>NC_000017.11:11097171-11400201 GCF_000001405.40 Homo sapiens
TTGAAGGCCCTAGTGTCTCTGAAAGCCACTCAAGCTGAGGCTGAGTTTTCTCTCGCAGCCCAAGACCTCAGGGTCACTTTCCATATCTTCCTAATTCACCACCCCCACCTGTCTCCTGCAAATCCTTTCTTATTTCAACTCATGCTACTTAGCTCTGTCAGTCTCTCTCCCTTCTCCTTCCTGCCATCTGTTATCCTGCCAGTCACTCCACCACTCACTGAAGGTGTTAGCTGTTCACTTATCCTGTCTACGCTACCCCTGTGCTGATGAACCATAAAGCGTCCTCTAGCCTCTGAGTCCCTTGATTCACCCCCTCCAAATATATTTTTCAACTCTACATCCTCTATCCTCTTCCATGGTCACATCTGTTCCTTGTCATCTCTGGTAACCAGATCTCCCTCAACTCAAAACCCCAACTTTAAAGGTTTGAGCCTGTATATGCCACTTCTAGGTCCTTAACTCCAGCATTCCCAATGCTACAATCCTTTGATTTTGTTGAGACTTCCAAACTTCATCCCCACTTCTCTACTTGCCCAGCTACAAATTCATGGCTCAGTTTAATCACCTCTTCATAAATATTACCTTCAGTCCCCTGGAAACCTGTCCCCCATCCCCCAACCCCACTGCCTTGCTCACTTGGTAAATTCCAGCCCTGGCTCAATCCATATAGCTGCCTTCTAAATTGCCTGCACATGAGCAGCTGAGTTTTGGGTAAAAACAATCACAGATCCAGGTTAACTGCTTTGCTTTAGACATCACAGCCATTATTCTCACATAAGCACTCCACACCACTGATGCATCGGTCCTCCTTAATTGCCAAATCCCCTTCTCCACACCCTAACATGACTGTTTTACAGCATTTCCTTTCTGCTCCTTCCGTCCCCACTGTCTCCTCTCCCACACTCTCAGTTGGTGATCTCTCCTCATACCTGCTGAGAACATGCAAACCATGAGATAAGAATGTGCTCAACTTCCCATCAGCAAATGTGTTATTCTTTTTTTTTTTTTTTTTTTTTTTGAGACGAAGTCTCACTCTGTCACCCAGGCTGGAATGCAGTGGCGTGATCTCCGCTCACTGCAAGCTGCGCCTCCTGGGTTCACGCCATTCTCCTGCCTCAGCCTCCGGAGTAGCTAGGACCACAGGCGCCTGCCACCACGCCCGGCTAATTTTCTGTATTTTTAGTAGAGACGGAGTTTCACCATATTAGCCAGGATGGTCTCGATCTCCTGACCTCGTGATCCACCCGCCTCGGCCTCCCAAAGTGCTGGGATTACAGGTGTGAGCCACCACGCCTGGCCACGTTTATTCATTTTTATCCATCCTCTCCTCTTTCCCTCCTTTGGTAAAGAAGAGAGTATTTCACCACTAACCCAAACTTAATCTTTCCACTGCTGTCCTGAGTGCCCTTCCCTTTTGTTTGCTCAAGGACTTTGATGCTTTGTTTTTTCTTTTTTTCTTTCTCATCATAGGTCTTTCTGAAGAGAAACCTATAGCTTCAAATGCTTACATGTATTAGAAAATGAAGAAAGGCCTAAAATTAATTATCTAACTGTCCACTTTTCGAATTTAGATAAAGACTAGGAGAAAGTTAACTATAAACAAAAAATTAAGAGAAGAGCGGAAGTTAATGTAATAAAAAATCAATAAAGTCAAAAGTCAGTTATCTGAAAAGATCAACAAAACAGATAAACCTCAAGCAAGCATGACTAAGAAAAAAAGGGAGAGAAATTATCAACACTGGAAATGAAAGAGGGATTATTATTACAGATTATGTAATTTTCAAAATAATTAAAAGAAGAATACTATGGTTAACTTTATGACAATAAATATAACCAGGTAGATGAAATGGAAAAATTCATTATAAAACTCAAATTACCAAAACTGATACAGGAATAGACTTACCCCTACCAAAGAATTAAATTTATTATCAAAAATCTTACCACAAAGAACTCTTCAAGCCCAAGTGGTCTCATTAGTGAATTTCATTAAATATTCAAGGAGGAAAAAAAATACCAAATTAACACAACATATTTCAGAAATTAGAGGAACAAGCTCCTGACAGAGGCAACAGCCTGGGTGAATCCCGTAGACTTTATGTTGAGCAAAAGAAGTCAGACACAAAGGAGTGTGGATTTTGTGATTCTATTCAAATGACATTCTAAATTAGCAAAGCTAATCTATTGTGGAAAACTTCAACAGCGGTTGCCTCTGTTGAAGGCAACAGAGTAAGGGACGTGGACTGGAAAGGGATCCTAGGGAACTTTCTGGAATAAGAGGAGTCGGTTCCATGGATGTCAAAATTGTACATTTAAGATTTTTGAATTTCAATCTATGTAAATTAAACAGATAAACAATCCTGAAGGTGGAGAGTAGGTGTAGCGATGGAACAAGAATGACAAAATATGTACGGTTGTTGAAGTTGAGTGATGGGTGTGTGGGAGTTTATTGCCGTATACTGTTTGTGTTGTATGAGCTTTCAATTCTCCGCCGTGAAGAGTGAAACATTGAAATGTTGATGAAGTTTGATTTATAAAATGAGATACTGCATTTGTATATCACACTCTTTCCAATTTGCATAGTTCCAATTTATACAAAACCGAGTATATTTGTATTTCCTTCCAGTCTTATTTTTTAAATTGTTCTAAGCAGTACTGAATATGCAATTTTACACTCAGCTTTCCTACTCACATTACACTGTAAGCATCTTTGCAGTTTTACATTCTTTGTGATCATCAATTTTAATGGCCACCCCTCTGGCTTCTTAATGCTGAAACTCAAATTTTATCTCATTATTTTACCTCCATTGATTGCTAGTGCTACTCAGAATAATACCTGCTACTCAGGTAGTCTCATTTAATTATTTATGCTCGCCTTATACTAAGGGGGATTTAGGTGGCCTGAAAAGACACATAAAGTGCAACAAAATAGAATAAAGTTAAAACACAATATACAAAAGAAAGAGAAACAAGGTTAAAGGCAGGGTTTCATCAAGGATCTTTAAGGCAGGAAAAATCCAACACCCTTCTTTGCCAAGGTAAAGCTTAACAAAACACACACATCTAACTTTGAGTAATGATTTTCAGTGTGTGTATTGGTTGAAGTGGAAGTGGGGTAAACTCAAAGATTAACCAGAGGGTTTATAACAGGGTTACCACACAAAGTAGTCTTTTATGAGAAATAGCTTTTTTTTTTTTTTTTTTTTGAGACGGAGTCTCGTTCTGTCGCCCAGGCTGGAGTGCAGTGGTGCTATCTCAGCTCACTGCAAGCTCTGCCTCCCGGGTTCATGCCATTCTCCTGCCTCAGCCTCCTGCAGAGCCCAGTCACTGCAGAGCAGCAACAAGGATTGTGGGCTGCAAAACGGCCACTGCCTCCCTTTTGCAGGCGCACACCACCACACCTGGCTAATTTTTTGTATTTTTTAGTAGAGACGGGGTTTCATTGTGTTAGCCAGGATGGTCTCGATCTCCTGACCTCGTGATCCGCCCGCCTCGGCCTCTCAAAGTGCTGGGATTACATGCGTGAGCCACTGCACCCAAGTTAAGGAATAGCTACAATATTGATAACTCTAGTTTTGGAATAGTTGCATAATTTGAGATATAGCTTAGAATTGCTTTTTATCTTAAGTAGCTGAGAGGCAGGACAGAGAAATGGGTTCACCTCCCAGCTCTGGTGCTCCCCAGCCGGTTATTTTGAGAAGCTGACCTCACCTTTCTGATTCTTTGTTTCTTCCTTTATAAAACTGGAGGGTGATAAATGTCCACTTTATAGTACTGTTGTGAAGACTTATCACAGAGTCATTCATTCGACAAATATTTATTGAGACACACTACATGGCAGGCCCTGTTCCAGTCACACAGCAAAGGTTGACTATCATCTCTAACATTTTGACGCTCACCTTTTAGTGGGGGTGGAGACATAAGACAAGAAAATAAGCAAGATCATTTCAGATTCTGATGCTTTCTATCAAGAAAATAATCCATGCTATAGGGCTCAAGTAAATGATGGGTATGTATGTGTGTATGTGTGTGTGTGTGTGTACACTTTTAAAGATGCACTGATCAGAGAATTCCTCTCTGAAAAAGTACTATTTTTTACAGGGATCTGAAAGATGAGAAGAAAGATACTAGGGAGAGCCATTTAAGCAAAGGGAACATCAACAATGAGCCTCACATTTTAAGAAGCAGCCAGAAGGCCAGTGTGGCTGGAGCACCAGGTATGAGGATGATGATGGAGAGAGATCAGAGAAGTGGACAGGAACGAGAGCTCATGGAACCAGCTGGGACCTGGATTTTATTCCGTGCATAAAGGGAGGCCACTGGAGGATGTAAGCAGTGGAGTGGCATGATCTAATGGGTGTTTTAGGCCATGGTGTGGATGATGGATTGTAGAGGGACAAGAGTGGAGGAAGGCAGGCCACCTAGGAAGTTAATGCATATGCACCTAGGAGGTGCTCAGTATGATGCCTGGGGCCTAACAAGCACTCACTAAATATTAGTTATTTTGAACTACTTTTTAGAAAAAAAAATAGCTATCAGGACAACAATTCATTCAGATCATCTTTTATTTGAGAAAATTAAGTCTTCGTGTTCTCTGTAACAGAGACACTTTCTTCTAGCTCACTAAGTATGGAGGCTTTGTGAAGTGTCAGCTTGCCTAGGTTGACCTACGTTTTCCAGAATTCTTTTTTCTGGGTGTGTTCTATTAGCGTGGGTTACAGACAGCTTCCCATGGGAGATGTGGGAGTAGAAGGGAAGCAGTGGCCGTTTTGCAGCCCACAATCCTTGTTGCTGTTCTGCAGTGACTGGGCCTGTACTCAGCTGGGCCAGGCTCCCCTGGAGCTTCCTTCAGCCCCCGGACAGGCGTGAGTGTTCAGCAATGGGATGCAGTGTCCTGGCTTCTGAAGGTCACTCCCACCAGGAAGAACTGACGTGGGTTTCAGCCCATCCTCACGGGCCCAGCTCATATTTGTGGGTTACCATGCATTCCTACTTTCCTCCACTTTACATCCATCTGTTCTTCTCAACTGTCTGCCCTTTGCACTTCAAGCTCCAGCATTAAATGTGAAGATAACAGCCTTGTAGAGGCTACATAAGCAGCTTCCACAATTGGGTAAGGCCAAATCCCTTATCTATCTCTCTCAGTGGTTCTGTTTCTCCAATTACTCCTTTATAGATACAAGAATGGTAGCTGATTTAAAGAAATATATTCAAAAGAAATAGGACTGGCTGGGAGCGGTGGCTCACGCCTGTAATCCTAGCACTTTGGGAGGCCGAGGCGGGCAGATCACGAGGTCAGGAGTTCGAGACCAGCCTGACCAACATGGTGAAGCCCCATCTCTATTAAAAATACAAAAATTAGCCTGGCATGGTGGTGCCGTCCTGTAATCCCAGCTACTCAGGAGGCTGAGGCAGGAGAATTGCTTGAACCCGGGAGGCGGAGGTTGCAGTGAGCCGAGATTGTACCACTGCGCTCCAGCCTGGGTGACAGAGTGAGACTCCATCTCAAAAAAAAAAAAAAAAAAAAGAAATAGGACCAAATACATCCCCAATTTACACCTGAAAAGCTCTAAGTGCCCTTCAGTAGACAGTTCACAATCATCACAGTTCTGGGCATGTAACAGGCATTCAATAAGTATTCTTTAAAGAATGTATGATCCAGTTCTGGATTTTAAACATGTGGTATATATGCATAATGGAATACTATTCAACCTTTAAAAAAGGAAATTATGATATTTTTGGCAACACAATGAATCTGAAGGACATTATGCTAAGTGAAATAAGCCAGACACAGAAAGACAAATACCACACATTCTCACTTATACATGGAATCTAAAAAAGTTAAATGTATAAAAGCAGAGAGTAGAATAGTGGTTATCAGGGGCTGGGGGAAATTTTGGGGAAAGGGGAGATATTGGTCAAAGGGTACAAGCTTTCAGCTGGAAAGGAGGAATAAATTCCAGAAATATATTGTAAAACATGGTAATTATAGTTAATAATAAATGTATACTTGAAAATTGCTAAGAGAGTAGATTTTAAATGTTCTTATCACAAAAAATGAGAAGTGTGACAGGTGATGGCTATGTTAATTAGCTTGAGTTAATTATTCCACAATGCATACTATATCAAAACATCACATTGTATACCATAAATGTATATAATGTTTCATTTGTCAATTAAACAAACAGAAAAAGAATGCATGATTCAGTTCCAATTCCCTTGGCAGGTTACAATTGAGGTTTGCCGTCAACTTTGCCAGGGCTCCATGCAGGACTCCTCCTGTGGCCTGTCCTAACCAGAAACACGCAGGAAAAGGAGTGCTAGGAAACGTGGTTCAGCCTAGTCAAGAAGACACAACTGGTTCCAGTCTATACGATCTGAGGCTAAGAAAGATCAATCAAAGCTATTAATCGCTCACTAGTTTCCTGGTTTCTCATTCTAGGAGGTGGTCGATAATAACAATTGTCCATGAGAGACCAGCTCTGTCTTAAGCCTATCTGTAGCTCTTGTAAAACTTTGACCTAAGAAACCCATACTTTCAATTTGTTAGGCAAATTATGAGAACACAATATTGATGGATTGAACAACAAACCAATAGGTTTACAATTCAAGGGGCGTAGAGTTTTGCTTATTTTGCAAATGGAGTAAATAATACTCTGGTTCCAGTCAGATGCGGCCATCTTTGAAAAACCAATAAACGTTAACAAGTCTGCAAACATTGAAAATCGTTATTTTGTGAGGTTTCTAAATAGCTCTGTTAGCAAAAGTATCATTGTGTTTCACTCATTTTAGGTTTGAAAATCAAAACGTCTGTGCTATGCGATGTTTCAGGCTGTATATTTAGTTTATAGTTCCAAAAATGAGGATCCTAGGTGTCCCTATGAAAGACTCTTTATTGCCAATTTAATAGCTCTTCTTCCACACTTATTTTTTGCTAAAAGAGACGAAATGTTCCTGAGGCTGTAACGTATCAAGCCTAGGGAACGGATCTTGAATCAAATCTAATTGGGAGACCCTGGAAAAAAACCTATTTCTTTGTCGTTGAAAGAAGAGAACCATTAGAGAAAAGGGTCTTTTTTTTTTTTCTCTAGCCCCATCTCTTTCAATCTTTCCCAGCTCCTGCCTTCTGCCTTTGAAAGCAGCTATGATGCTCATAGCTGCATCAATCATTTTACAACATAACAAGCCACCATATTTGGGTTGACGGAGCAGAAGAATGGAAAGAATCTGGGCCTTGAGACTCTTTTTTTTTTTTTTAATACTTTAAGTTTTAGGTACATGTGCACAACGTGCAGGTTTGTTACATATGTATACATGTGCCATGCTGGTGTGCTGCACCCATTAACTCGTCATTTAACATTAGGTATATCTCCTAATGCTATCCCTCCCCACTCCCCCCACCCCACAACAGGGGATGAAGCTGGAAACCATCATTCTCAGCAAACTATTGCAAGGACAAAAAACCAAACACCTCATGTTCTCACTCATAGGTGGGAATTGAACAATGAGACTCTTGAACAGCTGAACCAGTCCCAGGCTGCCCACCTACAGACTCTGTGCTCTGTGAGATAACTAAATGTCATTATGTTTAAGCCTTTCCAAACCATGCATTCTGTTACTTGCAACCAAAGCCACTCCTAACTGATAGAGCCTCTTTTATGCTACTTTCCAGATTCATGCTCTGGGCAACTGTGTTGTAGAACTTGATACCAGGTCTAAAAGCTGGACTTGGCTCTTTCTAGAGACTGTTTGTTATTTTTTTCTAAATAATAAAGTTATGTCTATATTTGCTATGCAAAACATGTGTTATATTGGGAATCATATTTGTCATGGAGGGAAGCAATCACTCCTTTATTTAGTGATGCCAAGAAAGGTATCATTAGACTTGCTTCTTAACCTAACAATCACTCTCCAACAAATAATTTCTTCCAAGGAATAACTAGGACACATGAAGTTTAAATGGTCATGAGACAAGACCATATACCCAGTCATGTCAAATTTGCATTGGCAAGGGAATGTACATGAAAAGATAAGCTCCATCAAGCTTTTCAGGAATTAAATCAAAACCAACAAAACAAAAAAAAAATATCTTTTGAACCAGGCAAACCCCCAAGGTTGACAAAGATAAGACTTGCAAATTTATCCTAATTTTTGCAAGAGTTCCACAGTTCATTTTCTGACAGCTGGCACAATAAAGATTTAAAATTCTGAATAGGAAGGAGGAGGTGGTTGCCATCTGTGGCCATTACCTGATCTCTCTGATTTCAACTGCCAGGGATAACACCATGGGACATGTAGCATTTGTCTTTAATTAAAAAAAAATATTTCATCATAGCCTATTTCAAACACACAAAAGATTGCAGAAAATAATATATACCCATGTACTCATTGCTGATATTTGACAAATGTTGACATTTTGCCATTGGCTTTGGATGTTTTAAAAATAAAATTTTATAGATACTCTAAAGCCCTACACAATCCTATCTCCTTATTGTTTTAATTTGCATTTTGTGGAGAGTGCCTCTATAAAATTAGGCCAACTGTGCCTCTAAAACTTTGTTGATATTTAGGAAGCTGCCATGTAGAAGTCTGTCTTCAAAACATACTTTGGTTACTAGAGTTAAAGCAATGATGCTGCTTGGCCTATACAATCCCCTTGGTTTCCTTCTATGCTTGATAATCCACATTTTGCATGACCACCCCAACTATTAAGGTCACACCTTTCTCCCTGGGTCCCAGCCACCTTCTGACGTGGATTTTGCAAGTCTCAGGTGATATATCAGATGCCTGGAAACAGTGTGCAGCCAACCTTCATGGGTAGTCCTTTGGGAAGGACATGGTTTGAAATAACAATGTGGAAGGCTGCTTCCCAGCCTCAGGTTGCTGCTCAGCATGTTCTGGCCTTCCACCCAGCCCTCCTCATCCTGTTTCACTCAAGAAAGGGAACCTGGTGGGTGACAATGTCAGGACCAGGTCATGACTGCGATGGTTGCCCTGTTCACAGTCCACACCCCTACCTTCCAGGAGCTCCTTCCACATCCTGCCCCCTTCCTGAGTACACCTGGCTGGTGTCTCCAGGGCTATCCTCTGCCTCCTTCCTGGCTTATGACTACAGTGGGCTCACACTTCACTATACTTCTTTGATTCTTAACTTGAGGTTTACCTTCTAGTTCTCTCTTCTTCTCCCAACCTCTACTCTCAAAACTCCTGTCCTGGCCATGGTCATAATATAAAGCTTTCCCATACCTGTAATCCCAGTACTTTGTGGGGCTGAGGCAGGAAGACTGCTGGAGGCCAGGAGTTCAAGACCAGCCTGGGAAATATAGTGAGATCCTGTCTCTACAAAAATACAAAAATTATCCAGGCATGATGGTGCACAGCTGTTACTCTAGAGCCTGAAATGGGAGGTTTGCTTGAGCCCAGGAGCGTCAGGTGGCAGTGAGTCATGGTCATGCCACTGCACTCCAGCCTGGGCAACAGAGCGAGACTCTGAATAAAAAACAAAAATACAAACACAAAACTTTCCCAGAGGAGAACTTGAACTTTACAAGCTTATCAGAGGATAGGGACTTTAGCTTTTCCATGATATAAGCAGCCAATGAGGAGTGTTCTTCCATTGCTTTTATGAGATACTATTCTAGTGAGTCCTGATTTGAGAGAACTGAGTTCTTAGAAACTTGAAATCGATGCTTTCCACTTTCTGAATCTGCTAATCCAAGTGAATGTCTTTAAATTAACATTCTTTTGGACCAGCATGACAACAAGAGCAAGATCTACCCTGGCTCTCACACCCCCACTTTTTTGTGTCCTTTACAGGTGTCTTTCACGATAACTCAACTCAATGGCACAAACTTAACAAAAGAAGGGATGGCTTGTTTCAGGACACCTCCCACTTGAGACAAATTCATCCTCCAGCCTATAGTATCTCAAAAGGTGGACCCTGCTGACAAGTGGAGTTTCTCCCATCTAGCTTTCTTGGTACTTGAGCTTGCTCAATCAAAAGAGGAAGGAGAGAAGCAAAGCTTTGGGGGAAGTGAGTAAGGAGGCAAGAATTTTTCATATTAGAGTAACAAACGTGTCTCCATTCACTCAAGACTTACCTGGTTTTAGCACTGAACATTCATCTGTCATCCTGGGAAACCCTCTAGTCCTGAGCAAATCAGAGCAGTTGATCATCCTACTTCACATAAAAGAGGGATTTTTAAGGTCTAATTGAAAGTATTTGACAAAGAAAAGAAATCTTCAATATTGGAAAACTTTTGCAAAGCCCGGGTGGGGCCAAAGCAATCATGAGGAGGGGCGTAGTCAGAGAAGGAATATTTATATTGGGGACTAAAGGATGACTCAAAGTTATTAAGGTAAAGGCTAGGACGAGAGTGGGAGGCCACTCAAATTCATGGGAAGCAGCTAAAAAACAGCCTTTCTATTCTGACATTTTTCCATTAACTTGCAGTGCATTTGGTTAAGTCTATCCCATCAAAATAACATAAAATCTATGCTACATCTTTTCTTGGGATAATAAACATTTGATACCTTAGTCCCTTGATTTTCCAGATCCACATTTTCTATAGCCAAAACCGAATCATATCTTCTTTCAAGAATACTTCTTAAATGCCTGTTGTGCGCACAGAACTGTGAGAATTGTGAAGAGTCTTCTGGAGCGCACTTGGAGGTTTTCAGGCGTAAATCAGGGATACATTTGGTCTTATTTCTTCTGAATTTATTACAAATAATTTCAATGTAATGGATAAATTACTTTTAACTAACCCATTCCGGAATTTTGTCAGGGTGAGCTAGTCTTTATTTTGAAGAATCTACATTTCCCCCATTTGGGAAATCAGGACGGTGTTTCCCCATTCTGAGATGTCAATCATGCTTCCCGTCCTTCATAACTTTTCAGAGAAGGCTTCGAGTCTTCAGTCACATCTGCACATACCTTTCATTTTACAGGCTGCAGTTTATAAGGCCCAAGTCCCTTAAATTCATTAAGACTGGCAAGCAGCTCTCTTACTAGATTTCTTCCCATCTGAGGCATTACATGTTTCATATTCATGGTTAGCCTAGCCTTCCTTCTTTGGATATAATATTCCTAATGGAGAAGAAATGAACACAAAGACTTTGAATAGCATTTTCCTGTCATCTGTTAATATAATAGCATTTCTCCCCAAGTAGTCTGATGAAATGTGATTAAAACAAACTTGAAATTCATTTGAATGACTTTTATATTTTTGGCTCTCTGTTTTCGTTTTCCAGCTCTTTTTAAATATAGGCTGAGATAGGTGTTAGAAATTGGACAAAGAAAAATGAAAATGTGTTATTAAGGGAATGAAAGAAATTACTTATAAATGTTAAGGAAATTAATTCTTAGTGGGCTCGTATTTATTGGGTATATATGTCAAGCCAAAGGAAATGTTTGAAACAAGATGAAAAAGTTATCAACAAGATGCTTTTTTCTCCTATGTTCTGAATCTTGAAGAGTTTTGCTTGGTACATAGGTCAAACTGTCTGGACTGACTCTCCTGATTACTGCTCAGAGACTCCAGAGACAATGACAGATCAATCTGCCGAAAAAGGTGCTACCTGAGATGGCATTTGCAAGTTCTCTCTGCTTCCATATAATTCTCTAGCCAATAACCATGCACTTATTTCTCAATTAACTTAATTCAACTTAATTTAATTGAGCAATGAATGCAACTAAGGTCGTGATTTCAGTATTACAAGTAAATGGTGTGGAATAGAAAGAAAATACTTGTTTCCCATAAGGGAAACACAACATGTACACAGAATTGATAGTGTGGTAGAATGTGGGTAGCTCCATGTGGCAAAGGTCATTAGCCCAGGGTACAGGGGAGGGCTTCTGGGGAGAGTATGATTTGAATAGAACTTGCCTTAGGTTGTTCAGTAGAATGGTGACAGTGGAGGTTGTTGGAGGGGATTTACTGATAGGAGAGCCTATGTGGCTAAAGGCACGGAGGTAGAAAGCTGCAGAGTGTGTTCCAGCTCGCTAAGAAGTCTAGTGTTTTGGAAGCATCTATGAACAGGGTTTGCAGAACTTAGGACTGTGTGGATCCACTGCTGTCATCAAGTTCTTCTACAAGTGTGGCTGCTGGCCAGCAGCAGCAGCATAACTTGGGAGCTCCTTAGAAATGCAGCGTCAGGTCCCCCCCACACCAAGTGAATCCAAATGTTCATTTCAACAAGATCCCAGGCGATTTGCATGCACATTATAGCTTGAAAAGCACTTCCTTAGATATCATCTGTGTTGTCTCTCATTTATTATCTCTCTGGTCATGTGACAAGCACACTTTATCTATTGTAAGTTCTACCAGTACTCACTTCCGAATCATTAAATAATGCACTTAAGGCCGGGCACAGTGGCTCACGCCTGTAATCCCAGCACTTTGGGAGGCCAGGCGGGTGGATCACGAGGTCAGGAGATCGAGACCATCCTGGCTAACACAGTGAAACCCCGTCTCTACTAAAAATACAAAAAATTAGCCAGGCGTGGTGGCGGGCGCCTGTAGTCCCAGCTACTAGGGAGGCTGAGGCAGGAGAATGGAAGGATTCCCGGGAGGCGGAGCTTGCAGTGAGCTGAGATTGCGCCGCTGCGCTCCAGCCTGGGCAACAGAGCGAGACTCCGTCTCAAAAAAAAAAAAAAAAAAAAAAAAAAATTGCACTTAAAATCTGGATTTCCTGAAGTTTCAACTTTAATAATGTAACAGTCATTATTGTCATTATTGACTCCTCCTGGTGCAAAGACGAAGTGAGCACTTTTCCTTTCTTTCAGCCTCCCCTGGCCTACTTCCTCTGTCTTATCTTTCAGAGTTTTAGGACTGTCTGTCTTGTTCTATTATTATTATTGTTGTTGCTGTTATTTTTTAAGACGGAGTCTTGCTCTGTCACCCAGACTGGAGTGCAGTGGCATGACCTCGGCTCACTGCAACCTCTGCCTGCCGGGTTCAAGCGATTCTCCTGCCTTAGCCTCCCAGCCTCCCACGTAGCTGGGATTACAGGCGCCCACCACCATGTCCGGCTAATTTTTTTTTTCTTTCTTTCTTTTTTTTTTTTTTTTTTAGTAGAGATGGAGTTTCACCATGTTCTCCAGGCAGGTCTCGAACTCTGACCTCAGGTGATCCACCCACCTTGGCCTCCCAAAGTGCTGGGATTACAGGCGTGAGCTGCCGCGCCCAGCCTAGTTCTAGTATTATCATTACTTTTACATTCTCTATTTTTTCTTTCAATAATTGTATTATTTTCATTGTTTTTATGACCACATTTGCTACAGTCATTTAGACATGGTTCTATATGTACATGAATTAGTCCTGCTATGGTCTAAATGGTTGTTTCCCCCAACAATTCATAAATTTAAGTCCTGACCCTCAATGTGATGGTTTTAGGAGGTGGGGTCTTTGGAAGGTGGTTAGGGATTGGTGCCTTTTTCAGGGACTGAAGAGACCAGAGTTCTCACCTTCCACCATGGGAGGACACAGATAGAAGGTGCCATCTGTGAGCCAGGTAGTGAATCCTCACCAGACACTGAATCTGCTGTCACTCTGATCTTGAACTTCCCACCTTTCCAGAACACTGAAAAGTAACTCTGTGCTGTTTATAAGTCATCCAGCTGATAAAGAAAATGTGGCACATAAACACCATGGAATACTATGCAGCCATAAAAAAGAATGAGCTCATGTCCTTTGCAGGGACATGGATGAAGCTGGAAACCATTCTCAGCAACACAACACAGGAACAGAAAACCACACCGCATGTTCTCACTCATAAGTGGGAGCTGAACAATGAGAACACATGGACACAGGGAGGGGAACATCACACACTGGGACTTTTTGAGGGGTGGGGGACAAGGGGAAGGAGAGCATTAGGACAAATACCTAATGCATGTGAGGCTTAAAACCTAAATGATGGGTTGATAGGTGCAGCAAACCACTATGGCATATGTATGCCTATGCAACAAACCTGCACATTCTGCACAGTTATCCCCAGAAGTTAAAGTAAACTAAATTCATTAATTAACTAATTAATTTAAAAAATTAAAAGAAGGCCAGGCACGGTGGCTCAGGCCTGTAATCCCAGCACTTTGGGAGACTGAGGCAGGTGGATCATGAGATCAGGAGTTTGAGACCAGCCTGGCCAATATGGGGAAACCCCGTCTCTACTAAAAATACAAAAATTAGCTAGGCACAGTGGCACATGCCTGTAGTCCCAGCTATTTGGGAGGCTGAGGTAGGAGAATTGCTTGAACCCGGGAGATGGAAGTTGCAGTGAGCTGAGATCGTGCTACTGCACTCCAGCCTGGGCAACAGAGCAAGACTCCATTTAAAAAAAAAAAAAAAAGAAAGAAGAAAAAGAAAAAAATAAAATAAAAAATAAAAATAAGTCATCCAGTCTAGGGTACCTTGTTATAGCAGCATGAATAGACTAAGACAAGTACCCATTGGCAAGTTCTTTATATTATCACTACTCTATTTATCAGCTTTGCATACTTATTCCTCTCTCACCGGCTTATTACCTTCCTGAGCAGATTTTTATGGATGAGTATGTTGGTCATATGCTCCCTCGGTTGGTGTGTATCATCTCCTTTCACCTGGAAATAGTAGTTTCACAAGGAAGGACATTCTTGTGTCTCAAGCTTTTACTCTCAAAATTTTCTAAACATTTCTTATTATTTTCTGGCACTTAACATTGAAGAAAAATCTGAGGTTGGCTCAATTTCTTTTTCTTTGCAGGTAACTCATTCATTCTATCTAGATGATGGTAGGCTTTCTTATTGTTGAAATAACATTGTCACCAGAATATGACTAGTATATGAATATGCTAGCATATGAATACAGTATATGACTACACTATAACTAGTTTGCTTCTTTTTGTTAATTTTGGGTAAGAATTGGTGAATTCTTT
This sequence comes from Homo sapiens, assembly GCF_000001405.40. NCBI lineage: Eukaryota > Metazoa > Chordata > Mammalia > Primates > Hominidae > Homo > Homo sapiens. The sequence goes on from NC_000017.11 coordinate 11,112,082, forward strand.
TGATACATAAGTTCAGATTTTCCCTGAATTTTAGAGAGTTTTCTTTCCATAGGTCTTTGAAAAAAAAATATATATTTTTTGAGACGGAGTCTCGCTCTGTCGCCCAGGCTGGAGTGCACTGGCGCCATCTCGGCTCACTGCAAGCTCTGCCTTCCAGGTTCAGGCCATTCTCCCGCCCCAGCCTCCCGAGTAGCTGGGACTACAGGCGCCTGCCACCACGCCTGGCTAATTTTTTGTAGTTTTAGTAGAGACAGGGTTTTACCATGTTAGCCAGGATGGTCTCAATCTCCTGACCTCGTGATCCGCCTGCCTCAGCCTCCCAAAGTGCTGAGATTACAGGTGTGAGCCACTGCGCCCAGCCGAAAATATTTTTGCTTCTTTTATTTTGTCCTCTTCTTCAGGAATGCTGATTATCTATATTATTGAATTGCCACTGTCTACCTTTTATCTGTCATATAATTTCTGATTACATCTACCTCTGTTCTCTTGCTCTGAATTATGGGAGATTTTTTTCAAGATTATTCACATCATATAATTCAATTTTTGCAGCTTTGTTATTTTCATTTTTGCTTCTAATTCCTGCTATTGACTCTAAAGTGTATCTATATATATTCTAAAGGTTTTGTTTGTTTGTTTGTTTGTTTGTTTTGTTTTGTTGTCTTGTTTTGTTTTTAGACAAGTTCTCCCTCTGTCACCCAGGCTGGAGTGCAGTGGCACAATCTTGGCTCACTGCAGCCTCAACCTCCTGGGCTTAAGTGATCCTCCCATCTCAGTCTCCCAAGTAGCTGGGTCCACACCACAGGTGTGCATCACCACGCCCGGCTAATTTTTTTTTTTTTTTTTTTTTTGTAGAGACAGAGTTTCTCTGTGATGCCCAGGCTGGTGTCAAACTCCTGCACTTCAGACATCTTCCTGCCTCAGCCTCCCATAGTGCTGGGATTACAGGCATGTGCTACCTTTTTCTTTAAATCTCCTGTAACAATTTTTTTCTTAACCTAATCATCTTGCCATCTTATTTTCAGAATCCACTTGAAAAAAATCCTGGGTAGCTGTCGTTTAACCTTTTTTTGATTCCTTAGGGTAAATGTTGCCATGATTTCTAATTTATAATTTGCATGGCTTGTGTTTGCTCTGCTGTTTACTGTTCCTTTAATGTATTCAGATCAATGCAGGTAAATCATTTCCACTGAACTGAATGGCGGATGCTCTTGGGGACCACTCACTATTTACCTGGGCGCTGTCCTTAGAGAGGTAGAGATGGGAGCTGAGTTCATGACATTTCCATCAGAAGGACTGACTTGCATACTTTATTTTCTTTGTGTTCATTGGATTAGCAGCACTAGGAACAAGCTTTCTCTGCAAGCTTTCCTGTTTGGATGAACTTCATTATGTAAACACCAAGTGGGTTTGTCTCCTTTCTCCTCCTTGGGAGCTGATTATTGTCTCCCAATTCTGAAAACACAATCTCAGTTCGAAGTGATCCAGTTACTTGTTAGCTAAAGGCTCTGCTTTCCATAGTTGTTCTCACTAGTTCGAGGTGAAGAAACAGTTCTCAGTAGAGTAATTGCCAAAGGTCTCCTGGTTTGCCCTCTCTTCAGACCTCACCCAACACCGTAGAGGACGTTCTCTATGTCCTCCTCTCTCACTCACCATCTGTGCACTCCAGAGAAAGCCTAAACTGTGTCAGAGAAAAGCCATCCCACGAGCTTTCTTTCTAACCATGAGCATGGTCTGGGGATGCTGTTAACACAGCACACAGTTCTCCTACAGCTTATCCACGACCTTATTTAAGGGATATCAGCTGGATTTGTCAGAATTTTCTGTTTCTCAGAAAGTTGCACAGCCTTCTCAGGCAGGGAAGTTATCCACTGATTCCTTGTGTCTTTCTTGAGTTTGGCAGAGCCTGCTCTTTACCCAGAAGTAAGCATGCACAGTGGTTGGCTGGCACCAAGCGTGGTTAGTACCATTCCTTTGTTTCTGCCATTTGTTGAGAGTTTTGGAGCTTTCCCTTTATTGATACTTCTCTCTAATCATTTTGGTCAGTTTCTGGGGACAGAGGTTTAAATGCCCATTTTCTTTTCTTTTCTTTTCTTTTCTTTTTCTTTTCTTTTCTTTTTTTTTTTTTCTTTGAGACGGAATCTCACTCTGTCGCCCAGGCTGGAGTGCAGTGGTGCGATCTTGGCTCACTGCAACCTCCACCTCCCAGGTTCAAGCGATTCTCCTGCCTCGGCCTCCTGAGTAGCTGGGATTACAGGCGTGTGCCACCACGCCCAGCTACTTTTTGTGTTTTTAGCAGAGACAGGGTTTCACCATGTTGGTGAGGCTGGTCTCGAACTCCTGACCTCTTGATCTGCCTGCCTTGGCCTCCCACAGTGCTGGGATTACAGGCGTGAGCCACTACCCCCGGCCTAAATGCCCATTTTCAATTCGCTCACCTATTTCATAAGTATTTAGAGTGCTTAATAGGTCCCAATCACTGTGAACGGGTCTCTATTATCTTAAGCTATTAGCTGTCAGATACAAACCCACTCTTTGTGACCCTGGATGTACAGTCCTGACAGTGGGCTCCCACTAGGCTCTGCCAACAGGGAGGACTAGGGGGAGCTTGGAAGAAGAAGTGGAAGCCCATGTCTTCCTGTTTGCTTCTGCTTTTTTTTTTTTTTTTTTTTGAGACGGAGTCTCGCTCTCTCGCCAGGCTGGAGTGCAGTGGTGCGATCTCGGCTCACTGCAAGCTCCACCTCCCAGGTTCACGCCATTCTCCTGCCTCAGTCTCCCGAGTAGCTGAGACTACAGGCGCCCACCACCACACCCGGCTAATTTTATTTTTTTGTGTTTTTAGTAGAGACGGGGTTTCACCGTGTTAGCCAGGATGGTCTCGATCTCCTGACCTCGAGATCCACCCATCTCGGCCTCCCAAAGTTGCTGCTGTTTTTGTTAGCATCGCCAAACAATGGTTTTTACCCTACAGTTAGTACCAACTTTGCCCACACACTCCCCAAACCAGCCTCATCTTGCTCTCCACTCCTGTCCTCCCTCCCTTCCTCCTACTAGGAGATAACAGCTCCAGCTAGCTAGCATGGCCATGGCTCTAGGTCCCTCCTCCAAGCTGAATGGGCCGCTCTTGGAGGCTGCTGAGGCACCAGCACCAGCCAGGAAATATCCTCTGCCTGGCGATCTGGTCCCAGCTCTGCAGGGCGCCTCCCACAGACTACGAGTTTCTTCTTTTCTTCTTTCTAGCCTTAGGGTGGTAGCTGCTTCCCACGGTTACTCTACCTGTGCCATCTCAGTGTTGCCGTCTTGGTCTTTTCAGTCCTCCAATGCCTACTTATCCAATTCCTTGTATTAAATTCCTTCTGTTAAAATTACTGGTGTTGGCTGTTTTTCTTACTAGACCATGACTGATGCAAAGATAGAGCAAGCCCTTACAGAGTGTGTCTGTATCAGTCCAGTAAAGGATACAGACAATAAACCAACAAATGCAATATGACATGACAGGTGCTTTGGAAGCAATGAAGGCACAGAAGAGGGAAACCTACACTTCAGGGGAGCCAAGAATTACTTCAGGGGTGACATAGCATCTAGCTGATACCTGCAGGTAGGTAGGAGTTTCTTATGGAATGGAGAGAGTAGGAAAGGGTGCTTTGGTAAAGTCCCAAGCAAGAGAGAACAGGACATGTTTGAGTCCCATGGGTAAGAAAATCAGGAAGTAGTTGAGACCCAAAGGTAAAAGAGCATATGGGGTGATTGAATTTATTTTACTGTAGTGCAGGAGCACACTGTGTGAACACTGAGGTTGAGACTGGCAGATGGTAAGTCTGGAAAGTTAAAATAAATGATGCCAAATCAGGAGTAATCTCCCTGTAAGTCATTTTAATAAGATTGAGGAGCTGGCTGCGGTGCTCACACCTGTAATCCCAGCACTTTGGGAGGCCGAAGCGGGCAGATCACGAGGTCAAGAGATCGAGACCATCCTGGTCAACATGGTGAAACCCCATCTCTACTAAAAATCCAAAAATTAGCTGGGCGTGTGGCGCGCACCTGTAGTCCCAGCTACTCAGGAGGCTGAGGCAGGAGAATCACTTGAACCTGGGAGGCGGAGGTTGCAGTGAGCTGAGATCGCATCACTGCACTCCAGCCTGGCGAGAGAGTGAGACTCTGTCTCAAAAAAAAAAAAAAAAGGATAATAATAATAAGAAGAAGACTGAGGGCAATTGGGAGCCACTGAAGAGTTTTGAGCAAGGAAGTGACTTGATTGGATTTGCATTTTAGGAAGACTGATTTGATGGATTGGAAGAAGGGATGACTGGAGCCAGGGAGACTGAATAGGGAGTTCCTCCATTTCTCTCTTCAGCATGGATAAGGTAGGGATAGAGAAAATAGGTTTGAGGGACACAAAGAAGTTAAAAACAACAGGATTTAGGTATCATTTAGATGAAGCAGGTAAGGCAAAGACAGGAAACAGTGATTCATTCACTTGATAAATATTTCTTTTTTGAGAAAGAGAGAGAGACAAGGCTTTACTCTGTCAGCCAGGCTGGAGTGCAGTGGCATGACCATAGCTCATGACAGCCTCAACCTCTTGGGCTCGAGTGACCTGCCCACCTCAGCCTCCTGGGTAGCTGGGACCACAGGTGTGTGCCATCTTGCCTGGCTAATTTTCTTGATTTTTTGTAGAGATGAGGTTTCACTATGTTGCTCAGGCTGGTCTCGAACTCCTGAGCTCAAGGAATCCCCCCACCTTGGCCTTTCAAAATGCTGAGATTACAGGAGTGAGCCACTGTGCCTGACCAATATTTCTTTATAGATAGATTGATAGGAGGGTGCAGTGGCTCACGCCTGTATACCAGCACTTTGGAAAGCCGAGGCAGACAGATTCCTTGAGTCCAGGAGTTCAAGACCAGCTTGGGCAACATAGTGAGACTCCGTTTCTAAAAAAATTTTAAAAATACTAGTCAGGCATGGTGGCGTGCACCTGTAGTCCCAGCTACTTGGGAGGTTGGGGCACAAAAATTGCTTGAGCTCAGGAGATGGAGGTTGTAGTGAGCTATGATCCTGCCACTGCACTCAAGCCTGGGCAACAGAGTGAGACCCAGTCAGAACTGTTATAGATACATTAATAAACAGATGACACTAAGAATTTTAGCTTGGAGAACATTATGGATGAAGTGGTGCTGTTCACCTGTCTGATGTCCGAGATGCTCTTAACTCATGCTCTTAATTTTATCATTTATTCTTATCTCTAGCAATTCTATAGCCTATGGAACTCTGGAGTGCTTCCTACAAATTACACTGATTCTTAGGGACACTCTTCACTATTCTCAAGTTTTTTTTTTTTTTAAACTTGAATATTGTCTTTGCTCTTCACCATGTTGAACAACATGAGAACTAGGACATTCTCTTCAATACTTATAAAATAATGTATGTTCACAAAGACTTTCCTGAGCAAGGAAAATATTATTGAATATCATATGGATGAAGGATTTATATCATTCATGCCACAATAAGCAACTTTAAAACCTCTGTTAGATATCTCAGTTCTATCAAATCTCAGTTAGGTAATACCAACATTAAAGGAGTCTTTATGTCTAGGATTTTTTTTTTTTTTGACGGAGTTTCGCTCTTGTCACCCAGGCTGGAATGCCGTGGCATAATCTCGGCTCACTGCAACCTCCACCTCCAGGGTTCAAGCGATTCTCCTGCCTCAGCCTCCCGAGTAGCTGGGATCACAAGTGTGCACCACCATGCCCGGCTAATTTTTGTATTTTTAGTTGGAGACGGGGTCTCACCACGTTGACAGGCTGGTCTGGAACTCTTGACCTCAAGTAATCCACCTGCTTTGGCCTCCCAAAGTGCTGGGATTACAGGCATGAGCCACCGTGCCTGGCCCGCCAATGCTGTTTGAGCTAAAGTGATGAGCACCACTTCCAAGCCTGGTCTCTAAAAATCTCTTAACGCATGAATCTCAATGTTTTTTGCTCTTCCATTGGCTTGAGGCAGACAAGCAAGTAACCTCGGAAGTCACATGTTGAAAAAAGGTGAGTCACAACATGGAACAAACCTGGGTGTCATTACATCAAGAAGAGTCACCTGCCAGTTAGAGTCACCCATATTGGATTTCATGTGAGTATAGAGTAAAATTATTTTGTGTTAAGCCATAGAGCTTCAATGGTTGATCTGCTACGGGACCTAAAATCACCTTAACTTATTGACCATACGAGCTGGCGTACATTTGTCATCACAGCTAACTGTTTCTAGAACCATGAGAACAAGGCCTAGTTCAGATACATTTCCATGGCTGTATGTTTTGAGATTCCATGGCTAAATTGGGGTTCTAGTACAAGAGTGGCTAGCAAACCTGCCCTATGAGGAAATGAAGGGGAGCTGGATGTGGGTGTCTACAAGTGTGCCTTTCACAGATACTTCTTTCAACTGGCAGGCAGCCTAACGCCTAATTGTCCAACCTACCATCAGGAGACTCCAAACATAGGAAACTGTTTGTACTGGTGGGCACCCTTGCAGGTCTTCTCTGACCTGTGTCCAGTTTACATCTGCCTGACCATTGTCCTGTGATGGCAGCTCGACCTCGTGTTCTCTCCAGTGTCTTGGGGACAACTTGGCCTGGGCCAGCCTCTAGTTCTTGAGTTGGAAGGCACAAATTCAATACATCACCACAATAGGAAACAAATTCAAATATTTCTACCTACAGATTCTGGGCAGGGAGAGCATAATTAATCGGGAGGGCAGTCCTGTGTCCCCAGCTTACAGAGGGCAGGAATGAAGAGTCAGGCAGAGAAGGAGAGAGGAAAAACGTGGCAACTGGCAGTATGGATAAGGGGATAGGATGTGGGTCACTTTAAGTTCGTGGGCAAATGCCTGAATAGTCCCTTTAAAGGAAGTGAAGCAGCAGAAAAGTAGGGAGCCCAGTGTGGTAGGAAGCAGAGATCCCTCTAAGTTCTTGAGGCTGGCCTCCAGCTCGAGCCATTTGGGTGTGGCGTAGAACTGGAAACTGTCCAGGGTGACTGAGCCTGCTTCTGGTATGAGAAAGCTAAACTTGTATTCAAAAAATGGACGCCAAGGCAACATAAAATTATAAGAATTCACTATAGGGCTGGGCGCGGTGGCTCACGCCTGTAATCCCAGCACTTTGGGAGGCCGAGGCGGGTGGATCACGAGGTCAGGAGATCGAGATCATCCTGGCTAACACGGTGAAACCCCATCTTTACTAAAAATACAAAAAAATTAGCCGGGCGCAGTGGCAGGCGCCTGTAGTCCCAGCTACTCAGGAGGCTGAGGCAGGAGAATGGCCTGAACCCGGAGGCGGAGCTTGCAGTGAGCCGAGACAGTGCCGCTGCAGTCTGGCCTGGGCGAAAGAGCAAGACTCTGTCTCAAAAAAAAAAAAAAAAAAAGAAAAAGAAAAAAGAATTCACTATAGTATGAGGGACGGTGGATGAAAGGAGAAAAAAAAATTGCATTAATAAAACTTGGTAAGAGAATAGCAGGGACATGGCAGGACATTGGATCTCAATAATGTGTATTTGTTATTCACACAACAGGTTTCGTATCTATTATGTGCAAAGCATTATGCTAGATTCTGTGATAACTACAAAAACTTAGACATTAAATTAAATCACAGACTAAATTAAAACCCAGTAGAGAAGACATAAATCTCGACATAAATTTTTAATATAAAAAATTTATGTCATTGCATGCATTTATCAAAGTATTATTTTAAGGTGATTGTCAACTAATTCCTAAATGTTAAATGCAACTTTATCATTTGAGCCAATATTATTTCAGATAATGGAAAGCATTTATATTTTATTTTTCTAAGAATTTATTTTACCCACCAGACTAGCTATTAATAATAAGTCAGGCTGGGTGCGGTAGCTCACGCCTGTAATCCCAGCACTTTGGGAGGCCAAGGCAGGTGGATCACATGAGGCCAGGAGTTCGAGACCAGCCTAGCCAACATCGTGAAACTTTGTCTCTACTAAAAATACAAACATTAGGCCGGACACAGTGGCTCATGCCTGTAATCCTGGCACTTTGGGAGGCCGAGGCAGCCAGATCACATGAGGCCAGGAGTTCAAGACCAGCCTGGCCAATGTGGTGAAACCCCGTCTCTACTAAAAATACAAAAATCAGCTGGGCGTGGTGGCGTGTGCCTGTAATCTCAGCTATTCGGGGGGCTGAGGCAGGAGAATCTCTTGAACCCAGGAGGCGGAGGTTGCAGTGAGCCGAAACCGTGCCACTGTACTCCAGTCTGGGCGATGAGTGAGATTCCGCCTCAAAGAAAAAAAAAATACAAACATTAGCCGGGCATAATGGCAAGCACCTATAATCCGAGCTACTCAGGAGGCTGAGGCAGGAGAATTGCTTGAACCTGGGAGACAGAGGTTGCAGTGAGCCAAAATCACACCACTGCACACCAGCCTGGGCAACAGAGCAAGACTCCATCTCAATAATAATAATAATAATAATAATAATAATAATAATAACAAATCAAATAGACAATTTAAAAAATATATACATATAACATATATGTGTGTATATATACATAAGTGTATATATATATATATATATATATATATATATACACACACATATACACATCTTTTGGGATATAGGCATTATCACATCACTGCACAGATCCATAATTTATACCATACCTATTTTGTGACTGGGAACAAAAGTGGGCAAAAAGAAAAGGAAAATACATTGATGTTGAGGAGCTCAATTCAGTCTGTGGATAAAGAGACAGAGGCACAAGGTTTAAGTGTGATTGTGGCATTATAGAATGCTTAGGGGTTCAAAATGAAGGCAATATCACTGTGAAGTAGAAACAGCTAGTAGACACTCCTTGTGTAAACTAAGCATTGAACAAGCTTTTTGAACAGTTTTGGAAAAGGTCTTCCAGATGGGGAAACTGGACACTCCCTGAAGAAAGAACCATGAGGAAAGTGTGTTTGTTATCGATCTAATCTGGAGCTTACAAGATACAGACATTCTCTACCTGGGAGAATAACAGCTCCTGTTTTTATTCCAAGCACCATAATGCATGTCTAGGGGCATCCCAGACAAGATGTTACTGGCTTCCACCCAAGAGTTTAGCCTCCTGGAAAGAGTGGTTTATGGAGAGGAGATCTGTGTTCCAGTTGTGTATTTACAGCTTCTCTTTCATGTGACTAGGAATATATGGTGTGAGGACTCAGATGGTAAATATGTAAAGTGTGTTTGCTTATTTTAAATAAGTAGGAGGCTGCACCTGATTGGATGTTATCCCTGGTAAAAGAAAAACTTCAGCTGAATTAGATTTAAAAGAGTTTAATTGAGCAAAGAATGATTCGTGAATTGGGCAGCCTCCCGAGCCAGAATGGGCTCAGAGACTCCCACACAGCCACGTGGTGGAAGAAGATTTATGGACAGAAAAAGGACAGGGATACGCAGAAAATGGAAGTAAGGCACAAAAACAGCAGGATTGGTTATAAGTCGGCGTTTGCCTTATTTGAACACGGTTTGAGCAGTTGGTCACATTTGATTGGCCAAAACTTGTTGACTGGCACAAGTGTAGGCTACAGTCTGTTTACACCTTCACTTGTTATAGTTCACGATGTACAGAAAAACCTTTAGGCAGAACTTAAAATATGTAAGGAGACAGCTTGAGGCTACACTTGATTTAACACTCCTTTAGCTAAGTCTATAGAGCTCGTGAATGTTAGGGCTGATTAGATTTTATGTGAAAACTGGCCAAGTGTCTGTTTTGTATCCTGTTGGCCCAGGAGTCAAACAGACAGCTTGCTCATTTGCTCAGGCAGTGGGGATCCCGAGTTGGGATTTGAGTTATGTTTATAGGAAGTATTCTGAACAGTTGAGATTAAAGTGCAGCCTCCATGTCATCCATCTCAAATTAAATCCCCACCCTAGAATAGACCAGAACTGCAGCCTGACCACGGTTGTTAAACTTGAGATGTGATATTGAGGTCTGTATCTCAGATTCAAAAGGGAAGTTATAACGGCTACTCTGAGGCCAGCTCTTTTTGCTTTGGAAAAGGTGAAAAATTGCCATGGAATCTCAAAGCATGCATGTGAGTATTCTTAAGAGATTAGAACAAATCATTGCAAAGGTGAGTGTATACAAGAAAACATGTAAGTCCTAATAGGAGTTAGCATCCTATCCTATAATTTTCATGTCACCGATGTTCAACATGAGGCAAAGCACCACAAACTATGCAGATGACACACTGGATTTATGGAATTGTATTTCCACCCATCAGAGTCCCAGCAGGAAACAGAATTCAGTGCAGATGGTTTAAATTAAAATAAATACATAAAAAGACCACTTCCAGAGGGGTAGGCTGGGTACAGGGGGCAAATAAGGGATAAGGAGGTGTCCAGAGACCAGCAACAGTGGGAAGCTGTCACTTCCCCTAGGGCTGGAGCAATATAGGGAGAAAAGGGTGTTCATGGACTCTCAGGACTTGGACCCCTGGTGGAGGAGGAACCACTCTGTGAGAGCAACAGTCATGGAGAAAGGCCAAAGATAAAGTACCAAAGCTGGGAAGCAGAGAGGGAGATGGGCCTGGTCTCTTTCCTTCCCTTTCCAATCTCCTGCCAATAGTCCCATTGGCTGAACCCAACCAGAAACCATCTGGAAAGAGAGCCTGGGGTGATAGAGGACACAGGGCAGAGTGCAGAAGGATAGAAAATGGATCTACTGGAGGTTTGGAGGAGGAATTGGCAGATGAAAAAATCACAACACAGGGCTGCTATCTGATATGAAGTTCTGCTTTTAAAAAGAAAAACTCAGTCATCTCTAATGTGTGGGTTTGGGACAAATTATTCCAGCAGAAATATGCTAGGAAAGATCAGTCAGTAGGAAATCGCAGCTCAGAAGGAGGTCCATGTGAGGACCCTAGTCTGACCCTGCAGAAGCATGGGCTGGCACGGTGCTTGTGGAGGAGGTGCTACAAAGGGTTCGTGGCCAGGCTTCTGACATCACACATGACCTATCTACTACAGCTAACATGTCGTTATTTCCACGTTGGTCCACTGCCCTGCTTGGCAGAGTCATAAAGGATTCTCCTGGCATGCATCTATGCCTGGCTCACTGCCCTTGGTACTAGGGTTGAGGAAAGCTACTGAAAGTAGAGGTTACTTTCAGTAGGTTGGTAACACTTGACTTTCCTTCTCATGCTGGAAAGCTCTTTAAATAGGTCATGTCCCTCACGGGGTCACACCAGTTTGTCCATTTTGTCAGAACCTAAGGAGAAGGCAAAGCTCATTTTACTTGCACACAGAGGACCTTAGTCTTCCTGGAAAAGTTCTCAGCATTTGTAGAGGCCACTAAGCATGTAATGCTCCATCCTTCGTTCGTCTCCCCAAAACAGAGCAATGTGCTACTCTTGGGAGGTTAGAATCCTTTAAAGGTATTTTTCTCTGCCTCCAAATTCATGGATATAAAGCCATTTCTACCACTTTAATATCTCTCTTTCTGTCCACATTTCCACTGTCATGTCTATCCTGAATTGTTACAGTAGCCTCGTCACTGGTCTTGGCATCTCTGGTGTGCCCTCCACCTCTTTTTCCATGCTGTAACTTGAGAGATCATTCTGAAATGGCAAGTTCCATTGAGTCAGGGCTTTGCTTAAAACTCTTCAATCATTCTTCATTGCCATCAGGAAATGTACAAAATTCTTATAAATGTTTTACCGTCTGGCTACTACCTACCCTTATTCTCATCATTCTCCAGCATCAGCTCTCCACCCAGCAAACACACACACACACACACCCCACACACACTCAACCACTACACCCAATCCCATTGATCTCCAGGTTTAGGTTCTACTGATCATCCCACACTCTTCTTTAAGATATGTGGCCTCTTGTATTTTCTGATTTGGAGATACCATTGTGGAGAGACCCATTTCACACCTCTGGGTTTTCTTTAAAAGATCTTGGAAGGAAACTGCCTGAAATGTTTGCTACAAATGAAGTGATCTTCTCATTAGTTTCTTTCTTTCTTTTAATCATCCGAAAAGGAGTCTTGTAAGTCATGCTTAGGATTCACTTAGAGACGCATAACAATGAAGCCAGTCTCCCAATTTAGCAACGCTCCTGGGATTTCTCCATCTCTTACTGCAGGGTACAGATGCTATGCCTGAGATCAGATACCCAAGTAGAGGCCTGGAAACCAGGGCTGTCTTGATGATTACTTCAAAGTGGGATGGGGAAGGCCAGGGTAAAGTGATGTGTTCACGGAGACTTAAGAACTACCAGAAAAAGGAAGTCAGAATGTTGAGACACTGGGTTTACACTGACATTTTATTTGACTATGATTGAATATGTAATCAGAAAGTAAAAGTTCTCCATTAAATAAAGCCACTCATTGGTTTAAAGGAAAAATTATTTGGGAGCCTCAACAAATTTGTAATTATTAGTGTTACTATTATTTTTGAGATGGGGTCTCACTCCATCATCCAGGAGGGAGTGCAGTGGTGAGAGCTCAACTCACTGCAACCTCAGCCTCCCAGGTTCAAGCGATTCTCATGCCTCAGCCTCCCCAGTATCTGGGATTACAGGCACATGCCACCGCGCCTGGCTAATTTTTGTATTTTTAGCAAAGACAGGGTTTCACCATGTTGGTCAGGCTGGTCTCAAACCCCTGACCTCAAATGATCTGCCCTCCTCACCTCCCAAAGTGCTGGTATTATAGGTGTGAGCCACCGTGCCTGGCCGAATTTGTAAATATTTTTAAAAAGACAAATACAAAATCTTTTGGGGAAAAATTCTGTTCTAGGTGCTGGGAATAGAGAAGTAAACAGAAGGAGACAGTTTCTGTGTTATGAGACAGGACTGGGAGAAAATAAATATATGAACAAAAATTATACAATGTCCAGTCTGTTCATGGTAAGAGCCTGGATGGAAAATAAAGCAGAAGTAAAAAGGCATTGTGTGAGGGGGCAGGGTGCCTGTTTAAAAGGGATGATCAAGAAAAGCCTCTTTGCAAAAATGAAGCTTTTGCAAAGGCCTGATTGAAGTGAAGAAGGAAGCCATGAAATATTTAGTAAAAAAGCACACTAGGAAAAGAAAGAGCAAGTGCCAAGATCCTGAAATGCTCAAGGAACATTGAGGAGGTCAGGGTGGCCACAGTGCCATGAGCAGAAATGTAGAACACAAGATAGAGAAGAAGCCGGAGTGGAGATCCCACAGGCCTTAGGGACCCTGGTAAGGGCTTTGAATGCTACTGGGTCAAGGAACGCCATTGGAGAATAGAGAGCAGGGAGAATGATATTTTCAAAGGATTGTTCTGGCTACTGTGTGTGGAAAATTGACTGTCTGTCGGGAGAAGGAGAGTACCAGCAAGGACATCAGTAGGGAAGATATTGCAATTGTCCTGCAAGACATTTAATTTAGGTTGGACCAGGATGCCAATGACATAGAATATGAGGAATAGTTTGATTCAGAATGTATTTTGAAGGTAGGTTGCTGGTAGGATGTTCTGTTGAATTGCATGAGGGCATGAGAGAAAGAAATGAGTGAAAAATAATCCAAGATATGGAACACAACAGGATTCACAGAATTGGAGTGAGAATTGAGAATAGACTTTGGATCTTTTAAGTCTCAGAAGGCTGTTAGATATAAGTATAGAAATGTTGACTGGGCAGTTGTATATTCAAATCTGGAGTTTGAGAAAGAGACTAGGACTAGAGATTTTAATTCAAGTGAATTTAGGCTATGTATAAAATGAAAATCGATTGGGTGCAGTGGCTCACGCGTGTAATCCCAGCACTTTGGGAGGCCGAGGTGGGCGGATCACGAGGTCAGGGGATCGAGACCATCCTGGCTAACACGGTGAAACCCTGTCTCCACTAAAAATACAAAAAATTAGCCAGGTGTGGTGGCAGGCGCCTGTAGTCCCAACTACTCGGGAGGCTGAGACAGGAGAATGGCGTGAACCCGGGAGGCGGAGCTTGCACTGAGCGGCGGAACTTGGCATTGAGCCGAGATCTGTCCACTGCACTCCAGCCTGGGTGACAGAGTGAGACTCCGTCTCAAAAAAAAAAAAAAAGTGAAAATCATGGGTTTTAATTTCTAAAATATTTAGGGTACTTTCTTTAAGAGAATAGAGGAGGTCCAAAGTGTTAGATTGAGAAGAAGAAGATAATACAGCAGAAGAGACTGATAATAAATGGCAAGCATGGGAGGAGGAAATATATGGCCATGGGGAACTCTGGAAGCCATGTGGGGAAAAAAAAAGTTTCATGGAGGAGAGAGTCAAGAAGGATGGCTTGAGCTGGCCGTGGTGGCTCATGCTTGTAATCTCAGCACTTCGGGAAGCCGAGGTGGGAGGATCACTTGAGCCCAGGAGTTTGAGACCTGCCTGGGCAACATAGGGAGACCCTGTCTCTACAAAAAGTAAAAATAAATGAACCAGGCATGGTGGCATGCACCTGTGGTCTCAGCTACTTGGGAGGCTGAGCTGGGAGAATCTCTTGAGCCTGGGAGGTTAAGGCTGCAGTAAGCATGATCACGCCACTGCATTCCAGCCTGGGCAACAGAGCAAGATCCTGACTCAAAAAAAAAAAAAAAGAAACGAAGGGAAGGGAAGGGAGAAACAGAGAAAGAAGGAGAGAAAGAAAGAAAGAAAGAAAGAAAGAAAGAAAGAAAGAAAGAAAGAAAGAAAGAAAGAAAGAGAGAGAGAGAAAGGAAGAAGGAAGGAAGGAAGGAAGGAAGGAAGGAAGGAAGAAAGAAAGAAAGAAAGAAAGAAAGAAAGAAAGAAAGAAAGAAAGAAAGAAAGAGAGGAAGGAAGAAGGAAGGAAGGAAAGAAGGAAGGAAAATGGTTTTATCATCATCTCCATAAGGATGGCTATTATTTTAAAAATAACAAGTGTTGACAAAGATGTGAAGAAATTGGGATCTTTGTGCACTGCTGGTGGGAATGTAAAATGGTGCAGTCAATATAGAAAACAGCAAAAAGCTTCCTCAGAAAATTAAAAATAGAATTACCATATGATCCAGAAATTAAACTTTTGAGTATATTCCCCCAAAAAATTGCAAGCAGGGACTTGAACAGATATTTGTGCATCCATTTCATATCAGCATTGTTCATAATAGCCCAAAGTTGGAAGCAACCCAAGGGTCCATCAAGAGATGAATGGCTAAACAAAATGGGATGTATGCATATCTTATGAGATAGAAAAAACCCAAGTGTTCTTTCTAATCTCTTACACAGTCTCTTAACACAACACTCTGACATTGGATGTGTGGGGGTTTGTTTCCAACACACCAAGCAATTCTCCAGTGGATACCAGTTGAGTGTCCTCTAATTCAATTCAATTCTGACACTATCTACCTGGTGACAGTGTCAGGTTTCACGGGTTGATGGCCCATTTCCACAAGACTTCCCACCATTGCAGGTGCCAGTCTGAAGTAGTACGTTGTCACTTCTTGTAGGTTGATGCTTCTGATCTATATATCAAAGGTTCCCACAACCCCCTCCTCTGATTTGTTTAATGTGCTACAGCAGCTCACAGAATTCAGGGAAACACTTCACTTATGTTTACCCATTTATTAAGAAGGATACTGCAAAGGACACAGATGAACGGCCAGATGGAAAGCATGTGGAGGGCAAGGGATATGGGAAGGGGTGCAGAGTTTTAATGCCCTTTCTGGGCACCACCCCCAGGAACCTCCATATGTTCAGCTATCTGGAAGCTCTCTAAACCCTGTCCCTTTGGGTTTTTATGGAAGTTTCATTATATAGGCAGGTTTGATTACATCATGGGCCATTGATATTTAATTTAATCTTCATCCTCTCTCCCTTTCATGTATGTATGTGTGTGTGTGTGGTGGTTGGGGGAGGTGAGACACTAAAAGTTCTAACCTTGTAATCATACCTTGGTCTTTCAAGTGACCAGCCTGAAGCCATATAGGGGCCCCCAGCCACCAGTTATCTCTCAAACACACTAAAGACACTCTTATCACACACTCCAGAGATTACGAGGGTTTTAGGAGCTGTATGCCAGGAAACAGAGAAGAAAATCAAATATACATTTCCCAATGTCAAAAATTAAATGGAATATTATTTAATTTTAAAAATAAAGGAAATTCTGACACATTCTACAATATGCATGAACCTTGAAGACATTATGCTAAATGAAATGAGCCAGTCACAAAAGGACAGATACTGTAAGGTTCCACTTACAGGAGGTACCTAGAGTAGTCAAATTCATAGAGACTGTACTAATTTGTTAGGGCTGCCATGACAAAATAGCACAAAGTGGGTGGTTAAAAAACAAAAAGTTATTTTCTCACCTGCTAGAGGCTGGAAGTCCAAGATCAAGGTGTTGGCAGGTTTGGTTTCTTCTGAGACCTGTCTCCTTGGCTTGCAGATGGGCAAGCCCTTTCCTGTTGTGTCCTCACTGGTCTTTTCCTCTGTGCATGAGCATCCTTGGTGTCCCTTCTCTTTCTTATGAGGACACCAGTACTACTGGATTAGGACCCCACCCCAAAAGCCTCATTTTAACTTAATCACCTCCTCTAAAGGTTTTTATTTCAAAATACAGTTATAGTCTGAAATGCTGGGAGTTGAGACTTCAAGGTAAGCATTTGAGAGAGTAGACAATTCAGCCCACAACAGAAACAGAAAGTTGAATGGTTGTATCCAGGTCCTGGGAGAAGGGAGAATGGGGAGTTATTATTTAATGGCTAAAGTGTTTTAGTTAGAGAAGATGAAGAAAAAATTTCTAGAGATAGATGGTGCTTATAGTTGCACCACAATGCAAATGCCCTTAATACCACTAAACTGTACACTTAAAATGGCTAAAAGTGTAAATTTCATGTTACATATATTTTTATCACATTTTCAATTAAAACAGCGTGGTTCTTTCAACAAATGTGCTGGCACAATTGGATATCAATAATAAAAATAAACTTGGATTCTTATCTCATACCATACACAAAAATCAACTCAAATGGATTATAGTCCTAACTGTAAGAGCTAAAGCCCTAGAAATAAAACATAGGAGAAAATCTAATGACTTTGAGTGAAGCAAAGTTTTCTTAAATACAACATCGAAAGAACAATCCATAAGAGAAAAATTTAGTACATTTAACGTCAAAATTAGAAACTTCTGTTCTTGAAAAGACACTGTTAAGAATTTTTTAAATCACAGAATGAAAAAATATTTACAAGTAACATATCTGAAAAGGATTTGTATCCAGAATGTAAAGAACTCCTATAACTCAATAATAAGAAGGCAAACAACCCAATTAAAAATGGGCAAGATAATTAAATACACATTTCATCAAAGAAGATAAATGAATAATAAACACATCAAAAAGACGCTTGATACAAGTAGTTCTTAGGGTAATGCAGTTAAGAGTACAATGGAGATGCAATTATTATACACCTCCTAGAATAGCTAAAGTCGAAAGGATTGATCATATCAGGTGTCAGAAATGCTGTGAAGAAGGTGAAATCCTAATTCAGTGCTGGTGGGAATGTATAGTGGAAGAATCACTTGGAAAACAGTTTGTTAGTTTCTTCAAAGTTAAATATAAATTTACCAATAGACCCATCAATTCCACTCCTAACTATTCACCCAAAAGAAATGAAGTTATGTCCACACAAAAACTTGTAGGAGTATGTTCATAGCAGCATTATTTATAAGAGCTGTGGAAGCAATACAAGTGTTCATCAACTGGAGAAAAGAGAAACACAATGTGACATATTTACATAATGAAATACTATTTGATAATAAAAAGGAACAAACTACCGATACAGGTTACAACATGGTTGAACCTCAAAAGCATGATGGTAAGTGAAAAAAGTCAGATACAAAAGGCCACCTATTGAATGACTCCATTTATATGAAATATCCAGAAAAAGAACATCTATATAGACTGAAAATCAGTGGTTTCCTGGGCCAAGGTGGGAGTAGGGATTAGCTACAGATGGTTATGGAGAAGTTTTTTAGGGGATAAAAATGTTCTACATTTGAGTTATGGTGATGGTTACACACTATAACTAAAAATCATTGACTTGTACTTTTACAACAGGTATTTTTGTGGTAGGTAAATTATACCTCAATAAAGCTGTTAAAATTTATTTTTGAAAGACAAAATACTGTTTATTAAATGCTACTGTGAGACAAAATAGGAAGGGGGCTGAGAAGAGGATGTGAAGGTCATTAGTGTTACTTTTAATATTAATAAATGAACTTTCCTTCTTGATAAACACATGTTCACTGTATTAGTCTGTTGTTGCATTGCTAAAAAGAACTACCTGAGCCTGAGTAATTTATAAAGAAGAGAGGTGTAATTGGCTCATGGTTCTGCAGGCTGGACATGAAGCATGGTTGGGGAAGCCTCAGGACACTTACAATCATGGCAGAAGGTGAAGGGGAAGCAGGCACGTCTTACATGGCTGAAACAGGAGGAAGAGGGTGAAGGGGGAGGCGCTACACACTTTTAACAAGATCACGTGACAACTCACTATCATGAGAACAGCAAGGGAGGATTCCACTCCTGTGGTTCAATCACCTCCCACGAGGCCCTTTCTCCAATATTGGGGATTACAATTTGACATGAGATTTGGGCAGAGACACAAATCCAAACCATATCCTTCACATCTGACCACTTAGAAAGTACAGATCATTCAAAAATGAAGAAATTACAATAAAAGCCCCCATAGTGCAAAGACAAACCCTGCTAACATTTTGGCCAATGCACCTTCAAACTTTTGTAACATTTTGGCTGATACATTTTCAACTTTTTTAAATTGGAAATTTATTTTGTTGATTCATGATAAACGTACATATTTTCAGGGGCATATGTGATATTTAATACATTCATCTAATTTGTAAAGATCAAGTCAGTGTATTTGGAATATCTACCACCTTAAATATTTGTCTTTATGCTATTAGGTTGGTGCAAAAGTAATTGCTATTTCTGCCACTGTTAAACTAATGGAAAAAACAGCAATTACTTTTGCACCAACCTAATAGAAACTTTCAAATTATTCATTTCTAACTATGTTTAAATATGCAATAGATTATTGTAAACTATAGTCATCCTATTGATCTAACATTCAGTCTTATTTCTATCAAACTATATTTGCACATTTGCACCCATATAATCAATCTCTCTTCATCCCGTCTTCCCTCAACCTTTCCCAGCCTCTAGTAACCACCAATCTACTCTCTGTTTTCTCTGCCACTTTTTCAGCTTCCACATATGAGTAAGAATGTGCAATATTTGTCTTTCTGTGCCTGGCTTATTTCATGTAACATAATGATCTCCAGTTCCATCCATGTTGCTGCAAATGACAGTTTCCTTCTCCTCCTCCTCCTTCTCCTTTTCTTTTCTTTTCTTTTTTTTTTTTTTTGAGATGGAGCCTTGCTCTGTCGTCCAGTCTGGAGTGCAGTGGCATGATCTCTGCTCACTGCAACCTCCGCCTCCCGAGTTCAAGCGATTCTCCTGCCTCAACCTCCTGAGTAGCTGGGACTATAGGCATGTGTCACCACACCCGGCTAATTTTTTGTATTTTTAGTAGAGATGGGGTTTCACCATGTTAGCCAGGATGGTCTCCTTCTTCTTTATGGCAAAAAAGTTCCATCATGTATATATACATTTTCCTTTTCCATTCAACCATTCATGAGCACTTAAACTGAGTCCGTATTTTGGCTATTGCGAATAATGCTACAATAAACTTGGGAGTGCAGGTATCTTCCTGATATACTGATTTACTTTCTTTTGGATATATATCTAGTAGGGAAATCGCTGGATCATACGGTAGTTCTAGTTTTAGTTTTTTGAGGACCCTCCATATTGTTTTCCATAGTGGCTGTACTAATTTACATCCCCACCAACAGTATACAAGGGTTCTCCTTTCTCCACATCCTCGCCAGCATCTGTTATTGCCTGTATTTTTTATAAAAGCCATTTTAACTGGGGTGAGAGGATATCTCATTGTGGTCTTAATTTTCATTTCCTGATGATTAGTGATGTTGAGCATTTTTTCAAATATCTGTTGGACATTTGTATGTCTTGTTTTGAGAAATGACTATTTAGATCTTTTGCCCATTAAAAAAATATTACTTTTTGTTTGTTTGTTTGCTTACTGAGTTTGAGCTCCTTATAGATTCTGGTTATTAACTATATTGTCAAACTTTTATGTAAAAGGAGAATAGAGGCTAACCATGTATATATTTTTATATATATATTTGTTGTATGTTTATCATATATGCTATAAAGGATATACATGTTTATTATATATACTATATATGCTTACAACAAAGGAGAATAGAGGCTAACTATATATATACATATATGTATATTTGTTATATATGTTTATTATATATGCTATAAAGTGGCCTCTGGTAGTATGTAAAAGGCCTGGGAACAGGAACTCTTTGGGAAAAGCCCCCGTTGTCAAACTATCTGCCAAGAATTGGCAACAATAAGTAAACAATGGAAATGATTAGCTTCTTTCTCTTTATTTCCAAATCATTTGTCAGTTTTCCCAACACCACCTTGTTAAATAACCTACCCTTTACCTACTAATCTGAAATGCCAGCTTCATCATGAAACACATTCTCATATGCTCTGGATCTGTTACTGGGCTTTGTACTTTGTAGCCTTCCTTGATTTTTATTCACATATTGTAAACATTCCTCATTATCAACAAATGTGTGTTTCTTTTCCTTTTTTTTTGTTTCTTTTTTTTTTTGTTGTTGTTTTTTGTTTTGTTTTTTGTTTTTTTTTTGAGATGGTGTCTCGCTCTGTCACCCAATCTGGAGTGCAGTGGTGCGATCTCGGCTCACTGCAAGCTCCGCCTCCTGGTTTCAAGCAATTCTCCTGCCTCAGCCTTCTGAGTAGCTGAGACTACAGGCGCCCACCACCACACCCGGCTAATTTTTGTACTTTTAGTCGAGACGGGGTTTCACCATATTGGCCAGGCTGGTCTGCAACTCCTGACCTCATGATCCGCCCACCTCGGCCTCCCAAAGTGCTGGGATTACAGGCGTGAGTCACCATGCCCGGCCAACAAATGTATATTTCTATAACATTGTTTTTAATAGTTCACTGTCAGCCATTGCATGTATAATCAACATATAATTAAAGTGTACTTTTTGTGGCAATTTACTTTAAATTCTTCAATACAACCAGTGTGATATGTGTGAGAACAAACCAATATGAACCCACATCTTGGGCCTGGCCAATTAGCATAAGAGATGTCCTGATATGAAATATCTTCAGGTTGGCTAAACTGGGTAAGGAATGTTAGAATAAGTTTTGATTGGGCCAGGCGCAGTGGCTCACGCCTGTAATCCCAGCACTTCGGGAGGCCGAGGCGGGCAGATCACGAGGTCAGATCAAGACCATCCTGGCTAATGCAGTGAAACCTCGACTCGACTAAAAATACAAAAAATTAGCCAGGCGTGGTGGTGGCGGGCACCTGTAGTCCCAGCTACTCGAGAAGCTGAGGCAAGAGAATGGCGTGAACCCAGGGGGTGGAGCTTGCAGTCAGCCAAGATCGTGCCACTGCACTCCAGCCTGAGCGACAGAGTGAGACTCCGTCTAAAACAAAACAAAACAAAACAAAACAAAACAAAAACAAAGAAAAGAATGTTTTGATTTAAGTAGACTTGATCAGTAGTATTGAAGGTTTGACTGGGTAGGAATGGTTAACAGGACCCACTGCCCTCTGTGAATATAATATAAAACAGTTAGTTTCAACAGTTTATGCTTCCACTGTGGAAGATCCTACTGCCTTGAATTCTACTCCAAGGACAGCCTTAAGAACATAATTGCATTGTCAGCCTTTCAGACAAAGTGATGGTAGGGGTAGTTAAAGGTGTAAAAAAAGCAAACAACCAAAGAAAGTTTGTAACTGTGCATCTTCTTACAATCTCTGTACATTAGTTGGAATTTGATCTAAGACTTGGTTTTATTACTATGTCACCACTTAGGGAGGCTGTAAGGACTGTATCTCTGCTCCCTGCCTTTCACTACTAGAGGCTACCCAATTCACACACCCACCCACCCAAACACACACCCCACAGGATCATCAAACAACCAAATTGGTCTTGAGTTGGTTTAACACGGTCCACACACAGTTATAGAGTTGGGCAACTCTATAGCCATGAGCTGAGTGCCAATTGATGAAAGCCAGGGTGCTGCTGGTGCCTCCAATGCCAGAGCTGTGTGTTAGTACAAAAGCCTGGCACCAGTCCCTCCTAAAACTGCAGAGGAAGTCTGTCTCCCTCTCTCTCACACACACCAGAGTTGTCTTCAAGATCGCTGCTCCCCATTCCTCTCTAGCTGGAGCTAGAGTCCAGCATTTCTATCCGCTGACCTTTAAAGCCTAAAGGGATGGACAAGGGCAGAGCCTCCGTAACTACCACTCCTACTGAAGCAGCTGTGTCCCCAGATGTTGTGAAGTGTTCTAAAAGAAGGTGGTCATGCATAAACATTGAGTTATTCTAGGTAGCTCTTCGTGGCCTCCAATAGTTTCAGGTAGGTGGCAAGTAGCTAGTCTTACACAGTCTTGTTCACCAGGGTCTAACGAAAGAGAATCTCCAACCAAAATCTCATATGAGGTGTTTATTAGACAAAAACAATTATTAACAGGAGGGCACACAGGCAATTCTTATAACCTGCTGGGTCAGCTCAGTGAAGTCCTGCTCTCTGGTGACCTTCCACAAAAGGCTCACTTGAGGCAGACCCAACAATCTGGATGCAGAATTCAGTTAACTTTATAGCTGGTATCAGGGAACCAGAGTCCTCCAAAATTATGGCTGTTCATGGAACTTTTCAGATGCACGCATTAAAAAGGTACACATTAAGATTCTTGCTAGATATTATATACCATTTATGAAAAGTTGGGAAGGCTTTCTAAAATATTTTAGCCAATTCATATTTTTGGAACACCATGATTTCACCAATGAAGATCCATTTCTAGCACTTGTGATGCTAACTAGTATTGATCAAAGATATTGATCAGAAACAAAGACAACTGAAGCCTTCTGATAGCCCTCTTTGGTGGGTGGGCTTTCCAACTACAATGCTAGCTTACCACTCCTATGGTGTGCATTCTTGAGTTAAGCAACTAAGCACAACTATGGTACCATCAATCACACACATAACTAACATTCCTTATGCTGAAGTACTCTTATTTTACGAATCTAAGATGCAAAGATTTTAAGACACACTTTTTTTTTGCATCTCTGGAGGGAAAACATTGTCAAATATAATTTTACTGCACCATTGACTGTAAGATATACCCAGGTATCAGAAATGTTAAAATGTGAAACAAAATTGTGTGTCTTAGAATTGAGGATATACCTAAAATGAAATTATAAACATCATAACAGTGAGCCTGTGTTAGTCTGTACCGAGGCATGTTTACATGTTGTTTTCCTTAAGGATGTAAGTTTTTTCCACGTTTGGCTTCTAGCCTTCAAGTAAAATCCAGCTTCCTGTTCCCACTTTTCTTATCCTTAAAAAAATTTCTCTCTGTAGGGCTCCATGTCATCTGGCCTATTTTAATGACTTTGAAAGTAAGATGCAGTGTTTCTCAAAGTATGAACTGTGAAACGCCCTGCATCAGAATCAGTTTGGTTGCTTGTTAAAAACATGGATATCCTGACTCCACTTGGAGCAAGTGAATTAGTATTCCTAGAGGTGGTACCAGAAATTTGCATTTTACCAGCCCCTCCAGGTGATTCCAATGCATACCAAGGTTTAAGAACAACTGTCCTAAGAAAAAAACACAGCAATAAAATGCCCTTTTACATAAAAAGAGAGAAGAAATATTACATATTGGTCACTAATGTAGAGCATGTAACACACCTTGCAGGACAGGGATGATAAAGTGAGGCAGAGACTGGTTATATGTTCACCAAACCCATTTTCTTCTTCTGGCAACAAGCCAAATTCCATTCCCAGCCTTCCTGGCAGTGGTAGGAGGATATGCTATTGAGTACTAGCCACTGAAATGTGGGTAGAAAGGATATTGGCCACTTCCAGTGTTGGATTCTCAATCTCCTTCGGTATCCTGCAGACATCTATCCTCTTTGTTCTTTAGCCCTCAGAAAACAGAAGATGTGGCAGCTTCTTAGTTTATAGTATAAATGAAGATGAAATGGGGTAGTCGAGAAGAGAAAAATCCTATTTGCCAAGAGCTTCACCAAATGAAAAGCAAAAAGAAGATACTTTCAAAGGGGGTATGCCATTTGGGCATGCTTAGGGTCTTAGTCCATTCAGGTTTCTATAACAAAATACCTTAGATGGGATAATTTGTAAACAACAAAAATGTATTACTCACAGTTCTGGAGGCTGGGAAATCCAAGATCAAAGTGCCAGAAGATTCGATGTCGGTAAGGGCCTGTTCCTCTTAGATGGTGCCTTCTATGTGTCCTCACATGGCAGGAAGGATAAATGAACTCCCTCAGGCCTCTTTTATAAGGGAACTACTCCCATTCATGAAGTCTCTACCCTTGACCTAGTCACCTCTTGAAGTTCCCACCTTTTAATACCAACACACTAGAGATTATATTTCAACTTATAAATTTTGAAGGACGCAAACATTCAGACCAGGGGCACTTAATCATATCATTCTCTAGTCTGCCAATGGATGCATCTGTCCCCACTTATGTTCCACTCAGGAAATGTACTTGCTCAAGAGACTTTCACAATAAATCAAACCAGGAAAATTATTTATCAGGCAGACAGCGTGCCAGAGAAGGGAAGTCTTTGTGCTGCAGAAAAACTGACAGTGACCTTTGAAATCCTTATGCAGTTTGTCCAAAAAACTCCAGAGTGTCCTAAAGAATGGAGTAAGTTAAGAGAGATAAGATAAAAATTCAGAAGGAATATAACACCTCAAGAAAAATGAAATTTTTGGGAAAGATTCTGAAGAGAATTGTAGGGGCACTCTCTTTAGTAGAGGGAGGGCTGTTGTTCACCTGCTAGATACAGGTGTGTGCTGGTTAATTATACTTAGTTCCTTGATAGACTGATACTGCATTGGTTGCAATATCTGACTGGTACGTGCCAATGACACAAGGAAACAACAGTTGTTAAGTATTTTGAGTATCCTTCCTGGATGTGGGGAGAGGGTGTGCAGAGGCAATGGAAATGCTGAAAGGAGCACCATGAGAATGCTCAGGGAGTGTTAAAGGCCTTTATGAAAGCGTGATTCTAGAAAGTCATCTTGTTTAGTGATGGTGCTATTCCTGACCTTGTCAACCTATATACTCACCCTCCTTCAGCTCCCATGCTGGGGGAATCCAATATCTAGTTTCATGCTATCAAATGCATGCAGGGCAGTGAACTAAGAGGGTTATAATATAAAGACTTCTTGGTTTTTGAAATATGCAGCCATTTAAATCATCAAGTGAAGCCAGATAGCTTAATGGTGATTATTCTTTGCAATTCCTAGAAAGTAGCCTCTGGTAGTATGTAAAAGGCCTGGGAACAGGGACTTTCTGAGAAAAGCCCCAGTTGTCAAACTCTCTGCCAAGAATTAGCAGCAGTAAGTAAAAGATGGAAATTATTATTTTTTTCTCTTTATTTCCAAATCATTTGTCAGTGTTCCCAACACCATTTGTTAAATAATCTACCACGTACCTACTAATCTGAAATGCCGCCTTCATCATGAAACACATTCTCATATGTTCTTGGATCTATTACTGGGCTTAGTTTATTCCTCCTTATTTTCTGTGAAGTACAGAGTTTGAAATATATCTTTTAAATCAAACTAATTAATTACACATTTTAGCTTTTTAACCTTTTATATTTTGCCTATTGATCTGTCAAAGACTTAAAGAGGTATAATATGTTTCCTGCCACGATTCTAATTCTGTCAATTTCTCCGTGAATATAAACTATTTTGCTATTACATATTTTGGTGTAAAATTATTCTCCAGATAAAAGTTTGTGTCAGTTATATATTAGCTGCAAATTATAACTTTTATCAAAACAAAATGAGGCTTCCAGTTTAAAAAATCATAGAGAAAATGTGTTTTGGTTTCTGCCTCTTCTCGAAATCGTTCCAAAGCAACAAAGAGAAACTGAAACCTAAATTCCATCTTTGGTGAAACCCGTAGACATCTCCAGCCCACATTACAGTAAGTGGAGAAGGAAAGTCAATAGGCGAATATTAAATGACTCAGCAATAGGAGAAAGGCCAAACTTACTTATAGTGGAGGGGGAAACTGATAAGAAACAAATCATTATGCTTGGCCAGGTCCTGGAAAGCTTTAGGAATTGGATGCTCCAAATGCCAAAGTCAGAGGTATGGTAGAGCTGATAACGAGGGGGTTATTTGAAAGTCTGTACAAAAAGCAGTTATGTCCAATATTCTCTGCTCTGCCTACCACTATCCTGCATAGTCAGGCAGTTACTGCCAATATAAAGCAAGAGACAAATATTTTAAAACATGGAACCAGAGAGCCTGTAAACTAAGCCACGTTAAACATCGAGAGGCACCAGGGTGAGAGGTAGAATTGAAAATAGAAGAGTTAAGTAAAAGTCTGCATACTGAATGAAACGAACACCTACCAGATTCAGAATTCTGCATGGTGGGGTAGAGGAACTAAACCTTCTACACACACCCAAAGAAAAGACCTAACTACTCTGATATTTGGATTCCCAAAGGAAAAACCAGCTGGTTTTTTATTTGCCATAGAATGAAGTCAACCACTTCCATCTATGTAACTTTCCATTGTTATTGCCTTACTCTTAAATATGAGTGGAATCATATAAGCTGAGAATCACCATATCTCTAAAGAAAGCTTCTGGTATTAAAAAAAATCGAAGCAAAAAAAAAGAGGGAAGAAAGAAAATCAGCAATAGTAGAAACAATGCAGGAAACAAACTTTAAAGAAATTGTAATTAATATTCTCACAGATAATAAAACAATACATCTGTATAATAAGTATAGGATGCTCTTTACAAAATGGGGGAGAAATTAGAGATCAAAAACAACTTTTGGAAATTAAAAACATGATAACTATAATTTAAAGCTCAATAGAGTTTGGAAAACAAAATTTAAGGGTCTGTAAGAAATTAGAACAAATGATAAAGAAATAGAGAAGAGGGAGGAATCCTAGCTTTAGAAAGCAAAAAATTAAGGAAATGTAGGAGAAAATATATCAGGGGACTAATGAAAATTAACCTTCTTATAACTAAAAGATAAGAGATTCTAGTTTAAAGTGTACCTCGCATAATGCATGATAAGATGCTCACATCAGTTCACACAACTGATGTGAAATTTCAGGACCATGAGATAAAGAGAGGATTCTGGGGTTGTTAGTTTTATGTATCAAATTAACTGGGCTAAGGGCTGCCCAGATAGCTGGTAAAACAATATTTCTTGGTATGCCTGTAAGGGTGTTTCTGGAGAAGATTAACATTTCAATCAGTAGACTGAGTAAAAAAGACCCACGCTCACCAGCGTAGGTAGGCACTATTCAGTATGTCGAGGGTCTGATGGAATAAAAAGGTGGAGGAAAGGCAAACTCTCTCTTCTTGATCTGGGACATCCATCTTCTCTTGCCATAGGACACTAAAGTTCCTGGTATTCGGTTTTGTCCAAATTATATAACTGGCTTTCTTGGCTCTCCAGCTTGCATATGGCATACTGTGGGACTTCTTGGCCCTTATAATCGAGTGAGTCAATTCCCATAATAAATCTCCTTTTATTCATATCTATCTAGATATCCTATGGTTTTGTTTCCCTGAAGAGCCCTGACTATTATAAACCCAAAAACATAGAAGATGGATTGAGAAATGGGTCACAAACAAAGGATCAGGAGTCAGAATAGCACCAGACTTCAGAAGAGAGGAACTAGAAAGAAATGGGGCAAAGACTTCAAAAATCTGAGAGAAGTATTTTCTAACCTAGAATACCAGACTGGCAAAGTTTTCAATTAAGTGTTGGGTAGAAATGCAAAAGCCTAAAGAAAGCAATAATTACCGCACATCTTTTTCTTTTTCTTTTTTTTTTCCTTCCAGAAGGCAACTGAAGGATGTGCTTGGACCTAATTTTGGTAGTAATCCAAGAAAAAGAAAGAGAGGACTCAGAAAACTGGAGGAGGGAATAAAGGGATGTGACAAAGCTAAGTCCCAGGCTGACAGTCTGGCAGCAAGCCTAGAAAGCAGTTCATTTACATGGGAGCAGAAGGGTAGAGACTCTAGTGGTGATGTCTCCTGAAAAAGGCTTGAAATAATAGAATATATGCCAGATTTAAACACATGGAACTTATATTGAGAAATATCTTACAGAGCTTTTGGTATTTATGGAAAAACTTAGCCACAAGTTCAAGAAAGGAAAAGAAACTAAGCAAATACAAATAATGAAGCAAGCATTGATTCCGGGCAAATATGTACAAGAACATAAATATTCATAATATATAACTGGTTAAGCAGTTAGCACTATTCACATAGTAATGGTAATAAAAACGTTGGTGACTGATTCTGTTAGCTACTTTGCCAATTCCTACACCCCTTTTTTCCTATCAAAATATCAATTTTGTTCAGGCAGCAATGTGTCTATCTGAAAATCTGTGCAATGCTAGATTATCTTGCAGTGTGAGATAGCCATGTGACTCGGTGCCTGCTGAGACATGTGCTAAGGGTTCCTGGGGAAGTTTTCATTTTCCTTTCTCCTTCTTGTACCTCTTCTTTTTTCCTTCCTGCAACATGGATATAATGCCAGAGGTGCAGCAGCTACCTTATGATCATAAGAAAACACACACACGTATACACACACACACACACACACACACACACGGCAAAAATGAGAAATAGAAAAACAAAAAGATCTTGTGTCTCTGATGACAACACAAAGCAACTACATCAGCGCTTGACTGCCTGAAAGCTACTATTCAGAGTGTTTTCTGTTATTTGCAACCAAGCTCATTCGCAACTAATACAATACTGGATGTGGACATAACCCCAAATTGTGATATAACTACATCAGAAGAATGACATCAGTATAAACTGGATATAAAATAAAAACATAAACAAAACCTCAATTATTTGCTGGCATTGTAAGAAGCCAGAGCTACTGATCAAGAGATATCAGCTTATGTTCATCAATTTTAACATGGAGCTACGTGTAAGAAACAGCTAAAAGATTTGAACAAAGTTGCTTCTAGGGTATTAAAGAGGGTGAGGTGCAGGGAACTGATATATTTGTTGTGTCTTTGTCTCAGTCTTCTCAGGCTACTATAACAAAATATCATACACTGAGTGGCTAAAACAACAGGCATTAATTTTTTCACAGTTCTGGAGGCTGGGAAGTCCAAGATCATGGTGCCAATGGATTTAATGTCTTGTGTGGGCGCTCTTTCTGGTTTGCAGGTGGCCACCTTCTTGCTGTAGCCTCACATGACAGAGAGAGGATGCTGATCTCTTGCTCTTCTTATAAGGGTATTAATACCATCATAGGGGTCATACACCCATGACTTCATCTAAACCTAATTACCTCCTAAAGGCCCCACCTCCACATACAATCACACTGGGAAGTTAGAGCTTCAACATATGAGTTTGGGGGACAAAGACTGCTATGCACTAAATAAACATTCAGTGCATAGTTGCACTTCTACTGCTTTTATCTGTAAGTTTTTTATTGTTTGTTTGTTTTTTAAGACGGAGTCTCACTCTGTTGCCCAGGCTGGAGTGTAGTGGTGCGATCTCTGCTCACTGCAACCTCTGCCTCCCAGGTTCAAGCAATTCCCCTGCCTCAGCCTCCTGAGTAGCTGGGATTACAGACATCTTCCACCACACCTGGCTAATTTTTGTATTTTTAGTAGAGATGGGGTTTCACCATGTTGGCCAGGCTGGTCTCAAACTCCTGACCTCAGGTGATCCACCTGCTTCAGCCTCCCAAAGTGCTGAGATTACAGGTGTGAGCCACCACACCCAGATTTAGTATTTTGAAAGACATACTCTGTTGCCATTCTACTGCTTTTATCTGTAAGTTTTCTTTAAAAAATTCATTTTGAAAAGGATTTCTTAAGCTGCATTTCCTTAATTGTCAGAATCAGGACTGGAACGTTAATCCAGTTTTTATGTGTAAAACAGCACATAGAATTTTCTTGTCTTTTTTATTTCCTGTTTTTTTTTTTCTTCTATCTTTGGTTTTCTTGCTTCATGACCCACATTTATTTTTTTCACAATTTATTTTTGAGATTTTACTTTGTCAACTCGTTTATTCTTTGATTCATATAAGACACCTTGTTCCATGTATTGTACTAGAAAATAGGTTTAGAGAAATGTACATAATCCTTGTCCTCCAGGCATCTGAGCTACCAGGAAGTCATTATAGTCTAGGGCAAGTGATAAAGCAAAGGTATACCCATATGAAGGAGGAAGTCCTAGGAAAGTTATGGATTTTCAAAAACCTGGACTGGCTTTTCAGGGAAGATTTCCTGGTGGAGGTGACTGTTGAGCTGAATCTTAAAACATAATGTTGATTACTTAGTCCAAAAAATGGAGAGAGATCTTTTCTAGGCATAGGGAACAGAATGTATAAAGACAAGAAAGCAAGAGAATGTCTTGGGTTTTAGGTAATTACAAATAGCTTAGTGTTGCAGAAACTTGGCAGGTGGTATTAGGTTGGTGGAAACGTAATTGCAATTTTTGCCATAAAAGTAATGGTAGCAGATCATTCCAGCAGGTCACAGAGGGCTTTGAAAGTCACTTTCAAGAGGGGTGCTACTGAAGAACCTTAAGCAGGGTGCAAATGGAACAGTGAGGAGGGTAGGAATGAGAATGGAATGCAGCAGGCCTTTTCATGATATTTAGGACATCTACAATAAAGGTGATTCCAATGAAGAGAAAGGTTTAGAATGGAAGAAATGAGTACAGTCAGGAGACCTCAAGCCTATTTTCTTAGAGGGACAGAAGGAGGCTATCTCTCCATGTGTTGCTCCAAACTGGCCCAATCTCTCCGTAGCTCAATACAAAAAAAAGCCCCATTAAAAATGGAATAAGACATTCCAGTTAATATGATGAAGAAACATCATCTCTAAGAACTCCTTGTCACAGCCCAGTGGTTTGAGCGAGCTGTCTTTTGAGGAGTACGGGATTCAGGCAGAAGCCCTGAGAAGGTAGAAGTGGCTTCAGACACAATTTAATGAGGACTATGAGATTGCAAAGAGATTGGATAAACCTTCTTTCCCCTTCTTCAAATTCTCTTTGGTCCCTTGTGAAGTCTTTCATTTTTAATACATAGATAGTGTAATAAGATTTGGCAATGTTAGGAATTACAGGCAAAATCATGGTTTCTTAGTTTATCCCAGGGCTTTGACCCTATCAAGAGTGGTGTGGCTGATGTGGGTGATGGTGGCTGAATAGCACATGGGTAGATGAAGGTGGAAGTCCTTAATTTGGTATTTCCATTCCATATATGTTACACATTTTATAATCGTCTTGAAGTCCTTGGGTTTTCTGTTCTTTTCCATTCTTTTTTCTCTTTGCATTTCAGTTTTCAAATTTCAGTTGATAGCTCTTCAAGCTAACTGATTCTTTCCTCAGTTGAATTCATCAAAAGAATTCTTCATTTCTATTATGGTGTTTTTGATTTCTAGCATTTCTTTTTAGATCTTTGTTAGAATGCCTATCTCTCTGCCCATATTACCCATCTGTTCTTGCATGTTGCTCACGTTCCCATTAGAGCCCTTAGCATATTAACCATAGTTGTTTTAAATTCCCAGTCTAATTCCAAGATCTCCGCCATGTTTGAGTCTGCTTCTGAGATCTGCTCTCTCTCTTCAAACTGGCAGTGGGGGGTTGTCTTTTATGCCTTGTCATGTTTTGTTGCAAGCTAAACATGATGTACTGGGTAAAAGGGATCTGGTACTGGTTCCCACAGAGTTTTCTGCTCCTGGGCTTTGCTCCACTAATTGATTCTCTGTATCTGACTGTTCATCCTTCCATTTGGGGGGCAGCTGCTTGCCCTATGCTGGGTTTTCTGATTGCTTTAAGAAGAGCTGTTCACTTTAAGTTTATTCAGCTTTTTCTCTTGTTGTGTGGATGGAAGAGACAACTTCCAAGCTCCTTACCTGCTGGACTGGAAGCCCAAAGAAGTCTTTAATTTGGAATTCTATTCACCAGTTTATGAACAGCACTGAAGGATTTGCTTTTAGAATTTTAAAATGAAAGTTTTTAACCACTCACTTGTATTCTTACTTAGTGAATGACAGGGAAGAACTAGGCTTTTGCCTTCATATGAGGATGTTTAGTGAGATCCAGTTCTCTTCTTATCGACACAGAACTTTAGAGGACTCTGTGTCCCATTTTGCAGGTGAGCACAGCTAGGTTCAGACAGGTAAAGTGATTTTCTAACTTTGCATAGCCGAAGAAAGGTCTTGGGCCCAAATCCAGGTCTCCTGAGTGAGTTCAGCATTCATTCCATGTCTTATATGTCACCCTGGTCCACCATCCCAAAGTCAATGAGAGTCCTTTAACCTTCGTTCACAGAGATGATAGTCACATCGGCAAAGAATCTGGAGGACAGGTGTGGGTGGCCTTATTAGAGAGTGAGAGGTAAGGAAGTGATACTAGGAAGACTCAGAGCCAAGAAGCAGCATTCTGATTAGAGAAAGATGTGTTTTGAAAAGGAAAAGGGACTTGGAGGCTGTAGGAATGTGAGTCACCTTCCTTGTTACTCCCTGGAGTTCAGCACCCTGCCCAAATCCGGCAATTGTCTGCACAGCAATGCCCTCTAGTGGTTTGAAGAAAGAGATCCTTTTCCCAAAACTTAGCTACAGTAGAAACTTCAAACTTGAGTCTCTGGGAGGGAAAGAAGCTGTCCTTCCTCCATGCTTCTCTTTGGTTCAGAGATTTGTCTAAACAGTGTTTTTCTCAAAATATACTTTCTAATGTATTTTTATTCAACAATCTGAAGACATTTAGAAACGTGAGTGATGGAAAGCATTAACCCATATGGAGAACCATATGTACCTAAGCTTGAGGATGGGAGAGGGAAAGCCACAGAAACACACACACACTAAAGACATCCTGGGATATGCACACGTAACTACAAATACTTGTGGTGGTTAAAGGTTTTGTGAGCCTTAAAGGTTATGAAATTTGGGAAGCTCCCTTTGATAAAAGAAATATAAAAATACAAATGCAAAATTAGATACAGAGCCATGAAAGGGTCTCCTTCATCAGCTTCATAGTGAATAAACTTCACATGTACCCATATGTTTGTGCACACGCAAAGAGGAAATTAAAGTGTAGAGTTACTTTTATTTTTTATGCTATTCCTGAAGTCCTATAGCTAGTGAGAATAAAATCACTTTGGAAAGCTGCACACTTATTTCTATGATGTTACCATTGTTTAGAATTTATCTGGAATTACAGGAATTGCCTTCAGATCCTGTGACATATTCCTCAAAATACCATTAATCATGGTAACTTTTATCATTTCAGTGCAGATTCATTTTTATTTGAAATAGCCAAGGCCACACAGAGCCTATTCTGGTAAGTACTGAGATAGGTAGTTAGGCCGGATATGCTGTTTTTGGTCAAGAGTAAAAAGTCATTTAAATAAACCATCAAACTATTTTTCCCATTTATTGCTTCTGTGCTAGTCTGTGAACAAGCTTCTCTGAAAAGGAACTCCAACATATTTTTAGCAATAAAAAAAATCATTTGGATTCGGAATGTAGATGGTACCCACGAGAATGTGACACGGTCTTACAACTATATGAAGATAATTGACCAGGGGCCCAGCCACTGAAGTGTGAAATCCATTTACCTGTTCACACAGAGGCCAGGCCTCCCCGGGCTGCTCCCAGCTCAGAAAAGAACGTAGCAGGGACTGAAGGAAGACTCATCCCTAGCAGGGACACCTCTTGATGACCAGCTTTGGCTCAAAGACATCCCAAGACTTTGCTGAACCATTTGTAGACTACACAGAAATCTAGGATGTTTCCATCAAACCTTCTCTTTCTCCATCCTTCACTCAAGGTCAAACTTGCCTCATGGTCTGATGTTTCTCCCAGCTTGCCTCCCTCTGATCCTACCCCACAGGTATTTCCTTCCTGCAGGCATTTTTCTTAAAAGACCTTGCACATTTGATCTCGTTTTGGTTTTTGCTTCTTGCAAGACTTCCAGCTTTCCACAGTAATCACTTTGAAGAATGGCGTCATCTTTGTTCTCTCTGATATCTACGTAATTGTAACAAAGAATCTGGATCCATTTTCTTGTGTTTAATTGTTGACGGCTTTTATATCTCCTTCCTTCCTCTACTCCTTGTGCCCCACATCTGGAAAGAGAGATAATAAAGCCTGGGCCCTTCCTCCTTAGCTCTAGCAGGAAATTCAAACCCTATAACCCCCTGCCCCAGCACAGGAACTTTCACCTTGGCTCTACTCCCCAACCACCATTAAAACTCAGATCAATCTCCTTTCTTCAATCTCTCAGGTTAGTTTGGACCTGCTTGGGAGGCCTGCCCTGATCTCCCAGAGAACTCAATTATATAAGTAATAAAAGTTTTCACAGTCTCTTGATGAACATGTGGCATCATCGGTTGCAACATCTAAACCAGTTTGGGAGGGAGGTCTATCCCTCTTGGAAGGTGGCCACAATAGTAATAAAATGTTGCTAGTTACCAAATATTGGAAGTGGTTAGTGTCTTAGTCATCTCAGGCTACTATAACAAAATGCCACAGACTGGGTGGCTTAAACACCAGAGATTTATATCTCGCAGTTCTGGAGGCTGGGAAGTCCAAGATCAAGGTGTTGGTGGCAGATGTGTTTCTTGGCAAAAGCCCATTTCCTGGCTTGCAGGTAGCCTTCAGCTCATTGTGTGCTCACTAGACCTTTTCTTTGGGCATGGACATGGAGACAGCGAGGTCTCTCCTCCCCTCCTTATAAGGACACTGTAGGAGTGTCCTATTTATAATCCCACTATGGGAACTCCATCCTCATGACCTCTTCTAAACCTAATTACCTCCCAAAGGCTCCACCTCCTCACACCACAACATTGGGGGTTAAGTCTTCAGCAGATGAACTTGGAAGGATGCAAACATTCAGTCCATAACAGTTACTCCGGTCCACTACGAAAAAGAAAATTTGCAACGTACCCTACATTTTCAGTTGAGGGGGTCACTAGCTATGCAGTCAGTCCTCTTCCTTCAGGGTGTGTAAAATGATGCCATTCAGAAAATCTAGCACTGCCCACCTACTCCCCACGCACCACTCTAATATAAAAAGATGGCTGAGAGAGAGAGGAGGTGGCATTTTGAAGAAATGTCATGTTTACAAAAAGTAGCTCTCTCTTCTCTCCAAGGCTGAGGGAAGGCGCCACCAAGACAAACCACCACACAGTGGGAAGTGCCTAAATCTTTTCTCCCTCCACTAATTCTGGGATGAGAAGATCATCTTGTCAGAAAGGTGACAAACGAATGGACTGGCAAACCTAATTACCAGTAGGGCATGTCAATAAAGGTAGAAGAGAGAAGATACGGCTGCAATGGGGGGAGACTTCCGTGGGGGAGCCAGAACTCCTCACATTTTCATGTGGCAAAGATGTGTAAGTTTTCTAAGACATAAAGGTAGATAGCTCCAGATATCTTGAAGCTATTTCAGCCTATAAGGCTGCAGGCATGGTATGGGGGACAAAGAAGCAAGATGGGATAGGCCTGTAGTGAGTTTTGGGAGGAGGGGGATATATTGAAATTGAGAAACAAATCCAAAGGAATGTGCAGGCAGTGGGTCCCCCAGGGCTCTCAGAAACACCAGCCAACACCCTCTCTGAAATAACCAGTATTCTTGGAATCTGACAGCTATGTGTCTTGGAGACTTGATACACAGTTAGAATCGATGGCTACTGGCTGTCGGAAAACAGACAAAAGCCAACAGAAAGAAGTGGTGACTTTGCTACGGGTCAGCCAATAAGGGCCCCGTGGCACTCCTCTCCTTCCTTTGGGCTATGACATCGATGCGGTATGTGCCACCTCTATATTCAAGCCACGAGCCACAAGTGTAACCCCTATAGGCAGGGATTGGTGAGGAGGACCTTAAAATGATTATAAAATTAACCATCAAAATAAACAACACTGAATCTAAGAGAAAGGATGTAAGACGGATCTAATAACTAAAAGTGATCAAAGAACAATGGAATTCAACTGTGCTATCGGGAGGAGAATCCACTATCACGTGGGGGAAACGTTGAATGAAACACAAGTCGCAGCAGAAATTGAAAAAAAAATGATTTCGTGTTTTCGTTTTAGTGAGCTGACACTCTTTTTTAAATTAATTTTTTAAACTACAGGCCAGGCGTGGTGGCTCACACCTGTAATCCCAGCACTTTGGGAGGCCGAGGCGGGTGGATCACCTGATGTCAGGAGTTCAAGACCAGCCTGGCCAACATGGGGAAACCCCGTCTTTACTAAAATACAAAAAATTAGCTGGACATGGTGGCGGGCGCCTGTAAACCCAGCTACTCGGCAGGCTGAGGCAGGAGAATGGCGTGAACCCGGGAGGCAGAGCTTGC
This sequence comes from Homo sapiens, assembly GCF_000001405.40. NCBI lineage: Eukaryota > Metazoa > Chordata > Mammalia > Primates > Hominidae > Homo > Homo sapiens. Next base: position 11,148,605 of record NC_000017.11, read on the forward strand.
AGTGAGCCGAGATCGTGCCACTGCACTCCAGCCTGGGCGACAAGAGTGAAACTCCGTCTCAAAAACAAGTAAATAAATAAAACTACGAAAACATTTTCAAAGAAATGAGAAAACATTACCTTTAATTTGATGCCCCCCTATAGATATATGCAATTAATTGCTTTCCCGTTTTTAGACAAGTTAATTTAAACTAGGTTATGTCCATTACGTTCAGCCACTGGGCTCGTACTCACATCTCTCCACTTTGAATATCTGTCCTCCCAGTTCAATTTGTATCTCAAAATTTATAATTTTATATTGCTAGAGAAACAAAACCATCTTTTTTTCTCTTCCTTCAGGGACTCTGGGGAAGAGAATGGGGAAGAGAATGTCCCTTGGCTAAGAATTTAATCTAGCTCTTTCCAGAACTAATTACAAAACCTCTGTGAGGCGTTTGGGTAGTTATAAGAGCAGTTCTTAAGCGGCATAAAGCTGGAAAATGGGCCCATTTCTTATTTTCAACAGGTCCTAGGAGTCACAGTTTGAAAGGGTGGGAGTACTTACATTGTTCAAAGGTAAATTACATAAGGTGTTAACTACATGGAGAGAAGAGGCTTTGAAAACTACGGGGATATTTAAAAAGTATTTCTCTTCCATTTTATGGGCTTAGACTAATAGATCTGATAGTTAATATTTATCTTTGAGAGCTGTGTGTACGTGCAGTGGAGAAAAGTGTGGTTGATGAGTGCAAGGTTGCAGGGAGAGCCCACAGCTTCCAATGAGCAATCAATAGGCTATGAAGATTGTCTCCAACTCACTGTGGTATGGAGACCCCAAGGGGACCGGATGAGGAGTGTCCAGGCCAGCTCGGGACGATTCTGTGGGACTGGGGATGCCAAGTCCACCATCAACTCTCTCTGGGATACTGTCTTAAATGGACTGAGAGCTAGATAAAAGTTCTGCTAGTGGGGAAGGAGGCAGCTACTGGTTTGAGATCAGTCTCTGCAGGGAGGAAGAACATTTTGCTGAAATGAATAATGAATCACAGGAAGGAGAATAGGGAGAGATGCTTCTCAATAAGGAGCAGACCCCCAAAATAAGGGTGTATGGCTAGGAATTAGGGGAGCCCATAAGAGCATCCCTATACGGATTTCATATTGTGTTTTTCCTTTGTATTATGGCAACGGAAATTTTAGATATCTGTGCTCTTGTATTATGGTTTCCTTTTGTTATTACAATCCTGCAGAACAGTCGACATGCATACAGACATATACATATATATCAAAGGAGATCAGAGGCGTTCTGCATGTTATGGCGGTAGACACATGCACATATGCCTACCAGCAGTGTTGTGAAGAACAGCATAATGAAGGAAGTAGGGCCTGGCCAATTTGCCCTTCTGAGGGTGCCACGCAGAGGAAGAGGCATCCTAGAGAAAACCTCCTTCCCAAATAAACGGTCAGAGGCCCAAGATAGAGCTGGGAGCCGTGGGAAGCAAAGCAGAATGGTGAGTCTTGGAAGGCTTGTAAATGAAGCCCTTTCTCCTTCCCCGTATACATGAAAAGCAGCTGACCTTTCAAAACGAGAAGAGGCTGACGTGTAGGTTACTCTACTCACTCCTCGGGACCATCTTCTCAAATGCCACATCCTTTACTAAGCTTTCCCTGAGCTCATCCAAGCTGGAAAAAATTCTTCACACCTCTGAAAGCTGAGAGCCCTTGATTTGGGCCTCCCTTATGGCACTGAACAATTTCTGCTTTAAAAAAGTTATTTTGGAAAGCAACTCCTTTGTTCAGATACCTTTGGTTTGCCCCCCACTCCCCCCAGCCCCACTTCACTTTTTATTCTCTCCATCCCTTTTTCAGCTGAGCGGCTGCAAAACACCAATAGACCCACATACTCTCCAGCGTCTGCGGGAATGGGCCTGGGAGGAGCTGTCACAGCGGGAAGAAAAGAGGTCGGGATATGTAATACCTCAGTGCTTTCCCTGAAAGGTCACCTCATGGTGACTACATACGTCTTTCAACTGAATGTCACTCCTTTCAAGGTGCCTGAAACGGTAAGACCCTATCCCTTTGTGTCTGGAATTGGTTCCTTCCCGTGGGTCCTTGGTCCTGCTAACTTCAAGAATGAAGCCGAGGACCCTCGCGGTGAAAAAGTTCTTAAACATTGCACGTCCGGAGTTTGTTCCTTCACGTGTTCAGAAGCGTCCAGAGTTTCTTCCTTCTGGTGGGGTTGTGGTGTCACTGACTTCTGGGGTAAAGCCCCACACCTTTGCAGTTAGTGTTACAGCTCTTAAAGGAAACGTGTCTGGAGCTGATCATTTCTCCCAGCGGGTTCGTGGTCTCACTGGCTTCTAGAGTGAAGCTGCAGACCCTCGCAGTGAGTGTTACAGCTCATAAAAGTGGCACGTCCGGAGTTGTTCGTTCCTCCCAGTGGGTTTGTGATCTTGCTGGCTTCCGCAGTGAAGCTGCAGACCTTCGGCATGAGTGTTACAGCTCATAAAAGCGGTGAGTCCAGAGTTGTTTATTTTTCCCAGTGGGTTTGTGGTCTTCCTAACGTCAGGAGTGAGGCGGCAGATTTTCAAGGTGAAGATTACAGCTCACAAACGCAGCGCGCAGTCAGAGTGAGCACTAAGATTTATCGCAAAGAATGAAAGAACAAACCTCCCACGACCTGCAATAGGACCGAGTGCGTTGCCACTGCTGTCTCTGGTGGCCTGCTTTTATTACCTTATTTGGCCCCACCCACATCCTGCTGATTGGTCCATTTTACAGAGTACTGATTGGTCCGTTTTACAGAGTGCTGATTGGTCCATTTTACAGAGTGCTGATTGGTCTGTTTTTACAGAGTGCTGATTGGTGCATTTACAAACCTTTAGCTAGACACAGAGTGCTGATTGGTGCATTTATAATCCTTCAGCTAGACAGAAAAGTTCTCCAAGGCCCCACCCGACCCAGAAGCCCAGCCGGCTTCACCTCTCACCTTTCCAAATTCCAGCATCTACCACCCACCTTACTTCTGAAGGGGCTAGGGATGATAATACCTCAGTACTACTTACCCAGATAACCACAATGCTCCTTAAGCCTCACCTATATTCATTCCTCTGCAAGTAGATCTTCAGCTTAACTTACTCTGTGTATACTAAATGTTTATTATTGGTATGTTACCTTGCACATCCTCTTCCTATACTATAAATAAATTGAGAGCACATTAATAAATGCTTGCATTATGCCTATATCTGACCACGGCTAAAAGAGAGTCTTGTATATTATAGGTGCCGGATAACCATTTATTTAATGATATGCCTACTTGTCTATTTCTGGCACAGAGTTTATCAACCTTGGGGCTACTGAAACCTTCGGCTGGGTGGGACTCTTTGCTGTAGCGGGCTGTCTGGTGTGTTTGGCAGCATCCCTAGTTTCTGTTTACTGCATACCAGTAACACTCCAGTCCCAGTTGTGACAACCAAATATGTCTGCAGACATCGTGAAAAGTCCCCTGAGGAGCTGTATCACACCCAGTTGAGATTCGCTGCCCTAGATGTTTGCTACTTATGCCGTTTTAGCATTCTTGTTACCAAAAACAATACCTTTACTTTGTAATAGTAGTTCATAATCTACATATATGTGTATACACAAGCACACCATGGCTGAATGCACATATTGAATTCCATAAACATGAATCATTCAAAGTTGCAGAGTCTGACATATACAAATACATGTGCACATGTGAAAAATGTATTTGAAAGGGGCTGTCAAAGTTAGGAAATCAAAGACAGTTTTTCTTATTTTTTCTTCATTATCGAATGGAAAAAAAATCACCTACAAATTGGAGATAATATTAAATGAGATCTCTTTGACCTTTACAGAGTTGCACTTAGATCTTCAAAAGATCATAGGCATAAGTGGAAATGTAAAAGTGCTAAACATAGCGCATGAAATAGGAAATAATCAAAAGAAGGTGCTTCAAAGTACAACAGTAAGAACACAAGTGTCTGCCAATCCCTTCCCCCACATCCAGATATTCACTGAGATGACCCATGGTTTGCAGGCACAGGGAAACGTATCACAATGCCCTTTAATTTGCTGCTTGCAAGAAAACTCTGTTAGGGGCCTCGGATGTCTAAAAGCCACTATGTTGGTCTTTGTAAATTATCTCAGGTTTCATTCTTCCCCTTTCCTCTTTGTATCCATTTGCTTCCTCTTAGCTCTGGTTCTTTCTCTCACCAGCGGATACTGTGTGAGTACCACCATGTTGCAGAAATCTAGGGGAAGCCAGTCACTTAATTTGTGAGCATTCTTTTGCCAGAGGGCTCTCTTTTATTACAATGTCAATACAGTTCCTCCCCCTCCCTCAAAGGGCTAAAGATATTGTGGGACTGTTTTGAGGAGTACTTCAAAGTCCTGTGTGGGGCGTATGTGATGGAGGAAATTTTCCCAGGGCTTTGGTGCATGGAACTTAGGCAAAATCACTGGAAACTGCCTGAAGACCCAAAGAGGCAGTTTCAAATGAGGTCATCAATTCAAACAGAGTTGGACATAACAGGAAGAGACAGTGTAAGATACCAATAATATCGGCCGTGCTGGGAGCCAACAAAAGAAAAGTATGAGATCAATAAGAAGCCTAGGGTAATTCAGAAGCCCAAGTTTATTTTAAGGCCAAGTACAAGAATCTGCGGTGGCTCTTTAAATTGCTCCCAAAGCAGCTGACAAAAACGTGTTGAATTTCAAGGGTCAATAGTATAAAATCAACCACAATAATAGCAGGCACCTTAAATTGAACTTTCACCAATCGAAGTGAGACTTTGACTTAATGCTGAGTTAAGAGGTGGGTGTGGCTCATCCATTTAATGGAGAAAGGTAACAGCAACAGCCTTCAGAACACACTGGAGGTGGCTTAGTTCTGCTTCTTCGCTCTCACTCATAATTGTTGCTGCAGACTTAACCTAAAGTCTGTTCATCAGCCTTTCCAAAGATTTTCTAAGTTACTAAGTATATTTTAATAAATTTCTTTCTGCTTAAAGTAGCTAGAGAAGATTGTATTCTCATGATTACAAATACAATAATCCTTAGATTTTAATTCAAGACACACACACAGACACACACACACACTGAAATAACGCATTCTACACTTACATGAATCTGTAAGAAACTACTGATGTTTAGGCTCCCATCCTCTGGTCAGCCCTCATTTGGAAACAGGGATAGATTAAGTTAGTATCAATTAATGGAGAAGGAATACAGTAAGAGGTGAAAGTCTTGTCAACATTTGAGACTTTCTCATTTTGGTGCACAATCAGTACTGTACAGTATATAACACTAGGGTACTGTAACAATATAGATTGATTTTAAAGTATCATCTTCCATTAACCTACATTGTATGCAACTGAATTTTTGTTTCCCACTTAAAGCTTTACAATAAGAAGTTATATATGCATATATATAATATACATATAAAATGTATACACATATACACATATTATAGTATAATTGTGTTCTTATGACATCTCAAGACAACAAAAACTACATTACAAAATTTCCATCTCAAAAATCAGTCTCCCAAGAAACTAATTTGCAAAGGAAGGCCACCAAGGAAGTAGAAAGTTTCTGGCCATGATTCAGGTAAGGACAGATCCCAGGAAGTCGAGCCTAGAATTTGTGGTCATTTACTACTTCTGGGTAATTTTTGATTCCTTAGGGGATGGCTGGAAGAGGTTAGAGTGGCAAAAAATTGGAGTTCAGGGTCCACTAAGCAGTGTTTTTTTTTCTTTTTTTAAAAAAGAGCCTCACTCTTGTCGCCCAGGCTGGAGTGCAATGGCACAATCTTGGCTCACTACAACCTCCGCTTTCTGGTTTCAAGTGTTTCTCCTGACTCAGCCTCCCGAGTAGCTGGGATTACAGGTGCCTGCCACCACACCTGGCTAATTTTTGTATTTTTAGTAGAGACAGGGTTTCACCATGTTGGCCAGGCTGGTCTCAAACTCCTGACCTGGTGATCTGCCCCACTCTGCCTCCCAAAGTGCTGGGATTACAGGTGTGAGCCACTGCACCCCGCCGGTTTTTTTTGACCTCTCTCACCTTAAGCTGCAATGTCAAGGGACAGAATCCTAGAAATCAGAGTTAACTATAAGTAGACAAGTCCTTACAGGGAATAAAGTGTATCTTTGAGTCATCTATATATCTGTTGATCCCATACTGTATATCTGGGTCACCAGATATATAGATGACTCAAAGGTCCGCTTTATTCCCTGTAAGGATGCAAATGTAAATTATTTTTACAAAGAATTTTTGAAATACAAATATGCCACACAATAAAACAGCACAAGAGAAAAAAATATGAAAAAAATAGCAAGTTATTAGGCAGAGACCTTAAAATGTACATGATTATTATGTTTATGACCAAAGACAAGATTGAGACTTTTTGCAAAGAATTGACTATGAAATAAAAGAGATTCAAGTAAAAATTCTAGAATGAAAATAAGAAGTGGCATTAAGGATTCAGTGGCAAGATTTAACAGTAGATTAGGCACAGCTAAAGAGAATGAGTGAGTTGAAATATAGTCAGAAGACAATATACGGAATAAACCTTGGAGAACAAAAGGATAGAAAATACAAAATAGAAGATAAGATATATACAAATAAAACTGATGAGGAGAGGCACCCAAGGAGAGAAAGGGGTGCATGAGGAAGCAATGCTTAATGAGAGAAAGTGGCAAAGATTCAAACAGCACTGTGAAGTCCATGAAAGAAAAACAACAGGAAGTTCAGATCTAAGTACATAATAATGAAAACTGTAAGAAACCAAAGACAGAGAACTTTTAAAGAAGTTAGAGAGGGAAAAATAGTACTTATAAAGCAAATAAGGTAGATAAACAACTCAAAGTTACAGTAACTTTAAGAAAGGCGGCCGAGTACGGTGACTCACACCTGTAATCGCAGCACTTTGGGAGGCTGAGGCAGGCCAATCACTTGACCTCAGGAGTTCAAGATCAGCCTGGCCAACGTGGTGAAACCCCGTCTTTACTAAAAATAGAAAAATTAGCTGGTCATGGTGACCCGCGGCTGTAATCCCTGCTACTCAGGAGGCTGAGGCCAGGAGAATTGCTTGAACCCGGGAGGCAAAGGTTGCAGTGAGCCAAGATCATGCCATTGCACTCCAGCCTGGGTGACTAGAGCAAAACACCGTCTCCAAAAAAAACATAATAATAAAATAAAATAAAGGTAAGTTTGTTGCTCACATTACACAGCCATTGCATATCTTTAGGAATGCAAAGATACACTGCTCATCATAAATCACTCAAAAATCCAGGCTGATGTGTGTGGCAGCCGTAAAAGTACACCACTCGGATTTCTCTTCAAGGAGGAACTTGCCATTCAGCTGCAAGGAGTCATCTAACTGAGCCTCTAGCGGCAACACCTTCAAGATTTACAGCAGCTGATCTACACGCCTCCCAAGCATCTTTCAGCTAATGACTGAGCAAAGTGGGGGGTAAAAGGCATGACCACTTCTGCTCAACATGATACTCTTTTTTTTTTTTTTTTTTTTTTCGATGGAGTCTTGCTCTGTCACCAGGCTGGAGTGCAGTGGCACGATCTCGGCTCACTGCAGCCTCTGCCTCCGAGGTTCAAGCAATTCTTCTGCCTCAGCCTCCAGAGTAGCTGGGACTACAGGCGCACACCACCACACACGGCTAACTTTTTTTGTATTTTTAGTAGAGATAGGGTTTCACTATATTGACCAGGATGGTCTCGATCTCTTGACCTTGTGATCCGCCTGCCTTAGCCTCCCAAAGTGCTGAGATTACAGGCGTGAGCCACCATGCCCCAGCCGATACTCTTCTAACAAACAATTTTGTCCTAGAGGTCCTCATTGGGTTTGCCAAGGCTTTGTCTCATTCGCATGATATCTGAGACTGCCTCATCTGATTCTGATTTTCTCCTCTTTACCCAGTTCTGTTTCTTCCTTCTTTATCTTGCACAGTTGTTAACACACCCATACATACAACTCTTGCACATCTCTGTCAAAGCCTCTACTTCCTGGAGGACCAGAACTGACATAACGGGGGCAGCCATCAGCAATAACATTGCTGGTCCCCATGCCAGAACCACAGGAGAGTTTTGGGGGATCCTTGCATCAGCAATTAAATGCTTCAGTTGAAAGTGGCACACCTCACTCCTATCCACAACTCACAGGCCAGAATTAATCACATGTCCACATCCAACTTCAGGTATGTAAAAAGTGTGACTAAACCATGGAACTAGAAATAGTTGGTGAACAGCATTAAGAAATTCCGCAATTACATCTAATGGAGCACTAATTTGCTGACAGCTGACTTCTCAAGACGAATAATAGAAACTAGAAAATAATAGATGATAAATTCAAGATGAAAGAAAACAAATGATAGCCAACCTAGAATCCTGTACAGAAAAAATAGCTTTCCAGAATAAAGAATTAAAAATATTTTCAGACAATGGTAAATAATTTTATTAACAGAGGAATTACACTAAAGGAAATACAAAATGATGTTCTTTAGGAGAATGAATACAAATAAAAGTTCAGAAATGCATCAAGAACTCAAGAATATAAAAAACAATTAAAATCTATGGGCAAGTGAATATTACATGTACAGTTGACTCTTGAACACTGCAGGGGTTAGGGGCTCCAACCCTCCACACAATGGAAAATGTATGTATAACTTTTGACTCCCTCCAAACTTAACTACTAACAGCCCTCTTTTGGCTGGAAGCCTTACCAATAACATAAATAGTTGATTAACACATATTTTGCATCTTATATGTATGGTATACTGCCTTCCTATAATAAGGTAAGCTAGAGAAAAGAAAACGTTATTAAGAAAATCATGAGGAAGCCAGGTATGGTGGGATGCGCCAGTATTCCCAGCTAATTGGGAAGCTGAGATAGAAGAATCACTGGAGTCCAGGCATTCTGGACTGCTGTGCACTTTGCCAACTGGGTGTCCACACTAAGTTTGGCATTAATATGGTGACCTCCTGGGAGAAGAGGACCACTAGGTTGTCTAAGGAGGGGCAAGCTGGCCCAAGTTGGAAACAGAGCAGGTTAAAACTCCCATGCTGATTAGAGTGGGATCATGCCTGTGAGTAGTCACAATGAGACCTCACCTCTTAAAAAAATAATACCATGGCCATATGCGGTGGCTCACGCCTGTAATCCCAGCACTTTGGGAGGCCGAGATGGGTGGATCACGAGATCAGGAGATCAAGACCATCCTGGCTAACACAGTGAAACCCCATCTCTACTAAAAATACAAAAAATTAGCTGGGCGTGGTGGTGGGTGCCTGTAGTCCCAGCTACTGGGGAGGCTGAGGCAGGGGAATGGTGTGAACCCGGGAGGCAGAGCTTGCAGTGAGCCGAGATTGCACCACTGCACTCCAGGCTGGGTGACAGAGCAAGACTCCATCTCAAAAAAGAAAAAAAATAAAAAATGAAAATCATAAGGCAAAATATCATAGCCATAATGAGACCTCACCTCTTAAAAAATTAGTACCAAATAAAAATCATAAGGAAGATAAAATATATTTACTATTAATTAAAAGGAAGTGGATCATGATAAAAGTCTTCATCCTTAACATTTTCATGTTGAGTAAGCTGAAGAGGAGGAGGAAGAGGAGTTGACCTTGCTGTCTCAGGAGTGACAGAAGTGGGAAAAAAAGTCCATGTATAGGTGGACCCTTGCGGTTCAAACCCATATTATTCAAGAGTCAACTGTATAACAACAGGATAATAGTAATCTAGATTATATATATATATATATAAAATCTATGTAATGTAAATATACGAAAATTGTTTATAAGATGAAAAGGGTGAAATTGAGTTACAGAGTTCAAGTTGCTTATATTTTCTTGGAACAGATACAAAAAACTAATCAATATTAGGCTTTAAAAATTCAAAAGTGAAAGTTAGGTAAATGCTAAAAGAATAATCAAAACTTGTGTATGTGAAAACACAGTAATAAGATCCAAAAGCAGAAAGGGAAGAAAATAAATGCAATAAAGATGGGAAAAATTGAAAACAAATAGAAACATGGTATAAATATTTAAACAAAAAATATATTAGTAGTTATAATAAAAAACAATAAGCTAATTACACCAGTGAAAATACAGGAGTTGTCAGACTGGGTTAAAATAGTCAAACGATATTCTTCGTATAAGAGATGTATTTTAAATACAAGGATGCAAAAAGGATTAATATAAAAGGATGGAAAAAAATGTTATGCAAAATCCAATATTTGAAAAAGGTAGTAGATATAGTTTGGATATTTGTCCCCTCCAAACCTCCAAACCTCGTGTTGAAATTTGGTCCCCAGTGTTGGGGGTGGAGTGTAAAGGGATGTGTTTGTGTCATCAGGTCAAATCCATGAATGGTTTGGTGCTCTTCTTGCAATAATGAGTGAGCTCTGTCTCTATTTAGTTCCCACGGGACCTGTTTTTTTGTTTTTTTTGTTTTTTTTTTTGAGACAGAGTCTCGCTCTGTCAGCCAGGCTGGAGTGCAGGGGTGCGATCTCGGCTCACTGCAACCTCCACCTCTCATGTTGAAGTGATTCTCCTGCCTCAGCTTCCTCAGTAGCTAGGATTACAGGTGTGCGCCACCATGCCTGGCTAATTTTTGTATTTTTAGTAGAGACGGGGTTTCACCTTGTTGGTCAGGCTGGTCTCAAACTCCTGACCTCATGATCCACCTGTCTCAGCCTCCCAAAGTGCTGGGACTACAGGTGTAAGCCACTGCTCTGGGCCAGGAACTGATTTTTTGAAAGTGCCTGGCACCTCCCCGCTGGCTTGCCATGTGACTTCCGCATGCTGACTCCCTTTCTCCTTCCACCATGAGTGGAAGGAGCCGGAGTCCCTCACCAGAAGCAGGTGCTGGTGCCATGCTCTTTGTACAGCCTGTAGAACTGTGAGCCAAATAAACCTCTGTTCTTTATAAATTGCCAGCATCAGATATTCCTTTACAGCAATATACATGGACTAAGACAGTATTGTAACTATATTAATAAGAGAAAAAAATAGGCTTTAAGTCAAAGATAAAGAGGAATACTTTACAATGACCAAAAGGTTCAATTCACCAGTAAATATAACAATTGTAAGTTTGTATGCACTTAACTATATTGTCTCAAAATATATACAGATAAATTAACAGAACCAAAGGATAAATAGATAAAAATCCATGATCATGGTGGAAGATTTTAACATACCTCTCAATAACTATTTTTTTTATTTTTTATTTTTTATTATGGAGTTGTGCTGTAATCACCCAGGCTGAAGTGTAGTGGCACAGTCTCGGCTCACTGCAACCTCTGCCTCCTGGGCTCAAGTGATCCTCCTGCCCACCCTCCCAAGTAGCTGAGACTACAGGTGCACGCCATCTTGCCCAGCTAATTTTTGTATTTTTTTGTGGAGAAGGGGTTCTGCCATGTTGACCAGTCTGGTCTTGAACACCTGGGCTCAAGTGATCAGCTTGTCTAGGCCTCCCAAAGTGTTGGAATTACAGGGATAAGCCACCACTCCCAGTTGACTTTTAAACCTCTCTCTCTCTTTCTTTCTCTCTTTCACACACACCCACACAGACACACATGCATACAAATGCTAAGTGTAAAGGAAAATGTTAACTCTATATTCGAAAATTAAAAACTTCTGCTCATCGAAAAGTACCATTAAGAACATGAAAAGGCAACTCAAAGACTAGAAGAACATACTTGCTACATATAAAGCCATTGAAAGACTTGTGTCTAGAATATAAAGAACTTGTATAAGTCAATCAGAAAATGCAGGTGGTCTAAAGAACAATGGGCAAGAGGCTTGAAGAGGAACTTAAACAAAAGAAGATATCCTAATGACCAATAAACATGAAAAAGTGTTCAGCCTCATTAGAAATCATAGAAATGTGAATTAAAAACAGAATGTAAAGTCACTGCATATGCATAAGAACTATGGCTAAAATGTAAAAGGCTGATTTTACCACATAGGTAAGGATATGCAGCAACCAAAAGTTTCATACATTTCATATATTTTCATATGAAAATATATGAAAATAAATTCATATACTTCATATATTCCTGGTGAGAATATAAATTAATGTGATCACTTTGGAAAACTGACATTGCCTACTAAAATTGAAGATCTGCATTCCCTATAATGCAGTAATTCCATTTCTAATTATACACCTATCAAAAGTGCATGCACCTGTGCATCAGGAATCATGTTCAAGAGTGTTTATAGCAATACTGTTTGTAAAGCCCCAAACTGGAAACAACCCAAACACGCATCAACAGTACAAACAGATAAATAAATTGTGGTATATTCATATATTGATATATTATATAGCAATGAAAATAAAGCTTATCAACATGAATATCACAATGAAAACACATATAAAGCTATGTGAAAACACATCATTGAAAGAAGTCAGAAACAATAAAACACATATGGTATAATTCATTATATAAAGTTTAAGAAATGGCTAAAACTGAAATATAGCACGTAGGTATACATGTTTTAATACTGTGTGTGTTTGTGTGTGTTATATACATATATACTTCCTGCTTTTATGTATATAACACACACACGCATAACCACATGTACACACACAGAGAGATTGTTTATTGTCCCCGTCCAAATCTCATGTTGAATTGTAATCTCCAGTGCTGGAGGCGGGCCTGGTGGGAGATGTGTGGATCATGTGGTTGGATGCGTCATAATGTTATAGGAGTTATTAAGAAATTATTTTAGGCAGAGAGAGAGGAAAAGAGGTCCTTGGGAAGTTTTTGTTTCTTTTAAAGCAGCTCCAGAAATGTTTCTTGTCTAGCAAGAAAGCCCTGGCTCTAGAGCCAGGCCAGCAAATTTTGATATGCAAATGCCAAACATTAGACTGGGTCCACCCAAACATGGCAATTCTCTCCACCTTCTTCTTGCCCTTGCCCCACATGTTCCTGGCAACATGGCCATCCCCACATATTCCCACATGTGTAGAACATCATGGTGCCCTGCATTTGCATATTAAAGGGCTAGGGTGGGAGGGCATGTATAGAACATCATGGTGCCCTGTATTTGCATATTAAAAAGCTAAGGTGGGAGGACCAGTTTTTTCAAGGGCTATGTGAATGACATGCCTGGTCAAAACAATCCCCTGAGCCCTATGCAAATCAGACACTGCCTCCTCCAGCCTCCTCATATAAGCAGCAATGTTTCCTTAGCACTCAGGGTTTCCTCCCTGGGCTTTGGATCCCCCCTCCCTCTGTCTCTGTATGGGGAAGCTGTTTTCTTCTTCCTTCCTTCTCTTTTGCCTATTAAACTTTTCACTCCTTAAAACTACTCCACATGTTTCTGCATCATATTATACAAACTGGCGCAAAGACCAAGAACCCTGGTGTTCCTCCACTCATTGGAGCCATATCAATAGCTTGGTGCTGCCTTTATGGTAGTGAGTTCTTGCAAGAGCCAGTCATTTAAAAGTGTGTGTCAACTCCCCCTCCAACTCTCACTTGCTCCTGCTTTTGCCACATGACATGTCAGCTCCCCCTTTTTTTTCTACCATGATTGTAAGCTTCCTGAAGCCTCCCTAGAAGGCGAGCAGATGCCAGCACCATGCTTTCTGTAAAGCCTGCAGAACTGTGAGCCAATTAAACCTCTTTTCTTGTAGATTATCTAGTATCAGGTATTTCTTTATAGCAATGCAAGAATGGCCTAATATAGAAAATTGGTACCGGGAGTGAGGCATTGATATAAAGATACCTGAAAACATGAAAGTGACTTTGGAACTGGCTAACAACAGAGGTTTTGAAGAGTTTGGAGGGCTCAGAAGAAGATAAGAAGATGAAGGAAAGCTTCATCATTCCAGAACACAGCCACAGTAGGCAGCAGGCACCAAAGGCATTTGAAACACAGGTTGAGGAAACCAAAGGCCAGGAGAGTTGAAGGTTGCCCAAGTTTGCACAGCCAGTTACTAGCAGTGCCAGGGTCTGATTCCTAGTCCAAGCTCTCTCTGTCTGACAGTGTGCTCTATCAAAACCCAGCAATCCACTGATGTTTATGGTGGCATTATTCTTAATCGCCGAAACCTGGAACCAACCAAGATGTCCTTCAGTAGGTGACTGGATAGATAAACTGTGGCAAATCCTGACAATGAAATATTATGCAGTGCTAAAAAGAAATGATCTATCAAGCCATGAAAAGACATGGATATCATTGAGTGAAATTCATATTACCAACATGCATATTAATAAGTGAAAGAAACCAATCTGAAAAGGCTACATACTGCGTGATTCCAATGATACGACATTCTGGAAAAGACAAAACTATGGAGAGGGTAAAAAGTTCACCAGTTACCAGAGGTTAAAAGGGAGGGAGAGATGAATAGGAGGAAAACAGAGAATTTTTAGGGCAGTGAAACTATTTTGTATGATACTGTAATGGTGGGTACCTGCTATTGTACATTTATCAAAACCCATAGAATGTACAAAACCAATGGTAAACCCTAATGTAAACTCTGGAGTTTGGATGATAGTGATGTATTAATGTAGGTTCATTGATTGTAACAAATGAACCACTGTGATAATGGAGGAGACTGTCAGGGTGGTGGGGGACAGGGGTATAGTAGAACTCTCTATGTGTTCTTGCCAATTTTGCTTTAACCTAAAACTGCTTTAAAAATGAAGTTTATTTAAACAACAACAATAGAAATAGAAAACATTTTTCATGGTTCTGGAAAAGAGCTTCAAAAAAATTCAAGCAAAGATGGCCAAATAGAAACAGCTCCAGTCTGCAGCTCTCAGTGAGACCAATGCAGAAGGCAGGTGATTTCTGCAATTCCAACAGAGCCTAGCAAGCTAAGAACCACTGGCTTGAAATTCTTGCTGCCAGCAAAGCAGTCTAAAGTCATCCTGGGACCATCGAGCTTGGTGAGGTGAGGGGCATTTGCCATTACTGAGGTTTTAGTAGGCGGTTTTCCCCTGACAGTGCTAAGGAGGCTGGGAGGTGTGGACTGGGCAAATTCACCACAGCACAGCAAAGTGGCTATGGCCAGACTTCTTCTCTCGATTCCTCCTTACTGGGCAGGGCATCTCTGAAGAAAAGGTAACAGCCCCAGTCAGGGCCTTACAGACAAAATGCCCATCTCCCTGGGACAGAGCAAGTGGAGGAAGGGGAGGCTGTGGGTGCAGCTTCAGTGCTTTTAATTGTTCCTGCCTGCTGGCTCTGAAGAGAGCAGCTGATCCTGACAAGAGGGGTTCTCCCAGCACAGCACACCAGCTCTGCTAAGGGACAGACTGCCTCCTCAAGTAAGTCCCTGATCCCCGTGCCTCCTGACTGGGAGAGACCTCCCAACAGGGGTCAACAGGCACCTCATACAGGAGAGTTCTGCCTGGCATCAGGCTGGTGCCCCTCTGGGATGATGCTTCCAGAGGAAGGAGCAGGCAGCAATCTTTGCTGTTCTATAGCTTCCCCTGGTGATACCCAGGTGAATAGGGTCTGGAGTGGACTTCCAGCAAACTGCAGCAGACTTGCAGAAAGGGGGCCAGACAGTTAGAAGAAAAACTAACAAAGAGAAAGCAACAACATCAATATCAACGTAAAGGAACCCCCCAAAAAACCCCATCCAAAGGTCATCAGCCTCAAAGATCATAGGTAGATAAATCCACGAAGATGAGGAAAAACCAGCACAAAAATGCTGAAAATTCCAAATACCAAAATACCTCTTCTTCTCCAAATGACTGCAACTCATCTCTAGCAAGGGCACAAAACTGGACAGCGATTGAGATTGAATTGACAGAAGTAGGCTTCAGAAGGTGAGTAATAACAAACTCCCCTGAGCTAAAAGAGCATGTTCTAACCCAATGCAAGGAAGCTAAGAACCTTGATAAAAGGTTACAGAAACTGCTAACTAGAATAATCAGCATAGAGAGGAACATAAATGACCTGATGAAGCTTAAAAAACACAGCATGAGAACTTCATGAAGCATACATTAGTATCAATAGCTGGATTGATCAAGCAGAAGAAAGGATATCAGAGATTAAACATCAACTTACTGAAATAAGGCATGAAGACAAAATTAGAGAAAAAAAGAATGAGAAGGAATAAACAAAGCCTCCAAGAGCTATGGGACTATGTGAAAAGACCAAACCTATGATTGATTGGTGTACATGAAAGTGACGGGGAGTATGGAACCAAGTTGGAAAACATACTTCAGGATATTACCCTGGAGAACTTTCCCAACCTAGAAAGAAAGGCCAACATTCAAATTCAGGAAATACAGAGAACACCACAAAGATACTCCTTGAGAAGAGCAACCTCAAGACACATAATCATCAGGTTCTCCAAGGTTGAAATGAAGGAAAAAATGTTAAGGGCAGCCAGAGAGAAAGGTCAGGTTACCTACAAAGGGAAGCCCATCAGACTAACAGTGGGTGTCTCTGCAGAAACCCTACAAGCCATAAGAGAGTGGGGGTCAATATTCAACATTCTTAAAGAAAAGAATTTTCAACCCTGAATTTCATTTCCAGCCAAAGTTCATAAGCTTCATAAGCAAAGGAGAAATAAAATCCTTTCCAGACAAGCAAATGCTGAGGGATTTTCTCACCACCAGGTCTGCCTTACAAGAGGTCCTGAAGGAAGCACTAAATATGGAAAGGTAAAACCAGTACCAGCCACTGCAAAAACACACCAAAATATAAAGACCAATGACACTATGAAGAAACTGCATCAACTAATGTGTAAAATAAGTACCTAGCATCATGATGACAGGATCATATTCACACATGATAATATTAACCTTAAATGTAAATGGGCTAAATGCCCCAATTAAAAGACACAGACTGGCAAATTGGATAAAGAGTCAAGACCCATTGGTGTGCTGTTTTCAGGAGACCCATCTCACGTGCAAAGACACACATAGGCTCAAAATAAAGGGATGGGGAATATTTACCAAGCAAATGGAAAGCAAAAAAAGCAAGGGCTGCAATCCTAGTCTCTGATAAAACAGACTTTAAACCAACAAGGATCAAAAAATAAAAAGAAGAGCACTACATAATGGTAAAGGGATCAATGCACCAAGAAGAGCTAACTATCCTAAATATATATGCACCCAATACAGGAGCACCTAGATTCATAAAACAAGTTCTTAGAGACCTACAAAGAGACTTAGACTCCCACACAATGATAGTGGGAGACTTTAACACCCTACTGTCAATGTTAGATAGATCAATGAGACAGAAAATTAACAAGGATATTCAGGACTTGAATTCAGCTCTGGACCGAGTGGACCTAATGGCCATCTACAGAACTCTCCACCCCAAATCAACAAAATATACATTCTTCTCAGCACCACATAGCACTTATTCTAAAATCAGCCACATAATTGGAAGTAAAACACTCCTCAGCAAATGCAAAAGAACAGAAATCATAACAGTCTCTCAGACAACAGTGCAATCAAATTAGAACTCAGGATTAAGAAACTCACTTAAAACCACACAACTAAAAAAAAAAAATATATATATATATATATATATATATATATATATATATATATATATATATATATATATATCAGGCCAATATCCCTGATTAATAGTGATGCAAAAATCCTCAGTAAAATACTGGCAAACTGAATTCAGCAGCACATCAAAAAGCTTATCCACCATGATCAAGTTGGTTTCATCCCTGGGATGCAAGGCTGGTTCAACATATGCAAATCAATAAACATAATCCATCACATAAACAGAATCAATGACAAAAACTGCCTGATTATCTCAATAGATGCAGAAAATGCCTTCAATAAAATTCGCCATTCCTTCATGCTAAAAACTATCAATAAACTAGGTATTGATGGAATATATCTCAAAATAATGAGAGCTTTTTATGACAAACCAATAGCCAATATCATACTGAATGGGCAAAAGCTGGAAGCATTCCCTTTGAAAACTGGCACAAGACAATGATGCCCTCTGTCACCACTCCTATTCAACTTGTATTGGAAGTTCCGGCCAGGACAATAAGGCAACAAAAGAAATAAAGGTATTCAAATAGGAAGAGAGGAAGTCAAATTGTCTCTGTTTGCAGATGACATGATTGTATATTTAGAAAATGCCATTGTCTCAGCCCAAAAACACCTTAAGCTGATAAGCAACTTGAGCAAAGTCTCAGGATACAAAATCAATGTGCAAAAATCACAAGCATTCCTATGCACCAACAACAGCCAAGCAGAGAACCAAATCATGAGTGAACCCCCATTCACAATTGCTACAAAGAGAATAAAATACCTAGGAATACAACTTACAAGGGACATGAAGGACAAGGAGAAGTACAAACCACTGCTCAAGGAAATAAGAGAGGACACAAACAAATGGAAATAATTCCATGCTCATGGATAGGAAGAATGAATATTGTGAAAATGGCCATACTGCCCAAAGTAATGTGTAGATTCAATGCTGTTCCCATTAAGCTACCATTGACTTTCTTCTCAGAATTGGGAAAAACTACTTTAAATTTCATATGAAACCCATATAAAAAGAACCCATATAGCCAAGACAATCCTAAGCAAAAAGAACAAAGCTGGAGGCATCATGCTACCTGATTTCAAACTATACTACAAGGCTACAGTAACCAAAACAGCATGGTACTGGTACCAAAACAGATATATAGACCAATGGAACAGAACAAAGACCTCAGAAATAACACCACACGTCTACAACCATCTGATCTTCGACAAACCTGACAAAAATCAGCAATGGGGAAAGGATCCCCTATTTAATAAATGGTGCTGGGAAAACTGGCTAGCCATATGCAGAAAACAGAAACTTGATCCCTTCCTTACACCTTATACAAAAATTAACTTAAGATGGACTAAAGACTTACATGTAAAACCCAAAACCATAAAAACCCTAGAAGAAAACCTAGGCAATACCATTCAGGACATAGGCATGGGCAAAGACTTCATGACTAAAACACCAAAAGCAACTGCAACAAAAGCCAAGATTGACAAATGGGATCTAATTAAACTAAAGAGCTTCTGCACAGCAAAAGAGGCTATCATCAGAGTGAACAGGCAACCTACAGAATAGGAGAAAAATTTTTTAATCTACCTATCGGACAAAGGTCTAATATCCAGAATCTACAAGGAACTTAAACAAGTTTATAATAAAAAAACAAACAACCCCATCAAAAAGTGGGTGAAGGATATGAACAGACATTTTTCAAAAGAAGACATTTAGGTGGCCAAGAAACATATGAAAAAAAGCTCATCATCACTGGTCATTAGAGAAATGCAAATCAAAACCACAATGAGATACCATCTCACACCAGTTAGAATGGCAATTATTAAGAAGTCAGGAAACAACAAATGCCGGCAAAGCTGTGGAGAAATATGAAAGCTTTTACACTGTTGATGGGAGTGTAAATTAGTTCAACAATTGTGGAAGACAGTGTGGCAATTCCTCAAGGATCTAGAACCAGAAATACCATTTGACCCAGCAATCCCATTACTGGGTATGTACCCAGAGGATTATAAATCATTCTACTATAAAGACATATGCACAGTTTATTGAACTGTGCACTGTGTTTATTGAAGCACTATTTACAATAGCAAAGACTTGGAACCAACCCAAATGCCCATCAATAATAGACTGGACAAAGAAAATGTGGCACATATATACCATGGAATACTATGCAGCCATGGAAAAGAATGAGTTCATGTCTTTGTCAGAGACATGAATGAAGCTGGAAACCATCATTCTCAGCAAATTAACACAGGAACAGAAAACCAAACACTGCATGTTCTCACTCATAAGTGGGAGTTGAACAATGAGAACACATGGACACAGGGAGGGGAACATCACACATCGGGACCTGTCAGGGGGTGAGGGCAAGGGTAGGGAGAGCATTAAGACAAATACCTAATCCATGCGGGGCTTAAAAACTACATGATAATTTGATAGGTGCAGCAAACCACCATGGCACATGTATACCTATGTAACAAACCTGCATGTTCTGCACATGTATCCCAGAACTTAAAGTAAAATAAAATAAAAAATAAAGCTTCTTTGATTTATTTCCCATTGGCGTTTTTCTGTAGCTAAGGAGCAGAATCCTTCCCCAGGCAGGGAAAAGACGGGCAAGTGCCAGTCTCTTCTCCACTTAGTGTCCAGGGTATGTGGCAGTTTTCAAAAGGCTCCCTCAGTAGACTTGAAGCACAAACAAATACCCTGAATTTCTACGTCCAAGTCATTGTGAGTCTCATCATGGGAGCCTCAGAGGATAAAATGATTTCATAAAGTGTTTCCTGCAATTCTTGATTCTGGTCTAAATGTTGTGGTGGCTTCAAGGACCATAAGTCTTGTAAAAAAAAAAAAAAAAAGAAAAACAAAAGCAAAACACACACACACAAATCCACACTCTGCTTTCTGCAGTGTGATACTTTGTAGGAAAAGGGCTACCTTAGAGATGCTCTCAGTAATATCCACCTAGGAGAAAGAAACCAAGTTTGTGGAGCCCCTACCTGTGTTAGGCTCTGTGCCGGGCACTTGACATGCTTCATCATATTGATTTCTCATGACAACCCTGCAATAGTGATATTATTATTCCCATTTTACAGCTTAAGAAACACAGGTACAGAGAGGTTACTTAACACCAAAGACATTCAGGAGGTGAGTTGTAAAGCCAGAAGGCAATCCAAGCTTGTTTTGTTCAATAACATTATATCAAGGAATCCTTGTCTTGGAGGAATTAACTCTGACAGCAAATGATGGTGGGTCCAGTGATTCAGGGAAAAGTGTGGCGGGGCCTGAGTGAGCATCCTTTGAAGGGTTGCTCACTCACTCTTGTTGGTAATTCAGCAGCTCGGGCAATGGGGAAGAGGCTGCTGTTTCACAGGCCTTTAGTCCATACTCTGCAGCCAGTATTGCCGGCCTTCCCCTCTCTCCACACACCGACCAGGCTGCCCTTCCATGGCCAATTCCCCCTTTCAGGTTGCCCCTGATGTTCTATGATGGCTTGAGACTGGCTTTAGTCTTTGGATCTCTGCCTTCTTGTTTGTTTTGATCCCCCTTGGAAACTGTGAGTTGCAAGCTGCAGAAGTAGACTTTAAGATTGCTCAACACTGAATAAATAAAACCGTTTCTGATAGCCTGCAGTAAGCATGTCTTTTTTTTTTTTTTGAGACGGAGTCTAGCTCTGTCGCCCAGGCTGGTGTGCAGTGGCGCGTTCTCAGCTCACTGCAAGTTTTGCCTCCCGGGTTCACACCATTCTCCTGCCTCAGCCTCCTGAGTAGCTGGGACTACAGGCACTGGCCACCACGCCAGTCTAATATAAACTGAGTTCATTCATACTCCACTGGGGGCTCAGGAAGGAAACTCAGAGTGCTATTGGTGTTAGACAAATAGGAGCTGGAAGTTGATGCTAAGTGAGGTCAGAGCACATGTCAGGGATGCCATGCTCTGTGGTACCCAGTGAAGCACCAAGAAGAGAAGAGAGTTAACGGATGGGTTTGATGGTGAGTATGATATAGTATCTCACATCTTCTTATTCAGCACCTACATCTGGGGAAGGTCTCCAGAAAACTTGAGGGCCTATCGAAGGGAATTATGCTGAGCCTTGCATAGAGTCAAGTATATGGAAAGGGTCTAGGAGGCAGAAGAACCTTCCTGGAAGGAAGGATGTGACAGAAGGCATGCCACGGACCAGTCCAGGTGTCTGTTCCCTAGCCCTGCCTGAAAAGAGAAAAGCTGGATGTAAAAAACAAAGTAACCATTTTTCTGTCATTCGGGGCATAGACTTTGAGGCTCCAGTGACAAAAAGGAAAGCTGAGAGTTGCTGGTGGGAGGCATGCTCCCCATTGCTGGGCAAAAACCACAGGAGACAGCCCAGCTCACATGCTGAGATCAATGCCACGGGGATCAGTGACACAACCTGGCTGTACTGTCTTGAGGGCGCTGCAGTCCTGGCTGAACTGGGAGATAGCGTGCTGGGAGCAGCAGCAGCATTCTGTGTGGAAATCCACGGCAGCCTTAGCAGTGGTGGGGTAGCACTTCATTCAAGCTGCCACATTGCCACAGACATCGACAAGAAGCTCAGGGAAGAAGGACTTAGGAGGGCTATCTGTGAACACTCTGAGGACCTGAGCACTTCCAGTGGGGCTTTGGGAAGGTTACAAGGAGCAAGTAGAGAGACCAGGAGTCAGCAGCATTGAGTATCCAATTCACACTGACGCAACCTCATTTTTAACCACAGGTTGGGAGGCCTGGAGACAGAAGCAAAGAATCGAGAAAGCCCCTGATAACTATTCCAAGGCTTGATCAGATATGTGAGCCAGGAAAACTAAACGCAGCTCAAGTGCTTGAGATCTCTTGAATTTCCTTAGCCTCCTACCCCTCGAGAGACCTTTCCAAGGTTGCTCTCTGTAAGAAAAATGAGAGCGCCTCCCAACCTGCTCTAGCCAATAATTCATTCGGAAACAAGTTGCTTATCTCTTTGATCTGGGTCACGGAGGGTGCCCCTGTCTGAGCTGCTTGTATGCTGGGTACTCTCGCTAAGCCTCATTGACTGCACCGAGGGATGCTAGGGGAGGGACCATTTCCATATCTGCATTAGCCAGCTTTGGGTCAATTAAAGTAAAACTGAAAACAACTTGGTAGGCTGCTGGATAAGCAATGTTGGGGCTCAGAAGTGGATACCCCAAAATATGGTGCTGTGAACATGCAGAACTGAAGCAGCCTCTAATTCTCTCTGACCTCTCCTCCTCCCCTCCCATCTCTGTCTCTCTCCAAGCATAGGATGAAGTTGTTCTCTGAAGTTCCTTTATCTGCCTGAAGTCCAAACCTGCCAAAAAAGAAAACAATGACCTCTGGTTCTTTCCCTGAGTTTCATTCACTGAACTGATATCGCAGGAAAAAAGACTGAAATCTGTCAACATACCTGGACAGACTTTTGTTACAAACCATTATCTGGTCTGCGGACTGTACAGACTTTGTCCTAGGCCCTTTGTATGTTCTTCAAGGCCATTGAATTCCCCAAAAAATCATTACTACCCCCCAAAATTGTTTATACTTCCACACCTCCCTATCGCCTAAGAAGAAGGGTATCTTAGCACCCATACCCTACTGTGTGGTGGGAAGATCACTCTGATATCCTCCCATGCATGTTAATAAATATGTATGCCTTTTCTCCTATCAATTTGCCTTTTTCATTTGATTTTCAGCAAATATTCGGAAGGCAAACGGGAGATTTTTCCTTTGATCCCTACAGCAACTTTCCATATCTCAGTGTTTCCGGAAAAAGCAGTACTGGGTAGGCGTTGATCGGCAAAAGGTGTGACTGTAGCTGCTAAAACCAGCAGAGCGAGTGTCATCACCTCTGGTTGCTTTTCCTTCAGCCCTAAATACCCTCTCATCAAGCCTTCTTCCACCTACCAAACACCTCCCACCCATGAGTCCAAAGGTCTCTCTCCTCTTCCTGCGTCCCTCAGGTCTAAAGGACATGGTAAGCCGCTAGGATTTCTTCCTCTAAGTTAATGGGTAGGCTGCTTGCCTATGTTATGCCTGTGTGGCAGGGTCAAAGCGGTTCTGGCTTCTGGTTTAGTAGTACTGTCTGAGCACAGCTGTTCAACAGACTTAAGTGTAGAAATTCCAGCACACAGGCCTGGCTCGGTGGCTCACGTCTGTAATCCCAGCACTTTGGGAGGCCGAGGCGGGCGGATCATGATGCCAGGAGATCGAGACCATCCTGGCTAACACGGTGAAACCAGGTCTCTACCAAAAATACAAAAAAATTAGCTGGGCGTGGTGGCGGGCGCCTGCAGTCCAAGCTACTCGGGAGGCTGAGGCAGGAGAATGGCGTGAACCCGGGAGGCGGAGCTTGCAGTGAGCCGAGATCGCGCCACTGCACTCCAGCCTGGGTGACAAAGCGAGACTCCGTCTCAGGAAAAAAAAAAAAAAAAGAAAAAAAGAAATACCAGCACACAAACAAACGACTTTCACATTCTTAAGTCTGTGACAAGGTTGTTTTTCTGGCCAGGAATACTCATCTCCTTCCCAACTCTTATTGCTTTAAAAATGTCGGCCAGGCGCGGTGGCTCACGCCTGTAATCCCAGCACTTCGGGAGGCTGAGGCCGGCAGATCACTGAGGTCAGGAGATGGAGACCATCCTGGCTAACACGGTGAAACCCCGTCTCTACTAAATACAAAAAAATTAGTCGAGCGTGGAGGCGGGCCCCTGGAATCCCAGCTACTAGGGAGGCTGAGGCAAGAGAATAGCTTGAACCCTGGAGGTGGAGGTTGCAGTGAGCCAATATCGCGCCACCGCATTCCAGCTTGGGGGACAGAGGGAGACTCTGTCTCAAAAAAAAAAAAAAAAAGTTATTGTTCCAAAAAAAAAAAAACCCTCAAACAAAATTAAAAATTAAAACAAAACTTCACCCAGAATTGCACCACGAAAACACATCATTTGTTTTCATTTTCCAGCTTTCTTTCCTTCGCACATTTATAAGTATCATTTACATAGTCATAACCATAACAGAGATAGGTTCTTTCTGTCATTTTCACTTAATAGTCTACCATTATTTTTTCCAAGTTATTATACAGTTTTTCTAATTATAATTTTAATGAACATGTATTCCATGGAGTTGATGTTCAATAATCCACTTAACATCCACTTAATAAAAATTCTCCAAGTCATTCTGGAAGCTGCGTCTCCAGCCCCAGGTCTTTGGCAAGCCTTACACAGATGCACCAGGTCTCAGAGAACATGCCCTCCTCTGACATTGAGAGCATCCTGTCTCCATTTGCCAGACTCCCAGCAAATATCCCTTTGTATTTCCTAACGTGTCTACATGCAGATGTGTTGTCTCTCTTTCCTAGATACTGATAGCCTCATAGACAAAACCAAGTCCCTTTCACCTCTGAATCCCCTACACTTAGCAGAATACCTGACATTTTATGGTGCTCGGTAAAAGTGGATAATTAACAACAATAACAGCAATGCTTGTAGCATGAGAGCTCTTCATTACAAGCCACAGAAATACTACTACTCTGCATAAATTTAGCAGAAAAGGAGCTTATTAAAATTAAACATACATCTAACTGATGACCCAGCAATTTCACTCCCAGTTATGTGCTCATGAGAAATAAGGCCAGGCACAGTGGCCCACGCCTGTAACCCCAGCACTTTGGGAGGCCAAGTTGGGCGGATGATGAGGTCAAGAGATCGAGACCATCCTGTCCGACATGGTGAAACCCCGTCTCTACTAAAAATACAAAACTTGCTGGGTGTGGTGGTGCATGCCTGTAGTCCCAGCTACTCAGGAGGCTGAGGCAGGAGAATTGCTTGAACCCGCCAGGCAGAGGTTGCAGTAAGCTGAGATCACGCCACTGTACTCCAGCCTGGCGACAGAGTGGGACTCCGTCTCAAAAAAGAAAAAAAAAAAGAGAGAGAGAGAGAGGAATAAAAGCATATGTCCACAAAAAACACTTACGCTAGAATGCTCACCTCAGTCTTATTCAGAATTACCCCAAACTGGAACACAAACCATCCATCCATTATTGGGAGAACAGATTAATGATTTGCGGTGTGTTCATACAATGGAGTACTACTCAGCAAGAAAAAGAGGCATGCTGCTGATACAGAAACCAACTTGGATGAATCTTGAAAACATGATGCTGAGCAAAGAAAGCCAGACACAGAAGAATCCAATAGGCAAGACCTCGGGTGATGGAAATGTGGCCGCCAGGGCACTGATAAGCCAGGAAACACCCAGGCATTACTCAGCTTGTCAGGCACTGAGGCACAAACAGCTGCAAGTGGATGTGGCTGCTCTTCCTTTGATCCTAGGGAAATGTCTTAACATATCAATTAGACAACTCCTGGTGACTTCACAGGGACTTCGAATGAGAAGATTCTACTGAAAGAATAACCACCATTCCAGGCTTCTCTGTTCTGGCAAAGCTCCTAGGCACTCAGGAGGCTGGAGTGAGGGATACAAATAACACAAACCAGAGTTTGAGATGGCACGGATTCTGCCTTTTCGTACTCTTGCTGGAACATGGCAGAGAGTGGAGTGTGGGCCAAGGGGCTAAGGTCCCCATCAGGGATCCCTGGATTTTGAGGGTGGAGAAAGGAGGGCACGTGGCTTCCCTTTTGGCTGGTTTAATCCTCATCCTCCATCTGCCCTTCATCAGTGAATGCCTCTGCTTGTCCAGGTTGAGCTCGGCAGCTGGAAGCATGTAGACAACAGGCTTTACCTGAGTCGGAGCTGTCCATGAGCTGGAAATGAACGGTTCTCACCACTTAAAGTGAAATCACCTGAATGAACAAGAATTGGGTTAGAGATTTTGCCTAAGGCTGGATATAAATTTTTTTAGTACCAGGAAGTGCATAGAAGTGGAGGTTGAATGATCCTTTCTTTCTTCATGTTCTATATATGGACCCATGATTTCCTTACTAGAAAGACTTGTGTCTGATGAGCCCGCAGACTATGGAGAGGCAAGCAGGATTACCTAAAGAAGAACCCATGATATAATCCCAGCACTTTGGGAAGCCAAGGCAGGCGGATCACGAGGTCAGGAGATCGAGACCATGCTGGCTAACATGGTGAAACTCAGTCTCTACTAAAAATACAAAAAATTAGCCAGGCGTGGTGGCGAGCACCTGTAGTCCCAGCTACTTGGGAGGCTGAGGCAGGAGAATGGCGTGAACCTGGGAGGTGGAGGCTGCAGTGAGCCAAAATCGCGCCACTGCACTCCAGCCTGGGTGACAGAGCGAGACTCCATCTCAAAAAAAAAAAAAAAAAAAAAAAAGAGAAGAAGAACACATGAAAGTCACGTAGTCTTGCAATAAGCTAGCTGAGACGGGAGGCTCCCTTCTCCTTATGGAGAGAATTTGCACATGATTTCAACTTCCAAAGTCTCCAGATGCTAGCCAGTTGGCATTTTCCAGCACAGTTGGCCCAGCCAAGGTTAGATTTTGTTCCCAAGTCCGTAATGTTTATTTGCTGCCTGCAAAATCACTCTCATACTTGCTCTGTAAAATTAGAGAGTGAAAGGGAGGCGAGGTCTCTTTCCTGGTGCACAACCTCATGGTGCATCCAGGGGGTCTTGTACAGATCTCAATACTGTTCTGTAACATGACAGGAGAGAAAGGGCAACCCGTGATGCCGCTGACCCTTTTGCCTTTGAACATCAGCATGCACCAAGTACTGTGTGCTGGTGTTCACCTAAACACTGCAAATAGTTCTTCCGCTAGAACCCCAAAGTGGGAAACATCTTAAACACAGAAAGAAATGCAGTTGATGAACAGCCAAAGTAACTGGCAACATTCATTATATTTCTAACAATTAAAAGGATTTGGGGAAAGGTCCATCGGACAATTCTGGCCAGTGTCCAAGTTTATTCAATGCAGTATAACTGGGTCATTTTAAATAGCAGATTTAGTCAGAAAGACTTGAGCTTAAATTTCACATTTGTCACCCACTAGATGTATAATAAAAAAAAATTACTTAACCTCTATGATCCTCAGTTTATTATTTATAAACTTGAGATGATTACATCAGCTTCAACCAGGTGTCATGCAGCTTAAGTAAAATCACCCATGTGTTGCACTTTGTGCAATGACTGGAAATATAACAAATTCCCAATAAATAATTGTAACTATTATTTATAATGCTGTTAACATGAACAAAGGTGGTAATAAAGAAAAAAATGACAAATGGACAACTCTGGTTCCTGGAGGACAGCCTCAAATCTGCCAGATCACTTCAACCAGCTTTTCTCCTGAATGAGGATGGTCGTAGCATCCCAGAACTGTGATCTACAAACCCATACAGCCTAGCAAAATGTGGCTGCTTTCAGCAATGGCATCAAGGCAGGAATAAATATTGTAGTAAAAAAAAATGAGAGGTGGAAAGACAAATAATTATCTTTGAAATGACTTGGCTTAGGTCTGAAAACTCCGATCCCACGGATGACCGAAAATGTAATCTTACTAATTCAAAACAATTTGTTCACTCCTGTTTAAAACTTACTCTCATTTAGGTAAATCCTTTGCCTGGCATGAGCAGAGCACATCTTAGAGGTGGCTGAGGCTGAGATGTTGCTGGGATTCCCACGCCTTCGACATCTGCCCCTGACCTTCTAGGCCCCATGCTACAGCCACTGGATTGTCATCCCTCCAGCCCAGTGTTACTGGAATCAAAAGAACCCAAGGGCGGTTTCTTGGATCTCATTCAAGAAAGAAATCAGGGCGAGTCCATCAAGTAAAGTGAAAGGCAAGTTTATTAAGAAAGTAAAGGAGTAAAAGAATAGTTACTCCATAGACAGAACAGCCCTGTGGGTTGCTGGTTGCCCATTTTTATGGTTATTTCTTGATGATATGCTAAACAAGGGTGGATTATTCATGCCTCCCCCTTTTAGACCATATAGGGTAACTTTCTGATGTTGCCATGGCATTTGTAAACCGTCATGGCACTGGTGGGAGTGTATCAGCGAGGATGACCAGACGTCACTCTTGTCGCCATCTTGGTTTTGGTGGGGTTTAGCTGGCTTCTTTACTGCAAACTGTTTTATCAGCAAGGTCTTTATGACCTGTATCTTGTGGCAACCTCCTGTCTCACCCTGTGACTTAGAATGCGTTAACAGTCTGGGAGTACAGCCCAGTAGGTCTCAGCCTCATTTTACCCAGCTCCTATTCAAGATGGAGTTACTCTGGTTCAAACGCCTCTGACACCATGGCTGCTTCTGGTAAGCAGACCTCTCTGCAACTTGGATGTTTCTGCCCTCTCTAGTAAAATTCAGTTGCTCTCACTCCCTTTGAGGCAGGATTTTGTTCTTCAAATTCCTCTTTGTAATCAATGTTTGCCCTCTTTCTTCAGGATTTTCCTCCTGATCTTCTAGCCAAGCTTTTGGGAATTCAAATATTTACTTTTTTTCTTTACAAGCGCCTGATTCTTGGAAGAAAGCTCTATGGCATTCATGATTGCAGAATCTGCTATAGATTTACCAGAACAACAAATGACTAATTAAAAGTTCAAATGCTGGAACTTGACTCTTTTGTTAACTTTGTACCATCTGTAGCCTAAGGGCAGTGTACATGAAAAGCCTTTTCTTCAGTGATAAAGGGAAAGGTGTAGGGAAAAAGAGATCAAAGTAATCACACACATAATATCAAAATACTTTTCACTGCAAATACAATTATTTCTGCCTATATCTTCTGCCTGTAGCGCAAGGCTAGCTCAGGCTGTGGCCCAGAAAATATCCCCTTGGCATTCCCACATCCTTTGTGGATGCCCCAACTTCAGCAAGACAGACACCAAGTGAGAGTTTCAGAGCTTCTCAAGTGGAATCTGGAAAGCACACCAGTGGAAATGTTGCAAAGAGTGTCTGCCATGTTTGTTTCTAAGTTAGGAGGGTGAGCTGGGAATACTGATGGGATCGCAAAACCCATCACCACCTAGGAAAGGCAGAAAGATATAATAAAGAATTAGGAAATCTCTTCCACAATTTAGAGGCCACTCTGCTGTGCTTGGCTAATAGTCGACTTGCTCTTTGGTGTGTCTGGCAAGAGGTTAGAAGATTCAAAACAGATTATCAGCAAGGAGTTGACTTGGACTCTGCCTGTGTTATTTTTACTTCTTGACTCAACCTCCCTTGTTTGAATGCAAGAGGCTGCTGCAGACATAGGACATTTACTCCCCAACTGTATTGTCCCAACTACAGGACCCTCCTGTAGTTCTAAGTGCCTCCTAATATTTAGGCTGATACTTTTCTCCAAGTCAGGAAAATGGCTCTAAGTAGAGTCCTTGTACCATATTGCGCTTCCATCTGTCAACTTTGCCTTCCCTAGAGCCACACAGAACCCTGCTGTCCACAGCCCAATCTCCTGTCCATCCCTCTTCTGTCACAAAACTGCCAAGTCCAAATGGGAAAGCCCTTGGGAAGGAGAATCTCTGAGGATCTGCAGTAGAGCCAAGATTTGAAGACAGTGGTCCTAGTTCCAGGTTTGGTGTCCTCTCTGCTGTGTCAATCTATAGCTCCCAAGATTTAAATCTAGCTCAGTGCCCCAGCCCCAGCAGCAACAAAGATAAAAGCCATCTGCTAGACCCTCTGCTGCAGGCCCCTGCAGCAATTGCACTTTACTGCCTTATAACAAGGAAGTGGCGGTTATGCTGGGAGCAATTACCCGAGCTTAAAAACATCAGCTTAGATAAAATTAGATTTGACCTGAGAGATTGTTCCAAACACCAACTTAACTGCCTTTGATGTTCTGAATCCCATCAAATTGCACATAGTTCTCTCTTCCTGGCTTTAAAGTCAATCTCTTCATCAGAGAAGTGAGAAAGACCTGTTTTTCCTGAACATCTTTAAAGCCCTTTCCCCGCAGGTGTTGTAACAGGCTGGCAGATGTGGTGTCTGCTAGTTGTATCAAATACCACAGCACTTGAGCCAGGGATATTAGCTGAGTTATCACTCTGAAAGTTTGCGCCCAGAGTCATAGACTGATGAAAGGGACAATCCCTGTCCCTTACAGGTGGAGAGTCCAAGGGCCAGAGAAGTCCTGTGACCTGCTCAAGGCAGATGGGTCAAAATGCCAGAAGCAAGACTTCATCCCAGAACTCCACTCTTCCTATGCCATCCTCTTCCATGCTTTCATGATGACTTCTTACATCTGGGCCAGATTTTGACTTAGGGCTTTCACAATTTGAGGAACAGAGAAGTAACTAATTGGGAGAGGCAATATTTGAATACTGAAATTTTGATTTCAGAATGTATTGACTTTTTATACTACAATAAAGAAGGATGATAGATTAGGATGGCAGGAGCAAAGGAGTAAGTAAGTTCCTTGACAAATGGGACATGCCCATCCTCTTTCCTGCTTTATGCCCAGCATTAACTCTATGTTTAACACATAGTAGGTGCTCAGTAAATAATTGGGAGAGAAGGACAAGAAGGGAAGGAAGGAATAACAGGAAATAAATGGGCAGTTATATGAAGGCACTCTTGCTCTGAGGTCTATGGGTTTTATAGTCACTTCTTTAGCCTAAGATTTTTCTCTAATGTCTGGTTTTTGATTTTGGGATTTTTTTGTTTATTTTAGTTTTCAGGTTTGTTTGTTTCTTGTTTTGCCTAAGTTAAAGAGATTTTGAAGTTCTCAGAAGTCTAACTTCTGGATAAGTGGAAAGTTGTGAATTTTATTGAGTAATTCTTTTTGATTAATTTTCCCAACCTCGCATAATAATAGCTAGGGTTAGCAGTAAAGGAAAAAAAAAATGTGGCTTCCACCCAAGTATATGGAGTTCCATTCCAATCCTCTTCCCTTTTATGTCCTCCCATTTTCCCTGGTACTTTTGGTCTCTTTGTGCTCCATATGAAATCTACTTGGGCTATATGTGATTCCTTTTGGGTCTAGATTTCCAATAAGCAAATCTGACTAAAGGACCCAAATTGAGATCCTCTATTCACTCATGCATTCATACATCAATCATTCAAAGAATATTTGTTGTGCTCTTGCACCATACACTTTGCCAGGTGATTCTAAAATGAATGGGGACTGGGCGCAGTGGCCCACGCCTGTAATCCCAGCACTGTGGGAGGCCAAGGCAGGTGGATCACCTAAAGTCAGGAGTTCGAGACAGGCCTGGCCAACATAGTGAAACCTCATCTCTACTAAAAATAAAAAAATTAGCTGGATGTGGTGGCATGCACCTGTAGTCCCAGCTACTAGGGAGGTTGAGGCAGGAGAATTGCTTGAACCTGGGAGGCAGAGGTTGCAGTGAGCCGAGATCATGCCACTGCACTCCAGCCTGGGCAACAGAGCAAGACTCTGTCTCAAAAAAAAAAAAAATCATAACAATAAAATAAATAAAATGAATGGGGTTTAATCCCTGACCTCACACTCACAATGAATAAAGTAAACAAGCAATTATGCAACGAATATGATCATTGGAGCATCAAGAAGACAGAAACTAATTTTTCTGATAGGTAGAAAAATTAAGACTTTATAGAGAAAATGATATTAAAACTGAGTTTGAAATATGACTAGGATTTTAGAAGGTAAAAGGTGAGAGGCCAAGTGAGAAGAAATCACTGCAGGCAGAGGTTAAAATCGAATCAATAAGAATAAAGTCCAAAGTCCTCAATGTGGCTTATAGTTATCTGCCTACTCATCCAATCCCATCCCTTATCACTTTTGTGCCTTTTCGGTGTACGCAGACACAAAGGCCTTCTTTTAGTAACTAGAATCCTTGAAGCCTGTTTCCCTCATAGGACATTTGTACTTGCTGTTCCCTATGATTAAAGCATTCTTCTTCAAGTTATTCATATGGCTACTTTAATACCAGCATTTAAGTTGCAGCTCAAATGCTTTGTATGAGAGAGGCGCTATTATAAATCAGAGGCGCTGTACAAATCAGGAACTATTCTGTAATGGCTAAGTAACTTATCCAAGGCCATACAACTTGCAAATGAAGTTGCCAAAAATTGAACCCAGGTAGTTTTGGCGTGTAGACCCAGTGTCTCACACTGCCTCTCTCACTCTATGAACTGATCTTATTTATACATTTACATGCCTCCGTCTTTTTGTACTAGAATATACTCTCTGTGAATGCAGAGCCCTTGTCTCTCTTGTTCACAGCTGTATCCTCAGCACCTAACACAGAGCCTAGCATATAGGCACTGCCTTAGTCTGTTTTCTGTTGCTATAATAGAATACCTGGGACTGGGTATTTTTTTTTTTTTTTTGAGACGGAGTCTCGCTCTGTCACCCAGACCCAGGCTGGAGTGCAGTGGCGTGATCTCCGCTCACTGCAAGCTCCATCTCCCGGGTTCACATCATTCTCCTGCCTCAGCCTCCTGAGTAGCTGGGACTACAGGCGCCCGCCACCACACCCAGCTAATTTTTTTGTATTTTTAGTAGAGACTGGGTTTCACCGTGTTAGCCAGGATGGTCTCCATCTGCTGACCTCGTGATCCACCCCTCTCGGCCTCCCAAAGTGCTGGGATTACAGGCGTGGGCCACCATGCCCAGCCGGGTAATTTCTTTTTTAAAACAAAATTTATTCCTCAGTTCTGGAGGCTGGGAAGTCCAAAGCCAAGGGACTTCATCTGCTTGGCTTTTAATTAGTGCTGTCTTGCTAAGAGAAGGCATCACCCTTCTTTTAGGCATCACCCTGTGATGGGAGGCATCACAGGGTGAGAGAGGCACACTGAGAGCCCAAATGATTATTAAAACAGACCTATTTTCATGAAAACTGACCCACTCTATGATACCGCATTCTTCCACTAAACCATTAATGATTTCATTCATTCATTCATGCAGAGGCCTCATGATCCAATCACCTCTTAAAGCCCTCTGAATACTGCTACATTGGGGCTTAAGTTTTAAGATGAGTTTCAGAGGGGACAAACATTGAAACCATAGCAGGCACCTAGGCAATATTTTTTTTTTGATTGAATAAATGAGAAAAATCTGGAGAGAGAGAACGTGTGCATAAAGAAGATAAGAGGTATACTACTTTTAGGTAAGGAAATAGCATGGAGGTTTATTTAACTGTGACCTCTGAGAACTATGCCCCTATTTTTATCCCTTCCCTCAAAGTAGTGATAGAATTGTTGGAAATATAGGTCAGATAGGAACAGATATGTTGGCTGGATAGTAAGAAATGGGGGAAAATTGAGGGTTTGGTGGGGGCGGGGGTGAGGAATCCTTGTGTTATGCCCCAAATTATCAGATATAAATGACTGCCCACTCCTAACCAAGGAAGATAATGGGTATCACTTCATGGAGGTCCTTTCCACAGAGCAGTGATCACTGAACAGCAGGAAAATAACTTCCTGAAAGGTCCCCATGGTGTCAATAACCTAGGAGTCCTCTCCAGCTGATCAAGCCTAGATGGCCGCAGCAGATGGTGTTAATGAGCCTGAAATGACTCAAGCTATTCCTGCAGTCTGCTGTCTGCCAGCAGCTCCCTCTTGGCCACAGGTCACTGATCTCTTCTCAGTCAAGTGCCAGGGTGCTCACTGGACTATGTCACCTCGCCTGGTAGGTTTTCTAAGATGGCAGTGGTTTTAAGTCAATGATTGCTGCTCCTGGCCGGAGCTTCTCAGGCATGTCCCAAACTGGCTGTGCTCCTCAAGGGAGGAGTCTGGATTTGCCCTTTGAGTTTCTGATTCATAGGGCAGTCTCCAGCTGCTGCTCATCACACCCTGCTTTTTTTCCTAGCCTTTGAAAAGAAGCCACATGATTCAATTGTTGACGGTTCTCCTCGCTTTCTAGCAAATAAACCCTCACAGCTTCAATGGAATCAGTGATGATGGTTTGGGCTTAGAAAGTTATAATGTGGCTTACTCATCCCAAATAGTAACTAACATATATTGATTACTTTTTCTGTGCCAGAGACTTTTCTAAGCCTTTAACAAACATTATCTCATTGAATTTCAGAATAATTCTAGGTCATAGGAACTTTATTATCCCCATTGCACAAATGAAGAACTGAGGGGTAGAGAAGTTAATATCTTATTCAAAGCCTTATAGGCAGCAAATGGCATAGCTTATATCTGTCAAATTTCAAAGTTGGAGTTTTTAGTAGCTTACCTATTGGGCTATGTTGACATGTTCATGACTTTCTTTTTTTATTATTATTTATTTATTTATTTATTTTTGAGACGGAGTCTTGCCCCGTCGCCCAGGCTGGAGTGCAGTGGCGCGATCTCGGCTCAATGCAAGCTCTGCCTCCCCAGTTCAGGCCATTCTCCTGTCTCAGCCTCATGAGTAGCTGGGACTAGAGGCACCCGCCACCACTCCCGGGTGATTTTTTGTATTTTTAGTAGAGATGGGATTTCACCGTGTTAGCCAGGATGGTCTCGATCTCCTGACCTCGTGATCCGCCTGCCTCAGCCTCCCAAAGTGCTGGGATTACAGGCATGAGCCACCATGCCCGGACCGACATGTTCATAACTTTTGACCTCTCCAAATATTCCCTAATGTGAGAGTTGAAAGTACACACCACTACCTGTCAATACATCTGCTGTGTTACAGGATGATTTCCTAAAGTATGGTTTCTTTAAAAAAAAAAGTTACTTTCCTGTCATTGCAATAGTTTGCTCAGAATGATGGTTTCCAGCTTCATCCATGTTCCTACAAAGGACATGAACTCATCCTTTTTTATGGCCACATAGTATTCCATAGTGTATATGTGTCACATTTTCTTAATCCAGTCCATCATTGATGGACATTTGAGTTGGGGGGGGGAGGAGTGGGGAGGGATAGCACTAGGAGATATACCTAATGTAAATGACGAGTTAATGGGTGCAGCACACCAACATGGCACATGTATACATCTGTAACAAACCTGCGCGTTGTGCACATGTACCCTAGAACTTTAAGCATAATAATAATGCAAAAAACAGTTACATTTTCTAATATGGAAACCTCACCACCTGAAACCAAAGATACAGAGACATCTGTTGCTTCTAGCCTTGGTCAGAATTGACTTAGAAACTGAGTGTCAGAAATGATCAGTTCTGAGGCATAGCCCACTGACCAGATAGGCAGAGAGGATAAATTTTAAATAAACTCTGTTAAGTCCAACAAAGATATATTTTAACAATGACTTTCTAAACGCACGATTGTATTAGTTGATGCCAGAACTGCAAAGGAATATAACAAGGTGTGCTGGATGCTTTATTCCTAGGATAAGTAGAGATGAATCTTGAGTTAGTCCAATTCAGCCCCACTTCAACTATGAATACAGCATTTTGCTTCTAAACCATCACCATCATTTTATTTATCTAAACCACCATCATCTCTATCTCAAAGAGCTTCTAAGTGTTCTGGGTCATTCTAGGAGGATTCTTCACATGGCAAGGTGGAGGAGGGCTGCACAGAGTGTCAAAGTGCAGGTGCACATCACTCCTAATCAATAATGTCCTGGCAGCTATCAGTGAAATTTACTCACTGGAGGGTGAAGAGATGAACATTCTTTTAGTTTCTTGGCATACGGAATGTTCAGTTTTCACTTGCATGGGAATGGAATACCTTCAGATAATGCAACTTTCATATGCCACTCTGGTACTGGGGACAGATGCAGCTCACATTGGCATAGGGTGGACAGTCCTTTATTAGTAGCTCAGCTGTCATCTCTTTGGTTCCACATCCAGCCCATGGTATCTTTATCTAGTCTGAGAGTGTGAAAACTGTTTTGCATCTTCTTCCAACTATATTGGTCTTATATCCTGGATGCTAGCTTTAAAAATCCAAAAGTCAAACATTTAGCTCTGTTGCTGTTTCTGCTTTGAAAACTCTCCTTAAAGTTTAGTTGCCTAAGCTGGAGGGAGATGCTTCTATGTGTGTTTGCAATGATCTCTGTAATATTTCCCTTGTCTAATTAGACACAAGAATTTCCAGTCACAGCCACAGATTGTCAACCAGAGGTCTCCCCCATGGGGGACTGCCATAAGCTTAAAGCAGGAAGGGGCAGAGAATGTGTGCTTCTGGCAGGCAAACAGGCTCTTAATGGAAAATAAGGAAGGGGCTGAGGTAAGCATGCTCACTTTTCTTCTAAACACATCAATCAGTCATTCCTCCCTCTCTGTGATGAAGACTGGGAGCATGGAGAAAACCTATACAAGTTCCTTCTATGACTTTTGCCACTGTGTAACAAAGTGAGAATTTCCTCTTCTATGGAAACTTGAACAGTGGGAAAAGGGTGCCAACTTTCCTTCATACTCAGCAACAGAGTGAGGATCACTAGAATAGAGGTGCAATGGTAGGCTATAACTCCATACAGAAGAGGAACTTCTATATGGAGTTCAAGTGGGAAGTATGAAAAGGGCAGAATAAAGTAGACCAGACCTCTTATTTTCATGCTATGGAGTTAAGTTTCAACACCACCTCAAAACCCCTCTGTTGTAAGTAAAGAAGAAGAAGGACAGTGAGCCAAGATCATGCCATTGCACTCCAGCCTACGCAACAAGAGCAAAACTCTGTCTCAAAAAAAGAAAAAGAAGAAGGAAAAAAAATGAAACAAAACAAAACTCTAGCTAGACAGAGTTTCATGCTTGGTTTCTCTTTCTACAACTTTAAATACTTTTCTGGAATAAATAAACATGTGCTAAGTGCTTCCACTGGAAATTTCAACCACAGCTCTACATCTCTTGGTCAATTAATCAACTAGTCAGTGAAAATGCACTGACTTTGTAATCCCAGCTACCAGGAGGCTAAGGCTAATGCAGGAGGATTGCTTGAGCCCAGGCATTTGAGGCTGCAGTGAGCTGCAATTGTGCCACTGCGCTGAGAGAGCTGCTACCTAACAGTAGTGTACTCCAAATCAACTGAGTGTTGTGTTTACTTGCTCTTGGCTGTGCTAGAACCCAAAGATCTTTGGTTACTGAGATTAGACTGGTAACTTTGGATACTGAGATTAGAATTTGAAGAATAGGTAACAATAGGCAGGAAAGATAGTTACCCATATGGTATGAAATTATAATGAAATGACTGCATTTATTGAATACTTCTGTGAGTCAGACATTCAATTACATGCTTTACATGTGTTACCTAATTTAATGAGAGAGGAGAAATTATCCTCAATTAACAGATAATAAAGTAGAAGTTGAAGAGGTTAATAATTTGTTCAGGATTAAATAGCAAACAAGTGGAGGACAACTCGAAACCAAGTCTATTTAATTTTTAAACCCAAGTTCTTATATCTCCTAAGGGATAGAACTTCTTTTGCAGGGGAAGAGATTCTCCAAAGATTGGTCATGGAGACTGATGTGTCACTGCTAAAGACACATTTCTTCCAGTTAAAGCAATGTTGTCACACCCACATAATTTTTGGTCATATTGTAATATGTTTAGTAGTTTTACTTAAATCAGCTCACAAATTTGGCTTAAACGAAGGAATGAATATTTTACTACTTTAAGTGAAAACCAGTGTTACATATAAAAAGAAGATAATTACACATATACAAGACAATGTTATTAGATATCAATGTTATCAGATATCATGTCATTAAATATTTGCTTCCTGGTGCAGACTTTGAGGTTAGACCTGCTGTGTTGTTGTTAAAAAAGAAAATGAAATTAGTAAATTTTGGAGATGCATTAAGACAGGCTAACACTACTTCGAGATGTTTTCTTTGGTATCCTCAAGAGATTTGGAGTAGAAATAAAAAGGTTATAAGGTTTTCACAAAGTGATTTAATATTGCAACGTATTGTCCATTTACCACTTTAAGTCATCTCCATGAAGCCAAAGGTAATATAGGAAAAGCTAAGATAAAGTATCACATCCCCAGGAATGTCTCATTAAAATGTGCTACCCTCTGGTTTATAAGGGGATGAGGGGCAAAATTAAAAGTTGCCCTGAAGAGAAGAGACGTAGAAGTGGTGGAAAGAAGTAATGAAAAGTAGAGGGTATTTCCAAAATTTGGCTCTGCAGAGCTTCCTCCAAGAAAGTACATTCATTCTTGGAAATACATTTTTCCAAAAAATATGTTTTCTTATGCCACACTGTCCACTTCACAATTCTTGCCAAGTTTATTTATCATTTAAAATGTTATATGGTATTGTTTTGTTACGCCATTTGTTAGCAACCATTATATTATTTACACACTTGGCACACTGCACCAGGAAAACTACCAAATCAAAAATATCTATTTTTTGCTACCAGAAAAAAAAAATGCTTCCTAAAGCATTTGGGAAGAAGTAATAAAAAGAAGAGGATAAGGAACTAGAAAAAAGATTAATGAGTGATCCAGATAGTCAAATTTTCATCCCAGAACCATGTGGTCAGTCTCTTGGCTGGTACAGCCCAGGTCACAATAATAAAATTTTTATAGTTAACATTTATTGACATATATACCATAGAGTGCTTAGCATATGTCAGAGACTCTATTAAGCATTTTCATGTATTAATTCATTGAATCATTCTGACATCCATAAATTAAAAACTATAATTATTCTCATTTTACAAAAAAGAAAATGAAAGCACAGAAAGGTCAGGCTACTAGCCCAAGTCACATGCTATTTTGTGATGCAGCTGAAATTTGAACTGAAACAGCAGGGCCAGAGATGACACAGCCCCAATATATTGGTGTTAAGCCATCTCCTAATTTTTCTGAGATGACTCTCTCTCTAGGTATGACAAATTAATACATGAGATATTGTGTCCAATTTATCACATGCTATAATCATGAATTTAGTTAATCCATACTAATAGTAATCATTTGCAAAGTTGCCTTGAGGCACAATCTTGTTTACGATTAAATCCCCTGGATCCAACACAGACCCTGGCAATTATAGTTGGTGTCCCATAATAATATTAGTGACCATGGCTAGCAATATGGTAGAACGAAAGAGTCAACTGAATGAAGGCCACAAAACCCGGGTTCACTCAGCAGATATAAAGGCCTGGAAAACTCATCTACATTTGCTGCTCTTTACTTTCCTTGTCTGTAAAATGGGTATCTTAACCTCCTTCCATATGGCTTGATTATTGTGAGGTTGGTTTAAGGAACCAACATAAACTCTGTAAAGGACCAAGAACTAGGTAGAAAAACTTTGGCCTCAATTATGCCTTCTAGGGCAAAATATTTGAAACAATAGTTCATAAAAAGGATATCCAATGCCCAATTTTTTTTAAGTTTCTCAATTTTATTAATTATGATGGAAGTGCAAATCAAAGTCACATTGAGATACTACCCCATACCCACCAGAATTGCTAACATAGAAAAAGGCAAAGTACACAGAATGTGGAGCAACTGGAACTCTCATATACTGCTGGTGAGAATGTAAAATGATACAATCACTTTGGAAAATTCCTTGGCTATACCTACTAAACGTAAATATGTGCATATCCTATGACCTAGTAATTCCAGTGCTAGCTATACATTTGCTCATCAAAAGACATGTAGTGGAATGTTCACGGCAGCACTATTCATAGCAGTTCACAACTGGAAAAAACAAATGACCGACAATAGTATAATGGATAAGTAAATTGTGGTACATTCACACAATGGAATACCACACTGCAATAAGAATGAACAAACTGGCCGGGCCTGGTGGCTCATGCCTGTAATCTCAGCACTTTGGGAGGCTGAGGCGGGTGGATCACGAGGTCAGGAGATAGAGACCATCCTACTAACACGGTGAAACCCCGTCTCTACTAAAAATACAAAAAATTAGCCGGGCGCGGTGGCGGTGCTTGTAGTCCCAGCTACTCGGGAGGCTGAGGCAGGAGAATGGCGTGAATCCGGGAGGCGGAGCTTGCAGTGAGCCGAGATTGCGCCACTGCACTCCAGCCTGGGCGACAGAGTGAGACTCC
The DNA here is from genome assembly GCF_000001405.40 of Homo sapiens. Lineage (NCBI taxonomy): Eukaryota > Metazoa > Chordata > Mammalia > Primates > Hominidae > Homo > Homo sapiens. Next base: position 11,188,914 of record NC_000017.11, read on the forward strand.
ATCTCAAAAACAACAACAACAACAACAAACTACAACTTCATAAATAATATAGGTGAAGCTCACAAACTTAACACTGAATTAAAGAAGTCGGACCATAAAAAATATATATATAATATATAATCTTACTTACATAAAGATCAAAAATAGGCAAAACGAATCTATGGTATGAGAGGTCAGGAGAGTGGGGTACAAGGTAGACTTCGGTGTGCAGATAATGGTTTCTTGAGCTGAGTGCCGGTTACATGCTTATATGAAGTTTGTGAAAGTTAATTGGTTTACTTGTGTACTTTGCTGAATATGTATTATATTGTAATTAAAAGTCAACGCACAGATACATATGCAAACTTCATTCTCTCTGTATCTTTAAATGGCTTCTGTATAGCAGCCACTTATAAATTTCTCTAACTTCCTGATTAACATGCCTATTAAGATAGCAAAGTAAAAGATAAAAAAAAAAAACTCGCAGTGCTCGAAGTCTGGCAGGCAAACCTGTTGGGAGCACTGGAGGGAATTTTTGTTTGCCTCCAGGCTGCTGATGTAAGGTTGAAAACAATCTTTTTTTTTTTTTTTTTTTTTTTTTGAGACGAGTCTTGCTCTGTGGTCCAGGCTGGAGTGCAGTGGCGCGATCTCGACTCACTGCAAGCTCCGCCTCCCGGGTTCACGCCATTCTTCTGCCTCAGCCTCCAGAGTAAGCTGGGACTACAGGCGCCCGCCACCACGCCCAGCTAATTTTTTTGTATTTTTAGTAGAGACGGGGTTTCCCCGTGTTAGCCAGGACGGTCTCGATCTCCTGACCTCGTGATCCGCCCGTCTTGGCCTCCCAAAGTGCTGGGACTACAGGCGTAAGCCACAACGCCCAGCCGAAAACAATCTAAACAGAGTACCCTGTGATGCCATGGGTGAGCCTGTCTTTTTGAAAATAGGTAGAAATACGTTTCTTCCTTTTCCAGTATCTTTAGAAACTTGAAGTCTGCACCTAATGGAAAATTGAGCTCACATCCTTGCTTTAACACTGAGGGCAAGGCAGGGTGGGGTCTCTCCCTCCTCTTGCCATTACAAGCCTCGTTATCATATAAAAGAAGCTTGAAATGGCCAGTCCTGTTATCCCAGGACTTTGGGAGGCTGAGGTGGGCGAATCACCTGAGGTTAGGAGTTCGAGACCAGAGTGGCCAACATGGTGAAACCCCGTCTCTACCAAAAATACAAAAATTAGCCGGGTGTGGTGTGGTGGTGGCACCTGTAATCCCAGCTACTCAGGAGGCTGAGGTGGGAGAATCGCTTGAACCTGGGAGGTGAAGTTTGCAGTGAGCTGAGATCATGTCACTGCAATCCAGCCTGGGCAACACAGTGAGACTCTGTAAAAAAAAAAAAAAAAAAGAAAAGAAAAAAGAAAGAAAGTATCTCTTTTACTTGGTATGTCTCCTAAATTAGGAATTCAGTTTTTTAGCTATGTTCAGGTGGATCCTATAGTGATGGGGAAAATATGGCTCGGCAGAACTTCCTCCAAGAAAGTATGTTAATTCTTGGGAAATGTATTTTTCCAGAAAATATGTTTTCTTGTGCCATATTGTCTAGCTCACAATATTTGTGGTTTGTTTATCAATTAAAATGGTATCTAGTATTGTTTTGTTATACCATTTGTTAGCAACAGTTATGTTATTTACACATTTGGCACACTGCACCAAGAGAACTATGAAATCAAAAATATCTGTTTTTTGCTATCAGAAAAAAAAATTCTTCCTAAAGCAATATGTTGATATTTTCATTGTCAAAAAACTTAAGTGGACATTTTGTTTATTTAAAACTTATATCGAAGTTGATATCTATGATGTGTAAAGTGTTCCTACAAGTAACAAACAATCCAAAAGAAAATGGGGGAAGGGTATCAACAGCAATTTACAGAATTTACAGTGAAAATGGCAATAAACATAAAAATATGCATAGCCTTCTTAGTCATGAAATAAATGCAAATTAAATAATAATGAGATGCTACAGTTTTCAGATTTTTAATCCAGCAATCCTACTTCTGGATTTTTATTTTATTTTATTTTATTTTATTTTGTTTTTTGAGATGGAGTTTCGCTCTTGTGCCGAGGCTGGAGTTCAATGGCGCCATCTCAGCTCACTGCAACCTCTGCCTCCCAGGTTCAAGTCATTCTCCTGCCTCAGCCTCTCAAGTAGCTGGGATTACAGTCTTCCACCACCACAGCTGGCTAATTTTTTCGTATTTTTAGTAGAGACGGGGTTTCACCATGTTGGCCAGGCTGGTCTTGAACTCTTGACCTCAAATGGTCCACCTGCCTCAGCCTCCCAAAGTCCTGGGATTACAGGTGCGAGCCACCATGCCTTGCCTCTGGGTATTTATTTTAAAAATTGAAATAAGGATCTGGAAGAGCTGTCTGCACCCTCATGGTCACTGCAGCATTATTCACAACAGACATGGAAACAACCCAGATTTCCATTGACAGATGAATGGATAAAGACAGCATGGTAAAAACATTCAATGGAATATGATTCCACCTTAAAAAATTGGAAATTCTTGCTGGGTGCAGTGGCTCACGCCTGTAATTCCAGCACTTTGGGAGGCCGAGGCGGGCAGATCACGAGGTCAAGAGATCGAGACCATCCTGGTCGACATGGTGAAACCCCATCTCTACTAAAAATACAACAATTAGCTGGGCATGGTGGTGCGCACCTGTAGTCCCAGTTACTTGGGAGGTTGAAGCAGGAGAATCGCTTGAACCCAGGAGGCAGAGGTTGCAGTAAGCCGAGATCGCACCACTGCACTCCAGCCTGGCAACAGAGCGAGACTCCATCTCAAAAAAAAGGAAATCCTGTCGTATGTGACAACCTAGATAAAACTGGAGGAAGTTATGCTAAGTGAAATAAGCCAGGCACAAAAGGACAAATACTACATGATACCACTTACGTGTAGAATCTAAATCAGTCAAATACATAGAAGCAGAGAGTAGAATGGTGGCTGCCAAGAGCTAGAGACGGGGAAATGGAGAGTTGCTATTAAACGGGTATAAAGGTTCAGTGATACAAGACGAATAAGCTCTAGAGATCTGCTGTACAACACCATGCCTACACTTACTAATGCAGTAAAGTGCAGTTAAAAATTTGTTAAGAGGGCCGGGCGCGGTGGCTCACGCCTGTAATCCCAGCACTTTGGGAGGCCGAGGTGGGCGGATCACAAGGTCAGGAGTTTGAGACCAACCTGACCGACATGGTGAAACCTGGTCTCTACTAAAAATACAAAAATTAGGCTGGGCACTGTGACTCACGCCTGTAATCCCAGCACTTTGGGGGGCCTAGGTGGGCGCATCACAAGGTCAGGAGATCGAGACCATCCTGGCTACCATGGTGAAACCCCGTCTCTACTAAAAATACAAAAAAAAAAAAAAAAAAAATTAGCCGGGCGCGCTGGCAGGTGCCTGTAGTCCCAGCTACTCGGGAGGCTGAGGCAGGAGAATGGCGTGAACCGGGGGGCGGAGCTTGCAGTGAGCCGAGATCGCGCCACTGCACTCCAGCCTGGGCGACAGAGCGAGACTCCGCCTCAAAAAAAAAAAAAAATTTTGTTAAGAGAGTAGATCTCATGTTGTAGTCTTACCACACACCCACACACACATACAGAATCAAAAGGGCACAAGGAAACTTAGAGGTGAGGAATATGTTTATTACCTCGATTGTGGTGACAGTATCATGGATGTATATGTTTCTAAACTGAGTGAATTTTACACTACATTGAATATATATGGTTATTTGTTTATCGATTGTACCTATAAAGGTGTAAAAACAAACAAAAATGTAATAAGTGATCCAAAATAGAAGAGAAAGTCAGGAGAGAATTATATCACAAAAGTCAAGAAAAAAGGGTTTCATGAATAACAGAGTGATCAATAATAATGAATGGGGCAGTGAGTTCAAATGGAGATTTTTAAACTTAAAAAAAAAAGAAAATCTCCAATATTGTCTTAATAGGGAATTTCATACATTGTTGGTGAGAGTAGGACCAGAATATCCCCTTTAGAAGACAATCAACTTTAAGATTTAAAATGTACATCAACATTTGAAAATTGTAAGCCTTGGCAGGGCACAGCAATTCTACTATATGCCTGGGAAGCAGAGATATTTGGCAAGCAATGCTAATAACTATAAAATTGAGGCCGGGTACAGTGGTTCAAGCCTGTAATCCCAGCCCTTTGAGAGGCCAAGGCGGGTGGATCACGAGGTCAAGAGTTCGAGACTAGCCTGGCCAAGATGGTGAAACCCTGTCTCTACTAAAAAAATACAAAAATTAGCCGGACACGGCGGTGGGCACCTATAATTCCAGCTATTTGGGGGGCTGAGGCAGGAGAATCGCTTGAAGCCGGGAGGTGGAGATTGCAGTGAGCTGAAATCGTGCCACTGCACTCTAGCCTGGGAGACAGAGCGAGACTCCATCTCAAAAGAGAAAAAAAAGAAAAGAAAGAAAAAAAAGAAAATTGTAAGCCTTTTGACCTGTGGTTCTTCCAGAGATGCTTATGCAAGTGTGGAAAGACACAATTAGATGATATTCTCTGCACATGTGTTTGTAATAGAAAAATTGCAAGAAATCTAAAAATGAATGGGAAAGTTTAAAATTAATACTACTGCCATATCAAGTTGTTCAATGCAAAAAGAAGATGGGAGAAGAGACTATTGTATATTTAAAACCGTATATAATCCATTTTTTAAAAAACACACACACATGCATATGTCTATGCTTAAGAAAAATTCTGGATGAATATGAAAATTCTTATCAGTGGTCATTTTGGGGAGGGTGTGATAGCAAGTGGTTTCACTTTCTGCTTTTTATATTTCTGTATTGTTTGAATTCTTATAATATGTTTCTAAAACTGCTACAATCAGGAAAGACAATAAAGATATTTAATACTACAAGATGTACTCCAAATGCTAGGAATGTTATATCTAAGTGATGGAAATTTGGATGGTTTTAAAATTATTTTCCAAAATTGTCTACAGTGAATATCTATTCCTTTTCAAATCAGAAAAAATAGTGGAATTTAAAATAATAAGTCTACAATTTAAACTCTAGCATATGATCAAATTTATGTATAAAATATGCACAGCATAAAGCCTCAAAAGACATACACCTAAGAGTTAATGGTAATTAAATGGGTGGTGGGATTATAGGAGATTTTTCCTTCCTTCTGCTCACTTGCAATCAACAGCTGAGTGATGTGAAGATCAATGGTTGGAATGACAGCAAATTTATCATTATTGTAATTGATGTGCTCATTAGTACCTTAGTTCTCTCCCCTGGTTTCCTACAGGCTTATTATTTCCACACAGCAATGTTAATTATGGTGATAAAACCCTGGAATGAATGGCTAGAAGTAGATCCAATGGCACCATGGAGGTAAGCCAACAGAATAGAAAGGAGTCTTGCTTTATTCTGTCCTGCCTCCTACCTTAAGACAAGTCGATTTCTGAATCACTTTACACATACAGTTGTCAGTAATTTTCCTGAAGACAACCGAAGAAACACAATCTGGATACTGGCATTCCAGTGCTTCCTACAAATAATTAAATCTCACAACTGGGCAAGTCACGACCTTGTGCTTTTGTTTTCTTTTATAAACAAAATTCAGCAATGGATGTGGGTCAGGACTTTGTAAAAACAAAACCCCAAACTTCAAGGTTTACCCTTGGAAAGAAATATCTAAAATGAGGAAGAAGAGTTGCCCAATGTCTCCAGCCCTGAGGCCCCTTTGTCTTTCAACAGTCTTCCACCCTAATGCCCACTGCCACCATCACCACCATGTAATGAAAAAATTGTTTATAAAAGAAAACAAAAACATAAGGTAGTGACTTGCCCAGCTGTGGGATTGAATCATTTGTAGGCAGCAATGAAATGTCAGTCTCCAGATTGTGTTTCTTTGTCTGTTTCCTAAGAAAACACCAATTCTTTTTTAATGGCTCAAGCATAAATAAAACCCTTTATTTTATCTCTTTTTACATAATAGAATTTTCAAAAGTTCTTTCTAAATAATAGCATAGCTGTACAAAATATGAAAAGAGCAAAGTCTAAAACAATACACCAAAATGTTAACAGTGGTTTTATTGAGGAAGTACACCTATATGTTATTTTTACTAATTATTTTTTCTAGGCTCTTTAAAATAAGGCATATACAAGGCATATACATTTTTACTGTGCAGTGAATCTTTCACTACACAGACAGAAGTCTCTTCATCTCAAGAAGCTCTTCTTCTAATATATCATTGATTATTTCTGTAGTTAAATAGTTCTGTTTCCTACTTTTAGAACAATAATTATCTGGTCACTAATTTTACGTTCTCTGTTTTCACTATCTATCATTTCTCTAATTGGAATTTTCCCCATTTCCTGTATATTCTTGGAGAGCTTTTCCAATTTGTTATCATCTCTGTCACCCATATGATATTGTCTGCAGGTTCAGTTCTATTTGTCTCTACAATTGCTGTTAAAATATCAGCTTCATTGCCATATTCTTCCATCTCTTTTTTCATCTTACCCGGTTGTCTTTTCATTTAGCCTACTCTTGCCTTAAAGATTTTTTATTATGTGTCAGGGAAATAATGATTTCTACTCTACTGACAATGCTAAATCATGTCCTAATGATTCATTCTTGATTCTGAAATATATCCTTTTCAGATATAAGTTCTTATTTGTCTCTGGATTGATATTACCTTTCTATTCTTCAGCAGTATTTTTCACAAATTGGTAGTGAAATTCCCCTTGAGACAGTATCTGTTCACTGGGGTGATGAAAAATCCCCTGCTTAGATCTATGTTGTTCACTTATCAGTGTTAGGTTAACTGATCAGCATTATGTTAATGTATGTAAATGTATCAGCATAAATTAACATGTATAGCTCCTAATCCAACTTTCATTCCAATGAAATGAATCAGTGTGGAGCAGAATCCAATGGTTTGATGCTGAAAGAAAGCAATAAGGAGGAGGGCTCTGTACTCTAAGAGATGAGAAGGGCACCGAAAGTGACATGGGAGGCATTTTAAGCACATTTTATTTTCTTTGCACATTTGCCCTGGGCTAGCATTGGCCCCCGCCTTGTACAGTACAGCATCTCTGTGCTTGCCATGAATATGTAACAGGGAGGAATTCTGTGGGCTATGAATAAGGGTGATGAGGAAAAATAGGCTGTTGTGGTCAAATATACTTAGGAAACAGGATGAAATACAGTTGAAGAGGTTTGTTTATTGTGTCAATATTCAGACACTCAAATATGTTGAGTGGATTGTGTATGTCTAGGAAGTGGCTGGCTTGATTAGGGAACATTTCTCAGACTTCATTGACAGTGATAAACTGTTGATGGAACATCGTATTGATCAGACATTTCCTGGAAGATACTTTGAAGAACATTGTTTTACTTTTGTACAACTCCCATTCTCTCTCACTCGAGCCTTTCTCTGCCCATACAGATAAGGCATGGGGGTCACAGGGCAGCTAGTTACAACACGCCAACTTCACGGGGCTCCCTAGAAAAACCTAGAGTCTCTCATGGAGGGGTAAGGAGAAGCAGCTGTACATGGCAAATATGATTTATTTGTGGCATGAGTGTTTCCTGCCACCCATGGCAAAGAATGAGGATTAAAGAAGGAACACATTCAATTACAAGTCAATTTCAAGAGGCTCAGACATAAGTGAGGCCCTGAGTCCTTCTTCATTTTTATATGCACCTAGCAGTACAACCAGGAAACAAAAGTGTATTGTTCATGAAAAAGTTGTATCATACAGATATTTTCTCGATGTGATGTGGCTCATAGTTTCCCATAACATCCAATTAATATGAGACTAGAGGGAATAAAGAGCTCATTGACTCCAACACCCTTAATTTACAATTTGGGGAAACTGAGGACCCCAGATGCAAAGCAGCTTGTTATAGGGGACACGGAATAGCAGTGCTGAGTCTGGAACTGAGTGCTACCCCCACTAAACTGAGATGCCCAGGATAGAACTTTTAAAAATACGAGTGTGGCGTTAAAGACCAAATAAGAGCAAAGCTAAATGACAGTAAAACCATCTTTGCAAAAATTATGACAGTGAGATAAATCTAATGTAGAAAAATTATGACAGTGAAAGAAATCTGATGTAACCAACTCCATCTTGCTTCTAACCTACAAGCTACCCCCTCCTTCATTCCCAGGTACAGGCTAAGCTAACTATGGCAGGAATTTAGTTTATAGTTTAACTTTGAAACAAAGATGATAATAGCCCCTTCCCAAAACAAACCTCCTACTTGCTTGGGGATCAGACCATTTTTATAAAACTAACACATTAGCCACGAGATTAAAAATTATGCCTCAAGAGTCATGCATCCAGAGGTCACAAGATTCCTAATCTCCCCAATTGCTCCTATAGCTAGCATCACTATTGTAAAACCTAAGATTGGTATTCAAAGTAGTTTTCAGACTCTGCATTCTGATGGACTAGGTGGCACCATCCAGACTGGTAAACTGGCTTATCTTTCTTGTGACCCCACCCAGGACTGACTCAGTGCCAGAGGACATGTTTTGACACCCTGTGGTTTTGCATCCCTGACCCAACCAATCAGCATTCCCCATTCCCTAGCTCCCTGCCTGCCAAGCTATCCTTTAAAAACCCTAGCTTCTGAAGTTTTTGGGAGGCCGATTTGAGTAATAATTAACTCCTGTCCTTTCACTTAGCTGGCTCTGCATTTATTAAGCTCTTTCTCTGTTGCAAAAATCTGCTTTTCTCTGTGCATCAGCTTTTCTGAGCAGCAGGAAAGATGAGCCCATCAGGTGATTACAAGAGAGCTTTATTCTAAACATTTTATTCATCATTCTTAAACAATTGCAAAATTTAAAATTTCTTAGTCTTTCCATTTTGGCAGATTTTTAAAAAGGATTGTTATTTCTTTCATTCATTCATTCATTCATTCATTCATTCATTCATATTTACTGAGCATCTGCCATATACCAGGCACTGTATTAGAGGCTTGGAGTATCATGGTGAAAACCTTTGGCATCAATTTTGCTTATATTTTGATGGGGGAAGACAGATATTATCAAAATGATGTTTATACACATTACTGGGTTGATTATAACAAATTGTACAAGTACCAGACACATGTAGACACATAGAAAGCTGAAGAGTAATACCAACTAGAATAAACAAAATTAATACTGAACCATGAATACAAAGAGTCAAGGAGCGTAAAAAATGAGATTGTTTTTGTGACCTTGAAATCCCATTTGCCACAGAAGTGGAGGCAGAAATGAAAATACCACTATTGCAATCCTCATGTGTTTGGAAAGGGCTCTGGGGTGGGACCCAGCCCACAAAGATGGTTCTAGACTGATTTCCTATTTGGTAAACCCAAGTGAATTTCCCACCTCCTTTAGCAACACAGCTTTCTAGTGAAGAAACAAAAATAGGCATGTATATGCTAAACCTGAGTTGAATCACAGTGCTGAGATTATGGGCCTAGCTGCTAGGGATCTCGAGGAGCCTTGTCCAACATTCTAAATGATCCTTGCAGGCAACATGCCTTAGTAGGTTGCAAAGGACAATTCAGAGCAAGAGAACAGAAGCAGTTGCTGGGCAAGGTGAGAGGGTGCAGGCCATGTCACTGAGGGAAGACCTTACTTTCTCTTCCATTTCTGAGTGCTTTCAGAGCAGATAGAGTCCACTTTCAAGATTTCACCAGGCTGTAGAATAAAGAACAAACTGGGGCTTCAGAGGGAGGCCACACAGCCTCCTCCCTACTGGCTCCTCCACTGGGCACTTTGTGACATTGGCCAAGTCCTTCAACCACGTAGAGACTCACTGTCAGAGGTGTGTGAACCAGAGCAACTCCATCTTGAATAGGAGTTGGGTAAAATGAGGCTGAGACCTACTGGGCTGCATTCCCAGAGGGTTAAGGCATTCTAAGTCACAGGATGAGATAGGAGGTCAGCACCACATACAGGTCATAAAGACCTTGCTGATAAAACAGGTTGCAGTAAAGAAGCCGGCTAAAACCCACCAAAACCAAGATGGTGACAAGAGTGACCTCTGGCCGTCCTCACTCCTCACTGCTACACTTCCACCAGCACGATGACAGTTTACAAATGCCATGGTAAGGTCAGGAAGTTACCCTATATGGTCTAAAAAGGGGAGGCATGAATAGTCCACCTCTTGTTTAGCATACCATCAAAAAAAAAAAAACATAAAAATGAGCAACCAGCAGCCCTTGGGGCTGCTCTGTCTATGGAGTAGTCCCATTCTTTTATTCTTTCACTTTCCTAATAAACTTGCTTTCACTTTACTCTATGGACTCATCCTGAATTCTTTCTTGCATGAGATCCAAGAACCCTCTTTTGATGTCTGGATCGGGACCCCTTTCCTGTACCATCACTGCCCTTGCTTTGAAAAGCCCTCAGTTGAAAATTAAATGGGATTGCAAGTTTTAAGCCTGGCACACAGTAGGAGTTCAAAAAATACCACCTCCTCCTTCCCATCTTCTGCCTGCATTCTAAGCTAGGTTGCTTCGTAATTTTGTCACTAACTTTTGCTGGACTCTAATTTATCTGGGCGTCAGTTTCATCATCTATAACACGAAGAAATAGGGCGAGTGGTGATCCCCGGGGTTCCTTTCAGTTCAAGCATTTTAGGATTCTATCATCACAATAGACGCCCCACACAGGGAAGAAACAGCAGAAGCTGAGATTTCTGTGACTTTGGTCTGTAGGGGTGAGTTCCAGGAGGCTCCCAGGCATCAACCATGACCTATGCAAAGACAAGAAAAATAAATGATTAGGAAAGGGCCAACATTGCAGTGTGCATGCCTGCAAACAATTCACACACAGTTGGAGGCACCCAGCTGGAAACCAGTGTTTCATTTGCAGCTTCATTTGCAGCAGAAAAGTTGATATTTGCAATAATGTCAGTAACTTAGAGTTGGGATTCAGTGGCTCCTGGCGTGAGCCAACACCAAACAACCAATTTTCACTTTGCAAGTCAGAATGACCCCTCCGCTTCTCCATGCTAGAGGGAAAGGGAGGTATGGGTCTCTGTTGGGACAAGTTTGGGCACGGAGTCCACAAGGGCTTCAGATGGCAGTTTCTGGACTGCAGTTCTTGCCACTTGCAAGCTCTTCACACCACAAACACTTAGCTTTTCTCGTTTGGGGAGCTCTAGGGAGCCTATTCATCTTTCTTGGAGTCAGAAAGAGGATGGAGAAATCCAGGCAATGAAAAAAAAATGTGGAAGATGCAGCTGTTGGAAGCAACAAATAGAATATCAGATGGCCCCAGGAGTCCTGGGTATTTGTCTCAGATCTGTCACAAGCCGACTGTGTGACTATAACTTGTCACTTCCTCTTTCCAGATGCAGTTTATGCAGGTGTAAAAGGGAGAGGTCGGATGAGGTGGTCTTGAGTTGGCTTCCAACTCTTTCTATGACTCAAGTATTCTAAATGAGAAAGGGTGAAGAAAAGGAGGAAATGGAAGAAGAGACGGTGGATAGCAGGTGGGTGAGACTTTGTTAGAAAAGGAGGGGGAGGAAAGATGAGAAAGGCTGCAACAATAAAAAAGGAAAACAACACAGATTTGCAGAAAGTATTCCTCGCAGAGCCATAAGTAATTTCGAAAGTAGTCATGATTACAATCATTATCATAAACAACCGAAGTCCTAATTAACTTCATAAAGGGCAGCATCCTGCGATGATTCAGGAATGCTCTCTCTTGATGCTCCAATCTCTGGAACCCAGGGGGATCCCTCCCTTGTGAGCTCATACCTCCTTTCTTTTGCTATGACCTTTACTTTGGGGAGCCCACGGAAAGAAAGAGGAAGCACCTGCCCTGCGAGTCTGGCCAGCTGGTGTCCAGGAGCCCAGGGCAGCTCAATTGAGCACCAGGTCGCGGTTGCCCTCCAGAGACAGGGTCCCCAGCATCATCACCCACACCACTCTGAGCATCCCTGGCTGTGGGCACCACTAGTATCAGCATAATTGTCACTCTGTATCATCCAAGGAGATTCCCAGGTACTTCCTTAAGAATGGCGAGGCCTTGGGCTTAAAAATCTTCTGATTCATGGAAGAGCCACCTGTGATGTTCCTGGCTACCTCGTTTTACTATCATTCTCCTAACAGCCATTAGCTCAGCTTCTGCCTTGCCTGACCCCTATGGGGTGTACTGATCTCTGGTCTTATCTTTTTTTTTTTCTTTTGAGACGGAGTCTTGCTCTGTCCCTCATGCTGGAGTGCAATGGCCTCGGCTCACTGCAACCTCCGCCTCCAGGTTCAAGCAATTCTCCTGCCTCAGCCTCATGAGTAGCTGGGATTACAGGTGCGCGCCACAACACTTGACTAATTTTTTTGTATTTTTAGTAGAAATGGGGTTTCACCGTGTTTGCCACGCTGGTCTTGAACTCTTGACCTCAAATGACCCACCTGCCTTGGCCTTCCAAAATGAACAAGCAATTTCTTTAGTTGCTTGTGCACAGCCCAGAATGCTCTGCCCCTAGCAAACTGCAAGAAAACCGCTCTAAGCCTTCACTTAAGGACTTCTTTGCTATATTTAGGTTATGTTTACAGGATTGAGAATGAGAGGTAGAAGGAATAAGTTCAAGGACAATTTCTGGAAATAAATTAGGTTCAAATCTTTTCAGGGAAGTGACAGGCTTTAATTTTTGTTTAAGTGATGAAAGCTATTGTAATTTCTCACAAAGGCCTGCAAGTGATTTGAGATTGGTTTGTAAAAATGTTGAAAGAAAACCCGAATACAGAATAAGATAATCCTAGGAACTGTAATGATAAGATCATATCAGTTTGTGGTGTCTTGACATTATCTGAAAGGAAGAGGGTGAATACGGATCAGAGAACAATGAGCAAGAAAAACCAGTGTTACCCAAAAGCTAAGGGGAGAGGCGGGATGGCTATCTCTTAAAAATGCCAACTGGAGGAATTTTTTTTTTTTTTTTTTTTTTTTTTGAGACAGAGTCTTGCTCTGTCGCCCAGGCTGGAGTGCAGTGGCGTGATCTCGGCTCACCGCAAGCTCCGCCTCCCGGGTTCATGCCATTCTCCTGCCTCAGCCTCCCGAGTGGCTGGGACTACAGGCACCTGCCACCACGCCCAGCTAATTTTTTGTATTTTTACCAGAGACGGAGTTTCATCGTGTTAGCCAGGATGGTCTCGATCTCCTGTCCTTGTGATCCGCCCGCCTCGGCCTCCCAAAGTGCTGGGATTACAGGCATGAGCCACCGCACCCGGCCAACTGGAGGCATTTTTAAAGCATACCTAGTGATTACGGATAGCACAAGTATAGCCTGAGAAAGTCTGACTTTGGGAAAGGAGTTACAGTGAATTCATAATTTAGGACTAGGTGAATACTAGCAGTGTCATTAGGCAGAAATGGAGAACTATTGCATTCATAGAAGCGTAAAATTCGGCTAGGATTTTTTATTCTGTAATATTTCTCCAATACTATTTAAAAATTTTATATGTAAATATAGTCATTTTATCTCTATATATTGTTATATTAATAGCTTGTTTTTATAGATTTAGGAGCCCTATCATTTTGGCTTATTATATCTCAGTGTTTTCTCATCATGGGGAGAGTGCAGTAGAAAACTGGCTTGTGCACTTAAATTGCAGAATGGCAGCTGCCAGGAGACATTAAACTGGCCCCAGAGTGGAGTTCTCAGACAATGGGGTTGTGCATCTCAGTATCAGAAATGCCTAAAGTGCTTGTTATAAAGATTGTATTCTCAGGACCCCCAAAAGGTCCTCTAAGTTTGAACTGAGACCCAGGAATCAGAATCTTTTGAAGAGAGACCCAAAACTCAGGTTTTGAATAAGAACCCATGGAAACTCTATTTTCTAAAGATAGCTGCAACAAAATATCTCTCATCCCAGATCCTCCCTGCAGTACGATCTTGCCACTATACCATCAAGAAGTAGGTCTGTGTCTGTCACTCCTTGAATGCCGATGGGGTTATGGCTGCTTCGATCAACACAGTATGGTAGAAGTAACATATGACTTCCAAAGCTGGGTCATGAAAAGTAATGTTACTTCCACCTTGTTCTCTGGAGCCCACCTACTTGGAGTCCCAAACCAGCACCTAAGTCCAACTAAGCAGCAGCTGCTCTGCAGTGTGGCAGCTGGGCCACATGGAGAGACTTATCCAGGTGTTCTGGTGGACACGCATTACTCTTCAAGTCATCCCAGCCCAGACATTGAGGGAAGGAGCCTTCAGGTGATTCCACACTAGAGGATAAGCCTCTCAAACTCAACCCTAGCTGATGAGGACAAACAATAACACTTTAGTTGGAATTCACGCTAGAGTTCGTCCTAGTGTCAAGAATGATAATCACTTATGTTTTCATTCATTCAATAAAATAGGTACTGATTGCCCACTATTGCCAGGTTGTTCTAAAATCTGTGGATATAGCAAAAATCATGGAAAATTCCTCAGAGTCCTGGAGCACACATTCTAAGTGTAGCATGACAGTGTGTGGCTGGGTAGGAGACAGAGAAGGGCAGACAAAACAACTAAATAAACACATTAACATGATAAGGTAAGGTTAACGACTATGAAGACAATAAAACAAGGTGATGTGGTGGGGAGGCACTACTTTAGATTGTGTGGTCACAAAAGTTGTTTGAGCTGAGACCTGTATTACTTTAGTAGGGCTGTAGAAACAAAGTGCCACCCACTGGCCTGCTTAAACAACACAAATGTGTCATCTCCCAGTTCTGCAGGCCAGAAATCCAAGATCAAGGCTGGGCATGGTGGCTTATGCCTATAATCCCAGTACTTTGGGAGGCCAAGGCGGGTGGATCACCTGAGGTAAGGAGTTCGAGACAAGCCTTGCTAAACCATGTTTTCCTTGCTAAATCATGAAATCTTAGAGGTCAGCAACACTGTCTAGCACAGTGTGTGTTCAATAAATATTCACCAGACTGAATTTAGTGGAATACTAGTAAAAGCTTCAGTGTTGGACTTCAGATTGTTACTGGCAGTGCGTCTGGTTGGGGTGCTTGGTCCTTGGTCTTTGTCTTCTTGGAAGAAATAATTTGGCCAAGAGACAAAGTAGATTTAAAGCAGAAATGAGAGCTTCTTGAAGCCTGGCCAGCATGGTGAAACCCCGTCTCTACTAAAAATACAAAAATTAGCCAGGTGTGGTGGCTCGCACCTGTAATCCCTCCCAGCTACTTGGGAGGCTGAGGCAGGAGAATCACTTGAACCTAAGAGGCGGAGGTTGCAGTGAACTGAGATCGCACCACTGCACTCTAGCCTGGGGGACAAAAGGGAGACTCCATCTCAAAAAAAAAAAATCCAAGATCACAGTGTTGGCAGGGTTGATTTCTTCTGAGGCTATGAGGGAGAATATGTCCCATGCCTCTTACTCAGCTTCTGTGGTTTCTAGCAAACTCTGGCATTCTTTGGCTTGAAGAGGCATCATGCTGACCCCTGCCTTCATTTTCACATGAGTTTTTCCTGTATGGGTATCTATTTCCCAATTTCTCCTTTTTATATAGGATTAGGGTCCACTCTAATGATCTCATTTTAGCTCGGCTATCTCTGTAAAGGCTATGTTTTTCAAATAAAATAACATTCTGAGGTACTGGGGATTAGGGTTCAACCTAAGAATTTTGGTGGGGACCCAGTTCAACCTTTAACAAGACCTGAAGAATGAGGATCCATGATACAATAGTCCAGGGCCTATAGGAAAGCAGAAGGAGAAATGAGTTATGCTGTCAAGAACCAGCCTAGAAATCAAAGACTGGAATGTGGAGAGGAATGAGGAGCTTCAGCCTAGCTCCATCATCACTGTGGATAGCCAGCAGCAATGCTCTGGCCAAAAGTACAAGCTGCTCAGCTCTCACATGCAATCAGCACAAATACCTGTCAATTCTACCCATGACATCTCACTCATAACCTGGCTGTCCTCTGTCCCCGCCAGCTTGGCTTTGGTCAAGCATTTGTTTCTCTCTCCTATTATTTCATTGTTATATTTGTTTCTTTCTCCTATTGCTGTTTAGTCAATCTTTCTGCCTTCAGGCTCACTATCCTTCCATCCACTTTCTGAAATACCAGCAGCATCATTTTATAAAATAGAAATTGTATCCAATGTCACCCATTCTAAAAATCCTCTATTCCCTCCATCAGTTCAGGAGGAAGAACAAAATCTTTCTCATGGCACAGAAGGTTATATAAACCCAGCTAAGCTCCAGATGATGTTTCCAGCCTCTCTGTAACTCACGTGCACCCACCATTCCCCAGACTCGCTGTGCACTTTCAGGACTCTAGTTTTGTTCATGCTTCCCTACTCTTCTCATTATTTTTTCTTTGAAGAGCTAGTTCAAATTGGCACTCACCTCTAAAAAAAAAAAAAAAAAAAAAAAAGCCCAGCCACTTTTCTCTACTCTTTCCTGAACGCTTCCCCCACCTCCTATGCCTAAGCTAGGCTTAATTCCTCCTTCATCTCTGTTGGCATAACACTTTGTTCCGTGTTTGTCACGTTGGCTTATATTTATTTGTTTGCATATTGGTCATTTGTTTTCCTTGCTCAACCATGAATTCTTGGAGGTCAGAAACAGTGTCTAGCATAGCAGGTGTTCAATAAATATTCACCAGACCGAATTTAGTGGAATACTAGTAAAGGCTTCAGTGTTGGACTTCAGATTGTTACTGGCAGTGCGTCCGGTTGGGGTCCTTGGTCCTTTGCCCTTGTCTTTTTGGAAGAAATTATTTGACCAAGAGACAAAAGTAGATTTAAGGCAGAAACGAGAGCTTATTGAAGCACAGAAAAGTACACTTGAAGGGACCAAGCAGGCTACTCAAAAGACTGAGTGCGCCCCCTAATCTTTGGTTCAGCGCTCTTACAGATTTACTATTTCCTGTTTTCTTTCCCAGTCTCTTTCCCTCATCCTTCGCCTTGGGCAGGCTGTTGGCTAATCACCACATGTGCAGTGACTTGTCAGTATCTGGGAGGGGCTGCACGTGCCCTTTGGTGGTTGGAGCTATGTGCATGCTCTCTTATGGCAATTTTCCCTTATCAGTTCTAGCGCCCCCAGATGAAGATCATATGCTGCCCAGACTCTGCCATTTTGCCCCTTACCAGCATGCCTAGACACCTCTACTCAATTTTTAAGTTCTTATAGGTACATTGTTCCCCACAAACTCAAGCTGTTTCCTGGTTGTTAGGAAATTTTCACCTCTCTGTTTCCAGCAGCCCGACAGTCACCTAACATTCTTTGGGGTCCTACCCTGACCTGCTCATATCTGCCTATCTACCTACTCTAATACGATCAGCATTAACATATTCATGAACCTCTTGGTCATTAACATCGCTGGACCCAGAATCAGTGTTAACATGAACATGCTTGGCAATGTGTGTGTCACCATTAATATGGCTTAGCAGATTTGGCGTCTAGACTTGCATTCAAGCCCCAACGTTGTAACAAACCTTAGGAATTGTCTTGGCTCCATCTTTTTTGCTCTGTGCCTCGGTTCATTTATCTGCAGAATGAGACTTTTGCTTGCTAAAGACCTACAATTAGGACCATCTTTCATGCTGAAGTCAGAGTGTATATAATAATTGGATCACCGTCAGCATCAGTATCACTCTTACTGTTGCTTAGTCTTGGGGACTCAAGTGTGGGGGTACTTTACTGTTGCTCTTTTTTGTGGGTTTGTTTTGTTTTGGCTTCTGGGTTTTGTCTGTTTGTTTTTCTGGCAATAGCTTCTTTGACATTGATGTTACCTTTAGCATTTTTAGACCCGTGTTAGAAGAATGAAATGATTAAGGGTGTAGATTTGCATATTTTTTTGTTTTTCTTTTTTTCTTTCTTTTTTTTTCTTTTAACTTAGAAGCTCTTCGGTCATGGTAAATTAAAGCAGGTTTTCTGAAAATTTACCACACAGGAAGCTGTGCTGAACTTCTCTCCTGGCCTCCTAGACCCTCTCTCATTAATTTCCTCTAATTCTCATTAGCATGTTTCTACTGCAGACTCGGAAGCAGAGAGAAATTCTTGTGCAGCTAATTTAACACCTGCAGATTTTGAGAGTTGGTAGAGAAACCATATCAATAAAATAATCACTGGCTTTCTCGGAGATTTTAAATTTGAATCCTTTAAAGGTTAGACTTTTGTTATGATTTCTATTTATGTTTTTACATCAAGTTATATGTTAATAAATACTCTTGTCTTTTCAAATGTAAAGAGAGGCAGAAAACTGGAATAACCATTTTTGATATATCAATGGCCATAGTGAAGAAAGTATTCTGACATTTTGGATGTGGATATGGCTTTTCTCGTTGACAGCACCACAGCCTGCCTTAGAAAGCCCCCACAAATTCAGCTTGGGGGCTACAAGGTGGGATTAGGAAGTGAGGCACAGCCTGGGAGCTGAGTTAGGTCCTTTGGTTTGGAGATTTGTCAGGCAAAGATGGAAGCTGGAAAGCTCCCTCCTCTACTGAAGTCCATGAGCATGCAGTGTAGCAAAGAAGTGACGGGTGGGAAAATCTTCAGAGGTTTTTTTTTTCTTTTGAGACGGAGTCTCGCTCTGTCTCCCAGGCTGGAGTATAGTGGCGCAATCTCGGCTCACTGCAAGCTCCGCCTCCTGGGTTCACGCCTTTCTCCTGCCTCAGCCTCCCTAGTAGCTGGGACTACAGGCGCCCACCACTAGGCCCAGATAATTTTTTGTATTTTTAGTAGAGACGGGGTTTTACCATGTTAGCCAGGATGGTCGTGATCTCCTGACCTCGTGATCCACCTGCTTCAGCCTCCCAAAGTGCTGGGATTACAGGCGTGAGCCACCGCCCCCGGCCCAGAGTTTTCAAGTATAGTGTTTGTGGCGAGTTTTACTCCTCTTTTTCAGAGGGACAGAGACCTTATTCCCCAACCCTTCAAACAAACAAACAAACAAAACAAGTGAGAGGCTGAGAAGGGGATTCCAAGAGCATCACTAGGAGAGAGTTCCTGCCTACTAGAGGGGGAGACTAGCCTGGGGCTGGATGCTCAGGTGCAGGCCACTCCGAACTGCCCTCAGAGCAAGGCACCAAGTGATGCTTCTTGGGAGGATCTGACCATGTCCTTGGGAATGATAAGGGCACAGTGACAGATAGCTTTTCCTTTGGTGAGGTCTGAGGGGACAAAACTTGCAGGAGAAGCCCTCATCAGGTTGGGAGAGAGTGCCCAACAGAGGATGAAAGACCTGCATTCCGGGTCTCCAAGGCTTTCTGAAAGTTCGAGGAGGAACCTAATCATCCCCAGTCATCCCTGTATTCATCTGTTCTAATGCTACTAATAAAGACATACCTGAGACTGGGTAATTTATAAAGGAAATAGGTTTAGTTGACTCACAGTTCCACATGGCTGGGGAGGCCTCACAATCATAGCGGAAGGTGAATGAGGAGCAAAGTCACATCTTACATGATGGCAGGCAAGAGAGTGTGTGCAGGGGAACTCCCATTTATAAAACCAGCAGATCTTGTGAGACTCATTCACAATCATGAGAACAGCTTGGAAAAGACCCGCCCCCATGATTCAATTACCTCCCACCAGATCCCTCCCAGGACATGTGGGAATTATGGAAGCTACAACTCAAGATGAGATTTGAGTGAGGACACAGCCAAACCCTATCGATCCTGTAGAGGATCATCTAAGTTAGAAGAGTAGGCAGATGCTGAGGATATGCTCGGGACTGAGCCAGGCATGCACAGCCATACCCTTCAGGAAGGGTTGACGGTATGGACCACCGACAGGTCCAAAGGGAAACAAACAGGATGTTAGTGACAAAAGAGGCTGTAGTGAACTTGCACATTATCCCAGGAAGGCCTTGCTCACATCTCCACAGGTGCCACCACATTTCTGGAGACCAAATAGAAACAGATAAAATTGTGTCTGGAGTTGGTTCCTTCTGGTGGGTTCGTGGTCTCACTGACTTCAAGAATGGGGCAGCGGACCTTTGGGGTGAGCATTACAGCTCTTAAAGGTGGCACAGACCCAAAGAGTGTGTGGCAGCAAGATTTATTGTGAAGAACGAAAGAACAAAGCTTCCACACCATGCAAGAGGACCCAAACGTGTTACCGCTGCTGGCTGGGGTGGCCAGCTTTTATTCCCTTATTTGTCCCTGCCCATGTCCTGCTGATTGGTCCATTTTACAGAGTGCTGATTGGTCCATTTTACAGTGTGCTGATTGGTCCATTTTACAAACCTCTAGCTAGCTACAGAGCCCCGATTGATGTGTTTTTACAGAACACTGATTGGTGAATTTTACAAACCTCTAGCTAGCTACAGAGCGCTGATTGATGCGTTTTTACAGAACACTGATTGGTGAATTTTACAAACCTCTAGCTAGCTACAGAGTGCTGATTGGTGCGTTTTTACAGAGCACTGATTGGTGCATTTTACAAACCTCTAGCTAGCTACAGAAAAGCTCTTCAAGTCCCCACTCGACCCAGGAAGTCCAGCTGGCTTCACCTCTCAGAATGAGATGGACCCCACGAGACTAGGATGCTACAGAAATCTGATGATTAGATAAGGACATCTCCTAGGACCCTCTCCCTCGTCTCTGCCCTCATAGAGGAACAAACTTGGAAACATGGTGAGGAGGAGAATCCGGAATGAGACCATGGTCCCATCCCACACTGCAGGGAAGGAGTGAAAGAAAGCACAGGTCTCCTTTCCACTAGACAGTTATAGGGCCCCAAAGCTGATGATGGTGGAGACAAAGAATTTAAAATAGGATGTTTGATTAAAGCCTTACACCAGATTGGACTTTTCATAAAGAAAAGCAACCAGAAATTTGTGCAATTCGCTCAAGTTGTGGCCAAGGGGACGGGAAAAAGATTCAACAGAGTGTGCTTAAAAACACTTATAGGAAGAACAAAGCTGATGGATGTTGAGAACCCGCCAAGCTCTGATTGCCAAGCTAACTGAATTCCAGGAGGTCATTATAATAATGTCACTGGGAGGTAAGGAATAAATGTGACAATTATTAAACACACCACACACACTTAAGCAGAATCAAACTTCCTAAAAATTCTCCCAAATTCCCTTTGGGAAGCTTTCTCTTTCCAAGTTTCACACATGTTGCAGCTGTTGAAAAATGTCCCCTCTCCCTACACATGGTCCCTCCACTGCCCCCATGGCCTCCTTTGCAAAGCCAAGGCAGTTTGGCTGATCCATACGCCCACATGAGCCCTGGAAGGTTGAACCTTTCTGCCCAGGCTGAATTTACAGGGAGGACCAGCCTATGGGAAGTGTAAGGGAATGTCACCGTTCATCTGCATTAATTTCTTCCTTGCCTTTGTGACTTGCACATTCAGGATATTTGCCCATTTTTCTATTTCTGTTTTTCAAATTGTCTTATCAAAACATTTTATATGAGAAGAACATTAGTTCTTTGTTGTACATGACACAAATATGGTTTTTTCTTTTTTGCTACTTATATTTCAATCTTCTTTTTGTCGTCGTAAACTTTTACAAATTTAAGTAATCACGTGTATGATTTTTTTTTTTAGTTTTCAAGCACTCCAGTCCAAGATTTTCTCTTTTGATGTTTTGCTTGCTTCCTCTACTTCTGAATTACATTCAATGCCTCAAGTCTGTGTGTTTCATGCCAGCCTTCCTCCTGCAGTTGTTCTTCATTCTGTGGGAGGAGTTTGGTAAGTGGTTCCTTCAATATATAGGAAATACAGGTGATATACTTGCTACATCTTTGCTTGCCTTTTCTTTTCTTTCTCTCTCTTTCTTTCTTTCTCTTTCTTTCTCTCTTTCTCTCTTTCTTTCTCTCTCTCTTTCTTTCCTTCTTTCATTTTATTTCCTCTTTCTTTCATTTATTTTTGGCCCCTGTATTTTTTTGATAGCTTGGCTAGGTATAGAATTCTATATTCAAAATAGTTTTCCTTGGAAGTTTGAATATATTGTTCCTCTGCCTAAAACCCAGTATTGCTGACCAGAAGTGGATGTCAGTATGCTTATCTTCCCTGTGAGTGACCTCTCTTTTTCTCTCCAGAAGCTTTAAGAACATTCACTTTATCCTTTAAGTTAGGAAACTTCAGCAGGATGGGTCTATACATGAGCGATTTTCCCATTCATCATTCTCCATACTCACTAGACATTCAATTTTAAGAGGTATGTCTATTATCCACTCAGGGGATTTTATTTTATCTTCAATTTCTACATTTCTATAATATTTTTACCTTTTTATGCCTCTGTTCTCTCCTAGAAAATCTATTAGTTGCTGTTAGGCCTCCTAGATTTGCCACTTTTAACTTTTCTCTATTACATTTCACTTATCTTTTTGCCCCAAGTTCTGAGAGATTTCCTTGACCTTATCTTCCAGATCATCAACTTGATCTTCATCTCTGTCCATATTATTATTTAATGTATAAAGTGAAATCTTTATTATTGCAGGAAAAGCTTAAATTCAAAAATGATTTTTAAAAATCTGATTAATATATTTTCAAAAGAGACTGCTCTTAATTTGTGGTAACAGTATCTTCTGAAGCCTATAGGCAGAAATCAGAATAATTTTAAACAGTTCTCATCTTCTCCCCAAAGATTCTTTTATTCCCCTGCTTCATGCTGCTATTGGTTTCTTTTTGGTTTTTAATGAAGAGTTACTTTGATATGTGCAGATTATAGATGTGCATTTCCTCAGCAGTTGTGTGTCTCTTTTACAATAGGCCTCTTCCTTAAATAGAAAGTCTAAATATGAGCTCTCAGTCATCAAACAGGGTGACAGGCAGGCTCCCTTGTAATGCCTGGAGTCCAGAAACAAAGAAACAGGCTAGGGAGCCGCATAATTGCCAATGCAAAGCCCCCTGTGAGTGGAGCACCTGGTGCTTTGGTTCTCTCTGTTTCTCTTGCATTCCCCAAAACCATCACCAGGAGTTCACATAGGGTAGATTAAAGACTATGTACATCACTCGTTTACTTCTCCCATTAGAAGGTGGAGTTTGATCCCCCTTTCTTTGAGTCTATGGGGGCTATATGACTGGTTTGATCCAGAGAGTACAGCTGAAGAGACATTATCAGTTCTGATCCTGGGCCAGCTCTCACTTCCTGTCTCTTGGAACACTTGCTCTGGGAAAAGTCAGTCATTATGTAAAAAGTCCAACTACCCTGAGAGCACCATACTGCAAGGAAGCCCAAGCAGCCACATGGAAAGGCTGTATGAAGAGATGGACATCTGAGTAGACTTTGGATATCCTAGCCACTTGGACGGCTTGCACCATAGGCACCAGAGGTATGAATGAAGAGAGATTCAGATGGCTCCACCAGCCCCAGCCCCATGTACCTGAACCCACATGAGAGAGAGAACAAAAAGTCTGAACCAGTCAAGCCACGGAAAGGTGAGAGATAGGAAATCATTTTCAACTGTTTCACTTTAGAGTGGTTTGCTACAAAGCAACAATAATAGATCATCTGTTTTTGTTTGTTTGGTTGTTTTTGTTTTTTATTTTTTGTAGCAACAGATCAATCACTCTCTCTATAAAGTAGTTCTAAAGCTGCAGCCCAAGGATAAAACTTGTAGCTCTCAGAAACTCTGTTTAAGGGACAAGGGCCCACTGATACGGCCTTTCAAATGCAATTCCTCAATAAATATCTTGAAGATGATCTCTCGGTCCATTCTTGCATTTGGGGACTCTAACTTGGATAGTCTCTTGTCTCCTTTGACAGGACGGATGCTTAACTCTAGTACCTTGAACTGTGATTTTTCTACTTTTTCTCTGGCAATCAAATAAAGTCTACACTGTGTCCTTCATGCAGTCCTCCAAATTCAATAGTTAGTAATAGTATCTATTTTTTTCCCTTTGCTCTGTTACAGGGTGTGTGTTTGTGTGTGTGTAATTTTAATATAAACTTGGGAGAAAATGGAAGTCAAATTCTGTGCTCAGGCTGCCATCTTGAACCAGAGACCTATTAAATTCCTAAATAGAACACTGTGTTAGAAGGGCTATTCCTGTATTTTAGACAGTTTAGGAGTATTGGGCAAGTGAAGAGTATGTCACATGCTAATGTCCCATGAAAATCATTACCTCATGCAGAAAGGCACTTAAATGAATATTCCCGAGGGAGAGTGTTAAGTTCTCCCGATGTTGCCCAATGCTGGCCTTGAGCAGCATAAAGAGCAGCATCAGAGAGGGAGAAAATGACACAGGATTTTATGCCCAGTATGAAAGTTTTACAGGCAAGCCCCCAATCTTTCTGCAAATGTGAAGAGTTTGTATTTTATAATTCAGGTCCTCCTGTTGAGGGGAGGGGAGCACCAAACTATTATCCAATCTTTTGCCTGAATAGGAAGAGGAGATGAAATACATCTTTAGAAGGAGAGAGATCGGGCAAGTGCCCACTTTGGGTTGTATGCCCAGGTTCAAAGGCCCTGGGCAGGAGAGAGACAAAGTACCAAGGAATAGCCTGAGATGACTTTCTATGTGAAGCAAGAATTGCATTAGCTGTAATCGCTTGTCATGCTTGTCAGAAGTTTCTTCAGAGATGCAAATAACTCTTATTTAACATATTAGAGGTTTAATTGGCTTCTGTTTCTATTTTTAATGCATGAATCCTGTGGTCTCTAAGGTCTATGGGGCTGAGTTTGAGAAGAAGGGGTGGGGTCCCAGTAGACAAATTTCCAAGAATGAAAATATAAAATGAAGGAAGTGGGCAGTTCTGACAGGTCAGATTGAAGTAGCCAGGTTTCCTGGGAAGGTTAAAAACTTGGTGCCTCCTAAAACTGTGATATAATTGGAGTATTTGCTGATCTATTTGTTCATAAGCACTGCTTATTGTACAGTTGGTACAGCATGAGGGAAGGCCACACGCATGGGCCTAGCCTATTTTCTCATCCAGAACATTCAGCTCTGAATCTGAGCCTTGAGCATTCCATGCAGCAAAACCAAAGCCTTACCATTTACCAGACCTAGTCTCCTCAGAAGGCCGTAGATTAATACTATTATTGTTATTGTGGGACTCAGAAAGCAATTCCCCAAAATGAAGTCCTCAAAAGTAAAAGTTTTTCTCTGACCTTCTCCTGTTCTCCTGTCTCAGTCCCATTCTCTCCCTATTCTAAGGCTAGCAATGGAAACTAGAATCCCTCTTCCCCAAAGCCAGCCATAAAACCTAAAAATATTACTTTAGCTTTCCCTCTGCCTTTCTGTGTAAAACATGGCCATAAAAAAATAACCCGGCCTATTTTGTTTGACTGTAGGTCACAAGACCCTATTCCAAAGAGGGTCCTGCCCCACACCCAGAAGGAAGAATGCCAAGTAGAATCTAGACAGACAGGCCCTGCTGGGTTTCTCCACTCAGTCTATCAGCATTAGATCTTATTCATTTTGTCCAGTCATATTTCTGCATGGCTGTCCCTACAAGTTGAACCTAAGCATAACCACTGACAATTTCCCCTATATGCTTGGGTCTTCATTCTGAAGTCTCTCATGTACACTTTAATACATTTTGTATGCCTTTTCTCCTATTAATCTGCGTTTTGTGAGTTGACATTTCAGTGAATCTTCAGAGGGCAAAGGGGAAATTTTCTCTTGGCCCTTACAGTATCATCAGAATGATTGACATTGTTGTTATTATTATGTGGACAAATTTTGTGGACGTTTGCCCCCCAAGCAACCCATCAGATTATTCCCTCCAACTCACTTACATGTCTCTTCCTAAGGACATTCTGGTAAATACAATAGTCTCTACCATGTTTTATTTTCAGTGATATTTTAGTGGCCTTATTGGGCTGGTGCCTCTACACACATTCCATTGGCCTGCCTCTTAATCTAGGTATGTTCTGGTCTGACTTTCAGAAGAGAATGATCACAAAATATGAGTCAGTGATGGCTTAAGAAGGATCAGACATTGCTCCACCTAAAAATCAATACAGCTCAGGAGATACCATTATTGAAGACATTTAAGACTCCTTCTGTCTGGGTAGGCTCACCACGATTTTCCCCCAATCCTCTGTCTGTTTCCTGTAGCAGTTATTTTCAAACTTTAAGGGGTTTATGAATTACCTTGGGTATCAGCTAAAAATCAGATTAGAAATTCTGATTTATTGGCTTCAGACTGAGGCCCCCAAATAGCATTTTAAGTAAGAACTCCACCCTAGTAAATTTTGAATCAGGTGGGGAACATTGACTTTATTCTAAGAAATAATGCTAAGCCGTAATGGGCACACATTAAACAAAGTAAATCTTACATAATCTGGAAAGCTGGGTGTATTTATTTAAGATGTAGAGGGGCTAAAAAAAAGAAATATTGTGTATCCATAGCCTGGTTCATAATGGAGAGCAGAGACAAGAACCCTGAAGACAGGAATGAATGGCAGATACCAAAAAGGAGGTTAAATTAATCAACCACTGGCAATCACAGTTAACACAATAATCTTGGAAGAAAATGATCCCATAGGAGGCACCCTGAGAGCCATGAGGAGACAGGATTACTTCAGGAAGAAGAGAATTCATAGAAAAGTCTTAGTACAGCCTGGAGAATGAATGAACCACCAAATGTACTGTGTCCTCAGGAGAAACATCACAGGAAAGGAAAGTGGGAAAGTGTAAAATGTGTTCTGTCCCAGAAAGTTTTATCTCTGTTTTCAAGTCTCATCAATTGGTAGTGGCTCCCTGGAGCACTTTATCAAGACAGATTGTGGAGTCATTTCTAGGTTTAGCAGAAAGGGATTGATTGATTAGTTATGATTGATTAGTTATGTCTGCCACAGGATAGGATAGGGAGAAGCAAATGCATCCTTGCAATTTCTGCTTAGGCAGTAATTGTAAAGTTATCCAAATTCCACTGTAGCAGGTAGACTCAGTCATGCCTGATAAGCGCCATCTCTTTCTTGCTATTTCCAGTCAGAGAAATCTTTGCCATGTGAACAATATAAATGCATCCTGAGATTATGTTTCCTCTGCTAAAGATGGAGCCATGTGAAGAAAATCTCAGATATTTACCTGGTGGAAATCCAGACCTGTTGTACTTGCCCATTCTCCATTACAGACTCTTTTAGCCAGCCCTTCTGTGCTCCCTGCGCCGCTCAATTTTCCCAAGAAGAAGGAAGGGCTGTAGCAGTGCATCTCTTTCCTGCCCCATTTCCTGCTCAATTCAGGGCTTTCATTGCCATTCATTCCCCATTTCTACCCCAGTGATTTCAAGATTTCAAACACATAAACATGAACTGCACTTTACAAAATGTGCTTTACGATATACTTGCCTTCAAAGAGCAAACTCTTTTAAAGTACCTACTTAAAAAAAAAGATCAGTGTGTGTACATATAATTGAGAGGCTAATTGCCAATCAATCAAATCTTTTCATTCAAGGGAGCACCTGTCAGCACTTCATTGGCCTAATTTGAATTACTGCAAGTATGTGAAAAAAGAATCTGCAGTATAGGATATTTTAAAAGAAGTGTAGGTTGAAAGTCTTCTATAATTCAGATTTTTCTCCAGTTCACCTTCCTCAACTGTAGTCAATGTTTTTGGTAGCTTTCTTGTCCATCCTCCCATTTCTCAGACAGTTCTCTCTTCCTGAGAGCTCCCAATCGTGGTTAGGGATGCATGTTCCTCCAGGAAAGCTGATTCCATCTTAGTCCTAGAGATAGAGCATATGACAAATCACTGCAATCTGCCTGGCCACCGTGATTGACCCGATTTTGGGCATGTGACTGCCTATCCAATTAAAGTAACACTTAGGACATTTGCTGATGACAAAGATGGTGTCTCTTTCTTGCTGGAACTGTGAGTTGTATAATTATTGTCGAAGCTTCTGGAAGCCATCTTAGAATAAAGAGTACAGCCAACCATAGTGGCAGACAACACTGAAAAAAGCATGCTTGGGAGACAAACAAACAAACCCCTTAGTATTTGATGACATTATTGAATTGCTTGATAAAATAAACAAAACTAAAGCCAAGACTACCTATGGATCTTTCAGGCAAATGAGTCAGTATATTTTTTCTCTTGTTAAGCCCGGTTTTAATTACTTTCTTTCTTCTCTGTTTTTTGCAGCACTAGCTGATACGTTTAGTTAATCTGAATTAGGAGAATCCATTTCATCAGCATTGTACTTGTTTCCTATGACTCAACTTTTCCTTTTCTAATTTTCTTTTATGAATGAGGTTTTTGGAAGCAGGGTAATAAACAGCTGATAATGATTGGGATGAAAATCTCAGTCGTGTTCCAGGAGATACTTTGGAAAAGAATATACATCTTCTGAATCAATACCATTTACATGCTGCTAACAGGAAGGGAATGAGAGATAGAGTGGTTTTGTTGTAGAAGAAAATGCTTGCGTACTATGGGGAGGAATTAATTATGCAAAATAGTGAAATATGTGCAGACAAATGTAATTTGTCAACCTGAAAACTGAGCTTCGTAAATCTTAGTTTGCAATAAATTGAGTGATTTTCAAATATATTAGACAAATGAGCTGAAACTCTGATATGATATGTGTATTTAATCCTGTCACCCATGCGCATATTATTTTCCATGGGATATGAAACCCCTGACCTCCAGGGCCAGATGTTATTGCATCTTTTGTGAATACGTCTGTGAATATTGCAGCTTCCTGTTTTTGCCACAGTAACTGCATAGCTGCTGAAAGAATAAAACAGTCTAATGAAACAGAATCACAGATTTATACATATGAGGGGGATTCAGGGAGGAGTCTACCCAGCTAGTGTTTTCAGGAACACTGGAAGTGGGTGCAACCCTCAGGAATTTCATTTGCACTTCAGAGCAGAAAACATAGCAGGCTCTATGAAGACAGTTCAGGAAGAAGTTACTAGAGACACACTTTTCCTGCACAAGTAGCTTCAGAGTCTTGCATAAAAGGAAGACACCTAAGAGAGAAAATGGAGAGCATATGCAACAGTAAACTGTTGGCCTGGAATTGCTCTTGCTCACCTTAGGAATGTAGCTATCCATATCTGGATATCATGGTAAGGACCTAAATTTTGTCTCTGGGCTTGCAGCACCTCCTGCATCCAGCCAGAGAGAAGCTACAGAGTTAATGCTGGAGCTGGGCTAGGATTGCAGGAAAGACAAAGCATTCCTGTAAGTTTAGAAGTGCTCCTCTTCTATTCCTCCTGGTTACTTAGACACTCCATTGGTAAAGGAGAAAGGAACAGGAGGTGTCTCATGAATGTACTTAAGGAGATAAAGTCAGGTAGGAGTCATTTCAGCATTCAAGATGAAACAGGAGGGAAAAACAAGGCAGGGACACTTAAACATCTCTGTTTTATTTCCTTGCCAACATGATTTTGGGGACAGGACTGGTGAGCAAAGCCAGTATCACTGGACACCAGGTGTCCTGATTGTATCACTTTAGGTGAAAATAATTTTTCACTCTGGCCAATGTATCTTTCTCTGATGCCGCCTTCACCAGCTCATCCTCATACCCTGCTGCCCACAAATGCTCAAACTCCTCCTATTCCTGTAGAGACAGTGTGGCTGCAGTGCCAGTCACTCAGAAAGCCTTGCCGAGAAAGCGAAGAGCAAGAGGCCTCGGAAAACTCTGGTGGTGATTCCTATTCAGGAAACGGTATTTTTTTAGTGCCTCTTTTCTTTAAATATATTTGAAGTAATTTATTTTTGAATATAAATTAGTGTGTGTGGCTTAACATCTGTAAGTCATGACATATTATACATAGAAAGAAAAAAAAAACCTCTCTACCACCTTGTACCCAAGGAAAAGAAAATTCCCCTTTCAGAGGCAAACCAATGCCATTCATCTTTTCTATATTCTTACCGTGATATTTTAAGCATTTACTGGCTTAAAGTGATGAGGATACACATGTTCCCATTTCTATGTAAATGGTAGCATATCACCTAGACTGGGAGTCCCCAATCCTAGGGTCGTGGACCAGTACTGGTCCGAGGCCTGTTAGGAACCGGGCCGCACAGCAGGAGATGAGCAGCAGGCGAGTGAGTGAAGCTTCATCTGTATTTACAGCTGCTCCGCATCACTCACATTAGCGCCTGAGCTCCACCTCCTGTCTGATCAGGTTTTTTAATTTAGGGAAAAAAAGCAAGAAATGTGACATATGTACTACTCAAGCGTGGCAGTTGAAATGTACGCCTTTACCATATCCTGTTGGAACAGTGTCAATAGGAACAGAGAATGCCAGGTCTACAATTTTCTACCCATTTTACAGACAAAGGAACTGGAAACTTGCACCAGGAAAGTTAAGTGATTGATAAGGTGAAGGATCCAGAGGAAAACCCCTTGATTTATTTCAAGGATACTCCTACTCTCCTGGAGTGAATGAATTCCTCTTTGTGCATTTAGGCAGCGTGATGTAAGCTGGTACAACATAACTTTTCTAGTCATTTTGCCACTTAGAAGACATTCCCCAAGCCAATGACATCCTTCCTTCCTTTGAATTCATATGTCACTTCCAACCTCCTTTTCTGTGGCACTCAAAATTTTCCATTAAAGTTATTTATGTATGATATGATGTGGCAAGTATGGAGACACCCAGGTGACCTATCCAGCTTCAGCAGCTAGGGATACTGACAGGGACCACATTTTGAGATCCAAAAATCGGACACAAAGTATTTTTAATTGATATGAAAGGCCTTACAGAGACATGAACATTAAATGGCATTTGATTACACACTGAAAGAAGGGTCTTGATTAAAGAGAGAATATTATATGGAATCATCATGGTCTTGGACCATTCATGCTCTCTACAGCCCCCAGCCTGAGGTCGGCCTGAGCTTGCCTGCTGTGCCAGCCTGAGGTATGCCTGAGCTTACCTGCTGTTCTCCAGAACTGAGAGCTGTAGTCCAAGCCCAGGAGTGTCCATTTTGCTTCTAGACTGGTCTGAGATGGCTTTTGCCTTGGGAAGAAGCTGCACCTTCAATGTCCCTTCTTCTCCGTGCCTGGGATCTGGGAAGGCTCTCAAGGGGGTTGTTTCTCCAAGTGGAGTTCTCTGCATCATCGTGCCCTGTGATTATCAAGTTAGCTCAGGCAGAAGCATCCTGCCTACCTGGCAAATCCTGAGAAGAAGGCTGGGAGAGTAGCAGCTTCCCCTGGTGAGCCATCTCAAGCTTGTTTCCTCTCCATTATCAGGAGCAGCTCTGCGGGAGCCTTGTTAAGAAGTGGGACATGCTCTCTCTTTCCTGCTCCTACAATGCCAAGGGAAGACTTTGAGGGCCCTGCTGCTGGCAGAGCTGCCCTGCAGAGCTGGGGTGCCCAGACCACAGGGCCTTGGTATGGCAAGGGTCTGTGAGGCTGAACTGTCCAAAATGTCTGTCCTGGGGAAGGCACAAGGAGAAGGGCACTCAGAGCCAGAGATATCAGCAGCTTCCTGTTCCAAAAAGAGGATGGCTGAAGGGAGAAGTGAATGACGCCCAGTGTATCCCACAAGGCTGCAGTAATAGGTGGCTGAAAACACAAAAAAGGTCATTGGTCACCGTTTCCCTTTTTGTAATAAAGGGAAGGGTCCGAGCACCTGAAGGCACTCCTGTTTGACCCCAGAAGCCCACAGCTGTTCCCTGGCCCTGTGTGCTGGGAGGCCCTGCAGTGCCTACCGCTGCACTGACAGGGAAGTAGGCTTGCTCCTGCACTCACTTGCTGTGAGGCTGACTTCCCTGGGCCTGACATCTCACCTGCAGAACGTGAGGACAGGGCCACCACAAATTAAGGTGGAATACATCACAGACTCCTGCAAATACTGCACTCTATAGATGACCCCGGGAGGTCAAATTAGACAGCTACTCCTGGGGTTTGGGCATCTGTTCCCCTCTCACTTCAGACCAGAGCTCCCTCCCTCCTGCCCTGCCCTCTCTACCATTCCTTCCTTCCCTTCCCTCCCTTCTCCCTCTTTTCCTCTCCCTCTTATTCTCTTTCTCTTACATTCATTTCAAGGGAAAAAGACACTCTTCCATGGCAGGCTCAGAGTATTCTTAAGCTACATAAGACAATCTCAGTGCCAGTGTGGTGAGATCACAAATCTCTTTATATTACATCTCAGGCTCTGCCGAGCAAATGTATTGTCTTTGCTGTCTAGAATGACTCTGTCCGCCCTCCTGAGCTACCTTAAGGGTTGCTAAGGAAGCGCCAGAATTATATCTTCATCCAAGAAAATTTAAAATGTAGTCCACCCCATTCATGGTTTCTTTAGATTTTGAGCAGACTTTTAGAGATCACTGCTTGGTCTTTTAAATGCTCCCCTTGTTCCCTTGTCCCTTGTCCCTCTCCAAAGGTGTCCTGGAAAATGGAGGCTTAC
Organism: Homo sapiens; assembly: GCF_000001405.40. Classification (NCBI taxonomy): domain Eukaryota; kingdom Metazoa; phylum Chordata; class Mammalia; order Primates; family Hominidae; genus Homo; species Homo sapiens. The sequence continues at coordinate 11,221,151 of NC_000017.11, forward strand.
AAGACCTTCTAGGGTGAGGATGTGGGGCTTCAATCTCAAGCTACCTCTCCAGTGTGCATGAGGGACACTGCAGCTTAGTAGGGATGGCCCTGTCACTGGTTGGTTGATGCTGATGCCTGTGGCTGAAACTCTGTGGTCTCTGCTTTTGTGGCTGGGCAAGGGTCTATCACCGCTTGGCCTCCTCTTCCCTCTTGCTGGTGCCATGCTTCCCACTGTGTCTTGTCTACATCCTCCATCTGCCCCCTGGCCCAGGCTGTTCACCTCTCAACCTCTACTGTGTGTTCAACTCATCCTCCTCTCAGTGGGTCTTGAGGCACTTGCATGGTGTCCATGCAATGCAGGATGCGAAGGCCGCTCAGGGGGGTGAGCTACACACTGCCCAACCAAAGACCTCTCCCTCCTAACTCTGCAGGGATGCCTCATGTTGCACGTTGGTATGTTATAATTACACACGTACATATTGTATGTGTGCAGATGGATAGATATTAACATGTTAGAAAGGGAAATAGGGCTGCAGGTCTAATGGTCTCTAGTCTCTCTCCCCATCTTCTGTTTCCACTTTCCTCTCTGCCATCAACCACACCACAATAACTGAGGTCAGAAAGACCTCCTAATGTCGTTCCTGTCTACTCAGTCCTTCTTTACTTAAAGCTCCTTGAGCTTGCCGGCTGGCCTTACCTTGGCTGTGTTAAGCGGGAGCCAAACAATGTAAAACATCACTCCTTTCCGGACAAGGCCTGGCTCTCCACCCTGTTGTTTACTTTACACCACACACGATTTTGAGGTCAGAAGCATTCTCTTTGCTCCCCTTCCAAACAGTCCTTTTGCATTCCTGCCTTATCAAACCAGTCCCCTCTGTTCCCCAGCTATATTAATGCCTTGAGTCTATTAGGGAGAAGGTCATGTACACAGAAGGACAAAAGAAAAAAGCACATCAATGTTTTTTTAAAATATTGTCCCTATTCCCTGGAAAAGCAGAGCTTCCTCCTGCCAACACACACACAAACACACCCCTTCTCCATCCTGCTGGGCCCTTTGGGGCTCTTCCAGACCAGGACAGAAAGCCTTGAGGAGAACCACATTGCCAAGGAGAACTACACATGTTTTAGGGACACAAGGAGGGGGTTTCTGTTCTGCTGGCAATGTGCATTTTTGACCTGGGTACTGTTAATGAAAAGTGCAACCCAGTGCAGTGGCTTGTGCCTGTAATCCCAGCACTTTGGGAGACTGAGGCTAGAGGACCGCTGGAGGCCAGTCTGGGAAACATAGCAAGAACCCATCTGTACAAAAAATAAAAAAAATAGCTGGGCATGGTGGCACGCCACTGCAGTCCTGCTACTCGGGAGGCTGAGATGGGAGGATCAGGGTCTTAAGCCCAGGAGGTCGAGGCTGCAGCGAGCTGATTGTACCACTGCACTCCAGCCTGGGTGACAGAGCAAGAACTTGTCTCAAAGAAAGAAAAAAAAAAGTGCAAAAGCACATCCAAGGCAGGAAGTCCTGGTCAAAGCACACGGCCCCTTTGGGCAAAATGCCATCTTTTGCCTATGACCATGGTCTGCTCAATTCTGGCTTTCCCTATTTGGCCCTGTTTTTCTGGTCTTATGTGGGCCTGAGAACCACCATCCTCCTTGTCCACGTCTCCACCCCAGCTTGGCTTCCTTTCTTCAATTCTGCACTCTTCTCCCTTATGGCTTTGCCTGGTAATTTTTGCTTCCCTGCTCATTTTCCTGGGCAGGCCCCCTTGACCTGGTCTAGCCTGGTTTAATTAAAGAGGGCATCTGCATGCCTCCCCCAGTCCAAGCCTCTCTCCCCAGCTCTGATTATTCAGTTCTGACAAGAACCCTGTTGGCTCATCCAGATTCCAAGCATTGAGTGGAATTTTATCACCAATGAGGGCTAAGTGACAGGGGAAAGAGAGTGGAAGGAGAGGGAAAAGACAAGGCAGTAATTGTTAGCCGTATTATTTTGAATTAGACAATCCTGAATTTGTGCATCTATTTTTTTTTTTTCGAGATGGAGTTTAGCTCTTGTTGCCCAGGCTGAAGTGCAATGGCACGATCTCTGCTCACTGCAACTTCCACCTCCCGGGTTCAAGTGATTCTCCTGCCTCAGCCTCCCGAGTAGCTGGGATTACAGGCGCCACCACCATGCGTGGCTAAGTTTTGTATTTTTAGTAGAGACAGGGTTTCATCATGTTGGCCAGGCTGGTCTCGAACTCCTGACCTCAGGGGATCTGCCCGCATTGGCCTCCCAAAGTGCTGAGATTAGCCCAGTCCTGCGCACCTGTTTTTTAATTTTTTTTTTTTTTAATCTGGGAAGAAAGACAAAAAGCTCAAAGCAGTGCTTGCCTTAGTATTTGGGAAGGAGGAGCTATAGATGAGTTTGGGGTGGGTGGGGGAAGGATGTGACCATTCAAGAGACCTTTGGCTTTATACCTAGTGTTTCAATTTTTTAAAAAAGAATGCCTTGAATTATTATCTGTAAGATCAAAAGAAAAAAAATAAGTATACTTGCCTAAAAACAAAAGATAAATTTTTGCAAAATAAAAATGAATAAAAGCCAGAGTCTACATACATAAGATATCAACATTGTTCTGTATACTCCAATAATGCCTAGCCTGATGTTGTCTCTGCACTGGACCCTGAGCCATATCTTGTCCCTCTTTGTATCTCTAGTGTCAACCGTGGACACTGGCAGGGATTTGGCTCTCTAGGACTGTTGTAAAGGAAACCATTTGACTGTTTAAGGGGTAGCAGAGAAAGTAAAAAAAATTCAAGAAGTGGGTGGTGAGGAAGGAACAAGTGAGCAGAAGTAAAAACAAAGGGAGTGGGCCAGGCGCGGTGGCTCACGCCTGTAATCCCAGCACTTTGGGAGGCTGAGGCGGGCAGATCACGAGGTCAGGAGACCGAGACTATCCTGGCTAATACGCTGAAACCCCGTCTCTACTAAAAATACAAAAAATTAGTTGGGCGTGCTGGCTGGTGCCTGTAGTCCCAGCTACTTGGGAGGCTGATGCAGGAGAATGGCGTGAACCCGGGAGGCGGAGCTTGCAGTGAGCAGAGATCGAGCCGCTGCACTCCAGCCTGGGCGACAGAGCAGCGAGACTCCATCTCGAACACAAACAAACAAATAAACTACAAAAAACAGAACGGAGTGGACTCTGCCCCTCGGCCAGGATGCCTGTTCTTTCTGGAAATGAACAGCAAAATATTGGGACTGGGTGCTCTGCTCAATATTATTACCCCAGTGCTTCCCTTAAGGTGCTCCTGTGGGCAACTGCAGGGAACTCATCAAGAAGAATCTTCTTCCATGGCTCTGAGCATGGCGGAAAGTAGGAATCTCTGCCAGCCATGGAGGAAAAATGTTCCTGTGGCAATCAGGTTCCAACTCATAGACTTGCCACACTCTGACGATCTGCATGTGAAGTGTGAATTGCTCCAAAGTGCACCCAGATTGGGAGTGGGGAGCAGTCACCCCCTCCCTTTAAGCTACCTTTTCTCTCTATTTGCTGCTGCAGATGACAACACAATTCTTGTTGCATTGATTTGGCTGGGAAAGTGAGAAAATGGCGGCAACATTAATTAAAAATAATACGCCACACAAGAGATAGCTTGAACTCACTTCTTCTCTTAGTATCCTCTGTGTTCCCTTCTTTTCAACTTACTGTGGACACTATAGGAACAATGTGTCTTTCAGTAGACATATGAAAGAAAAGCGAGAGATATTAAAGAAAGGGCTCTAAATGTGATGAAGAGCTTCAATCTTAGCAGCAGACTTTTAAGACACTAAAAGGAATACTAGAGAATCAGAGTGAAATAATTGGGTTCCTAAGGTTAGGGTGGCAATAGAGAGATTGGAGGGAAGTGGTATAAATGGAAAATTTAAAAAAAAGAGAAGTAATACTATTCTCCAATAAAAAGAACGTGGGGTCCTTGGAGAAATGGCTGAGTCCAGGGCTGGGGCAGGAAACATACAAGAAGAATCTAGAAGGTCTTATAGTGCTGAAAAGTAAGGAAGTGCTCAAAAATAAATCAAAACAACAAAAATTCCCAACTGGGAAATCAAATGGACACAAGGGACAACTAACAGAGCTCCCGATGGGCAAAGAGGGAACGATTTGAGCAAGACAATGAATAATGTGGCATTTTAGTTTTAGTTTTAGAGACAGAGTCTCACTCTGTTGCCCAGGCTGGAGTGCAGTGTCACGATCATAGCTGACTGTAATCTCATCTCCTGGTCTCAAGCCATCCTCCTGCCTCAGCCTCCTGAGTAGCTGGGACTACAGATGCATGCCACCACACCGGGCTAGTTTTTTAAATTTTTATGTAGAGATGGGGTCTCACTATGTTGTCTAGGCTGATCTTGAACTCCTGGGCTCAAGCAATCTTCCCGTCTCAGCCTCCTGAAGTGCTGGGATTACAGATGTGAGCCACCATGCTTAGTCAATATAGTATTGAATTACACCTGAAGTATAAATACCCATAAGTCTATGCTGGTATAAATAAATGATTGAAGGTATAAATTAATAAGGAAGAAGAAACAAATATCCTATACAGAATTCTAAATACTTGATGTAGCTATACCCCCTTAAGGTGACTCCCTACAAAGAGGATGGCATGAAGACAGGAAGCAAAAGGAAACTTTGCAGTGGAGAAATCTGACAAACACGACCTCCCCAGGGTGATCCAGGCTAACAGTATTATGCATAAATCATGTTAATAGCATGCATCCTTGATATGAGTGGCATTTCACCTCAGTGGTGGTTCCACCCCCAAACCCATAACTCCTGCCTAACCATGAGAAAAAAATCAAACAAACGCAAATGGAAGGGCATTCTATGAAATATCTGACGAGCACCCTTCAACAATGTCAAGGTCGTCAAAAACGAGAAAAGTCTGAAACTGTCACAGTCTGGAGATGCCTAAGGGGGGAAATGATGATGAAATGTAACGTGGGATCCTGGAGGGGGTCTTGGAACAGAAAAAGGACACTAGGCAAAACTAAGGACATCAGGCTGAAGTGTGGACTCTAGTTAATAACGGTGTATCGGCCGGGCGTGGTGGCTCACGCCTGTAATCCAGCACTTTGGGAGGCCGAGACAGGTGGATCACGAGGTCAGGAGATCGAGACCATCCTGGCTAACACGGTGAAACCCCGTCTCTACTAAAAATACAAAAAAAAAAAAAAAAAAAAAAAATTAGCCGGGTGTGGTGGTGGGCGCCTGTAGTCCCAGCTACTTGGAAGGCTGAGGCAGGAGAATGGCGTGAACCCGGGAGGCAGAGCTTGCAGTGAGCCGAAATTCCACCACGGCACTCCAGCTTGGGCGACAGAGCGAGACTCCGTCTCAAGAAAAACAAACAAACAAACAAAAAACAAACAAACGGTGTATCAGTAGCATTGCTTGCCACCATAAATGTGAACTACTACATGAAACTGGGTCCAGACAGAAAAGGAAACCCTTACAGTTGCCCTCACAGAGCCAAGAAACCACCTCGATCACCATGCTGACATTGTAAAAATGTATAACGATCACAGCTGCACTTTTAAAATTTGATGCTGTTCTAAATGCCTATAATGCCGGGTAGTCTCTTTTAGAAGTGAAAGCAATAGTTTTGGCTATCCAATTTATTTGTTCCAGCCTTGTTGACAGAGTGGGATGACTGAGCCGAAGAAGGAAAAAAGCCACTATGGGGGAAGGATCCGTGAAGTTGAGGGACATAGTATTTGAAATTAAATGATCCTCCGAAATCCACAACCCCCCATGTGCATGCTACACAATGTGGCTTTTCTTTTCTTGACCTCCCATAAGACTGAAGTTTTCCTCTTAATGTTGAATTCATAAAGTTATTTTCACTTAATTATATCTGCTTTTAAGGGGATTTTCTAAAACATTCAGTTCTGACCCACTTAGAAGTTCCCTTCTGTTTCCCGTTTTGTCTCTGACTTTTTCCTGTGTGCCCCTTTGTTTCCTAGTTAAAATCACAGCTTCTAAAGTAAGCAAGGAAAGGATTTTGTTTTCTTAAACCCATTTAATGCGGGAGCAAATCAGAAGCCAGCTAGAAAGGCCACCACCTCTTTATTTGTGGTGTTAACCAATTAAAAGGTGTTACTCTCTTGGTAGTAAAGTGTAACCTTGCTCTTCTGGATTCTTTACTCCAGCCTCTTTTGATTTGTCTTGTTGTTTAATTTGCTAGCTTGAATCACACTGGACTTAGTTGCCAAAATCATCCGGAGCTCCACTTAAGTCGAAGCCCTTCTCTGTTGGAGGAAAAATATTGAACCATTCCTTCCTTTACTTGGAGCTGGCTGTCGCTGGAGCTAGTAACAAAGTCAATGCCACAGAGAGCTAATTGCTGAAACCTCCTAGAACAGTTGTTCTCCACCAGAGAGCTGTTCATACGAGAGCTGTACCTTCCTTAACTTTTATGCACCAAAAGGGAGAGTAATATCCAGACGGAAATGATAAAGCAAGAATTTATAACTGCATTTATCCAAATATCTAGATAATTGAGATAATAAATTGCATAACTGCCACCATGCCCTTTATGCCCCTGTTCCCTTTGTATTTGCATGCAACGCTAATGAGATATTTGGTCATATTTTAATATTACAGAGGACATGCACTGTGCTCCTATAACAGCACATCCCTTGCTGCTAGAACGGGTTTGGTTTGACTTTTGATCCAGCCCTTCTGTTTTTATGTAAATGAGAGATTTGGCAAAATAAGAATGACAACACCTTTTATTAAACTTGTGGGTTTCCAAAATGCTTTCACATTCATGATGTCATCAGATCTTCACAACCTAGTGTTGTATGAAAGGCTAGTGTTACATTCCCTATTTTACAAGAAAGGAAACTGCAGTACAGAATATCATGGACTAATCCCTGAGCTGGTAAAAAAAGAAAAAAAGTAGCTTTAAGACTACTTTTTAAGCTTCAAGACTGAAATAAAGGTCTTCCAGATTTAATTCTTAAGGTTTTTGTCTGATATGAATGTTTACATATTTTCTTTTGGGATCTGAATTCACTTGATTGTCTGATGAAATGTCTCCTGAAAATGGCAGGTACACCCGGAGAGACACACAATTTTGCTCATAATTTCAAGAGGTTTACCATCAGCCCCAGGCTAAGAACCACTGTTCTATGCTATTCAATCTCTATAACGGCAATAGGGCAAGAAATAAAGAAATTCTGAAATGGGCTGGGTGCGGTGGCTTACCCCTGTAATCCCAGCACTTTGCCAGGCCAAGGTGGGTGGCTCACTTGAGCCCACGAGTTCGAGACCAGCCTGGGCAACATGGTGAAAGCCCGTCTCTACAAAAAATACAAAAAAATTAGCTGGGCAGGGTGACACATGCCTGTAGTCCTAGCTACTCAGGAGGCTGAGTTGGGAGGATTACTTACAGTGAACTAGGATTGTGTCACTGCACTCAAGCTGGAGTAACAGAGTGAGAACCTGTCTCCAAAAAAAAAAAAAAAAAAATTCTAAGATGGAATATTAAGCACTGAGAAGATGAGAATTAAAACCAAGTTCCTTTGGTTCTTTTCCAAATTTTGTTTCTTCTCCTGAAATATATGGTCTCTCAGAAGGGATGGCTTATCCCGAAATTAAATGTGTTAAAACATGTCCTGGGGGGAAATATGAAAAAAAAATGGGAAAATGTAGATGAAAAAAAAAAACAACAATCTAAGAAGATATCAAACCAAAGTGATGGGAGGAAGTGTGTAGTGAAGGGAATATAAATAACGGTCAATGAGCCATCTGAATCATGGCACCTGTGCAGCCAACACGCTGTGCTGATTTAAGAAATCTGTTCAGGGGTGGGTGGGGGGCCTAACGAGGGGCTTGGGATAGAAGCAGAGGTGGAGGAATAGAGCGTGGCCTACCAAACAGGCAAACAGATGCCAAGTGGGCACAGACTCTTCTCACACTTGGCCTGGTGGGATGTGTCCCACACATTAGTGGCATCTGTAGCTATTTGTATCTGCAAGCCCTGGAGAACCCATGCTTTACAATAAAGACCAGCTCATGCCGAGAGCTTGTGAGCCATTTCTTGGCCAGGGTTCCTGTCACTGTGACTGGACCCAGAGATAATGCCTTGCCCTGCCTGTCAGTTCTCATGAGCATCCTTATTCCCAACTGCTGGATGGACATTGAGGCATCACCTTTCCTGCCCTGAGGCTTCCAGTCTGCCGGGTTTAATTCAATGCCCTGTCTTGACCTCCTTCTCCTGTGTAACCTGTCTGGGCTGACTGCCTGGCTGCAAATGAGTTCTCTGCTTCATTCTCCACGTGTGAGCTTCACTGAGTTTGCGTCCATTCTAAATGGCCTGAGTACAACTCTAATGTAAGCTCAGGATTATCCCAGTCCCAGTTTCTCTCTGCGACCTGTGACTGTCCACAACCCCATAGCTGCCTCCGCCACACCAATGCCACCATGACCTTGCCCTTTAGCCCCTGGTGTGCACTTGCCAGTAGGGGATTCCTCCTGAATAGAGGGTTTGCAGGGAATTCCTTTTCTGTCCTTAAGACTGAACTTCTAGGAGGTGGACTTGGGTCAGGGGGCTGGGGTGTAATGGACAGCAGTGTGAAATGAGCAGGCACTATCAGATGCTGAGGCAGGATTTGCAAAATAAATTGGAAAACTAGAACTTCAAGCAAAGGTAAAAAAAAAGGTTCTCAAGTTCTCTAGAAATTCCATTTTCAAGCATCTTTGGGCCAATACTCCCTCCTTTAATTGGTACCTGTCTCTCACACGCCTCACCTCAGTACTGGCTGTGTCTGCCCATGTGGTTATGTAATGTCTTGATCAGGGTACAGGATATCAGGTTGGATGTCTGTCCACTGCAGTAATGCCAAGATCAAATTAGTAATTTTGAAATTTGATGGTGCTTAACAATAAGAAAATTGGCCTTTTTCAGCAGCGTTACCTTGGCTATTTTAATGATGACATTTTTCTGTTCCAGTGGTTGGCACTTAGCTTGGCACTCAACCAACAGGTGGTCCATCTAGATCGTGTCTACCTGACACAGAATCAAGAATTTCTGTTCATGCATTTGTCTGTATTAATGACCAATTTGTGCCCAGTCAATTGGATTAGATAAGTGGGATAGATCTAATTAGTCAACTCATTTTCTTTTTCCTTTAAAGGACAAAAAAAAAAATTAAAAAAAATCATATACAACCTATTCTCCCAAAGATACTACTGTCTATGGTGGGCTTAACTTCGTAAAAGTCAGAAAGAGCATTCAAGGTGATCTAAATGATACTAGACACAAGAGCCATCATCGAAAGGTAGGAAACAGAGGTATGAGAAACAGTTTATATTAACATAGAACACTAGTTAATATAAACTATAAGCCAAGAAAATGTCACATCTATGTGTAATGCACTCACAACAGGCCTCCTATTTTAATAGGGAAATGTATTTTTATAGGTTAATTCATGGTGGTTTTAAATAAAATTTCAATAAATTCCAACCAAAGAGAAAATGTATTGGTGATGTATATAATCTGCACGTGAATATCTGGGAGTGGCTGCATGATTATCTTTGGCATTCATCTGCACACTCTTCATTAGTACCTTTCTCAGGAAAAGCTAACCCCAGTGTGCATTTATTCTAGTTGTAAAGAAGTGATGTCTTTCGGTAAAAAGCATGTAATAACCGGTGATATTCGTGCCCCTTGTAGTCTCACCTTCATTTCACAAATGTTTCAGTTTGGGGCAATAAACCTGCATAATTGGAACAGAATTCTAAAACCATGTCTACATAAAGTAATAGAACTATGCTTGAACTGTTCTGACTGTCACCTCTCACAGGGCTGTTAGGCAAATAGGATTTATTCCTTATGCTAATTTCAACCATAGTTAAGGCCTGCTGGTTATTTGGAGCTTTGGGTGTTGAGGGGCTTTCTGGGGCTCCGACTGGTCTCAGTGGGAAAGGGTTCCACAATTGATTAGTGATGTCTGGCATGGGCACAGGAGGGGAGAGCTGTAGTATTTAACATTGTTCTAGTCACAAGGAATGACTGCAATATTATGCAGAGAAATCACATTCTGTAGACCCAGCTAAATGTGTCAGTTGAAAGTGATTCAGTCCAAGCTTGTCCAGGAAACACACAACTAAAATTAGTTGTTTGTGACTCAACACATGTTTGGGGATGCAGAACTGCTTTATATATGTCAGGAAGGGAAAAGAAAACCCCACAAAACTTTCAATCATTTGATGATGTAATACAATCTTACTCTTAAGATAGTCAGTTGATAACCAGATCAGTTCCAAGCAGTAGGATCATAAATTCTGAAGTTAAAAGTATAAAAGTGCACAGATACTCAACAATCATTGCTATTAATGCTGCTGCATCAGATGTGAAGAAAACCACATTTGATAGTCCTATGTGACCACAATAGGAAAACAGCCCCTTTTAAGGAGTGATATTTTTCAACAAGTTGCTAAGACATTGAGTTAACACGTGGCCCACATACTAGAACCTTCAATTGAGTTTCCAGAATGTCTCCCGAAGTGGATTGAATCTGCAAACCTGTCCTCCTGGTAGTGTAGTTCATGACCTAATGGAAAGAATCCATATCCCAGGGAGCAGCTGGACATTCAGCAAGGAGGGAAAAAACATTTCTCTCTGAAGAGAGATGCTTTTTACTCCCAATCTCTGGGGTGTGGTAGAGGGAGACAGTTCCATGAGGCCCTAAATAGTATTCCATATTGCAAATCAGAAAGCATAATTTGTTTATGTTTGCATTTTAGCATCTACATAATGACTAGCACATAGTGGGGGCCTGACTAACTGATTGACAAAATAAATAAAAAGGAATGAATACATTGATGAAGAGATGAGTTAATTCTAGGCCAGGCTAGTTCTAGAGATAATTTGAGGTCATCCTTGCCTTCACGTGTATGGCTGACTAGTTACAGAAAAAGAGTCCAGAGGATGTGAATTTTTCTGCACCCATCCAATTCTGAAATGCCACAATTCCAGAGTTCTAATTATGCATGATGCAAACTTCCTGTAACTCCATCACTAGGTAGAGAATGCCAGGGAGAGACATTCCCTTTCCTAGGCTTCCTATTTGGAATCTCTCTCAGCTCACAAGAGCAAAGTGTGTTGAGTCTTGAAAAGGGCATGGAATAGAATGATCATCTCCGGGATAACCTAAGTTGGAATTCTCTAACTTCTTCTCAGTGAGAGACAGTGACAAATGTGACCCCTCCTCCTTTCCTCTTGATTGGCATGTAAGTTTGCATAATATTTTATAGAGATCACACAACCACTCCACTTAGCAGACATTATGGGTTGAATTGTGTCCCTCTACAAAAAATTAATATGTTGAAGTCCTAACCCCTAGCACCCCAGAATGTGATTTTATTTAAAGATAGGGTATTCATCGAGGTAATCGAGGTAAAATGCAGCCATTAGGGTGGCCCTAATCCAATAAGACTATGTTCTTATAAAAAGAAGGGAATTTGGAGACAGACACACAGGGAGAATGCCATTTGGACATGAAGCCAGCCATCTAGAAGCCAAGAAGAGACGCCTGGAACAGATTCTCCCTCACAGCCTTCAGAAGGAACCAACTGTGCCAGCACCCTAATTTTGGACTACCAGTATCCAGAACTGTAAGACAATAAGTTCGGTTGTTTAAGGCTTTCAGTTTGTGGTACTTTGTTTGGATAATGCTATGAAGCTAATATAGTTAACCAAAACTATATTACAGTTCTTGGTTAATATAGTTAACCAAAAATAGCCTCAGACATCTTTGTGGTCAGAAGTTGCCATCAATACAATATGGTACATTTCTGTCTAGAGTCTATGCTATGATATGTGGTTTGTTTCAGCTATCTATTGTATTGTAACAAATCATTATAACACATTGATTGCTTAAAACATCTAAAATGACAATGATCTATTACTTCTCATGATTCTGTGATTTGGCTGGGGCTTAGCTGAATGGTTCTTCTGCTCACACTGGCCTAAATCTCATGCTGCTTTTACTCAGGAGTTTGGTTGGGAACAAGATGCTCAAGATGATGTCTCCTTTTCCAAGATCTCTTCTCATGAGGCCTGCCAACCTTCGTCTTTCTAGGTAACCCAAGCTCCTTATAGGGTAGCTAGAACCCAGGAATGCAAAAGCAGAAGTCACCAGGCCTCTAGGGGCAGAGGCCCACTCCTAGAAGGGGTAGACCTGGATCTGGCACAGCATCACTTCTGCTACATTCTATTAGTCAAGCAAGTCACAAGGCCCAGCCTAGACTCAAAGAGAAGACAAACAGCCTTCACCTCTTGTTGGGAGGAGACCATGATTAATCCACCACAAGGATGCTGTTTGTTCCCCTGACCTCACCTGTGCTCCCACCCTTCCTAAAGCTGTTTTCCCCATGCCATACAACTGAGTACATCTACAGGATCTGTCTGAGATAGAAAGTCTGGCAGTGGCTTGAGGTGTCCTGCTCTCAATCTTTGGTATATAATTGACTATGGCTTCTGGCCCCATGTTACTCTTCAAGTCTCCTTTGCTGTCAATCACACAAGGGAACCAATGTCCAAGTTGAAGCTCTCCACTCCCCTCTGCAACATTGACTTAATCTTTTGGACAAGGCTTCTGTCTAGGTCCCAGATCTCAGCTCTCTGTCATCACACTGCCAACACTCCATGTCTCCACCACAACTGGGGGCTTGCTCTGACCGTGCTTGGTGGCAGAGTACAACTGCCCAGAGTACAACCATGCACTGTGCTGGTTCTATTGATAATTGCCTAGATTTCCAAATCTTTTCTGTCTATAGTATTCTTCCCATTGGAAATGATACTATGTTTCTGATAATTTTCAAAACTATGGTTAAGACTGATGTGCTCTTTGGACCCTGTGTCTGGTATGCTTGATTGTACCTTTGGAATAATCTTAACAGCTGGTCATTTCTCCGACTTTGTCACATCCTGATGTGGGTTTTCATGCCAAGAATGGACTCACCTATATCTGCATCTTCTCCCAACTGCTTTTGGAGATCTAGAGGTGCTTGGCCTAAATCCTATGTTTAGAGGCACCTTGATGACATCAGCTAGGAATGGCCACTTGTCACATCTCTCACGTGTTGACCTGTGCTGCTCCTTCCATCCTCAGCTCCAGCCCTCACCTGCTATGAACAGGAGCAAGGGACATGTGGGGTCATGCGGGGGGTTGGGGGGAACTACTTCTTCTAGCTTAAACTCTTGCACTTTATTAACCGTGAGGTTGATTGTTTCAGTTAGGACACTTTTGGCTACAGATGGAAACTCTGGTGAATAGGAGCTTAATTAAAGTATGGATGTATTGGCTCACATCACAGAGAAGTAGAGATATAGGCAGACTTCAGATGAAGCTAGATTCAAGGTTCCCCTGATGCTAACAGGACTGGGTTTCTCTCCTCTTGCCTTAGCCTAGTGTCATCCTGGATCCTTTCTTGGGCTTTTTGTGGGGTTCCCAATAACACTGGGCCCACCATTCATAGGGTAAGACAGCTGGCACAGTGCCATTCTTGCCTCTTCCCAGGGGAGAGAGTTATCATCTTTCTCAGTCCTGTCCACACAAGTCCTGGGGCTCATCTGACTGGATGGGTTTCTGCCACTGGTTTGCTCTGAATGTCCAGGTTAAACAATTAAGATGGTTGTTTGGCTCAAATCTGGGTCATATGAAACCCCATGAAGACCCCATGGAATGAGAATGGATGGTAAATCTCTGACCAACGATCAGGGACTGTGGCTGGAAGGAAGGGGAAAGACTGTTGGGAAGCAGGGTAGAATACATGTCTACCATATTGATAGAAATAGCATCTTGGATGACACATTCCCAAAATGCTTAAAAGGCTGGACTAATGGGCTTGAATTTGTAAAATAAACTAAAATATGTATGAAGTGTTTCACATGAATGCAAAAAGTCATCCTAATATGAAAAATACTCTAGTCAACTATAAGCTCAGTATGAGCCACTAAATTGATTTGCCTATCAGCAACATTAACAAAAGCTAATGTACTCTAATTTTCTATCTATTAGAATTATTTAATATTGGATTCAGTGGCCTTAGGAGATAGTTTCTAACTGTGACTAGATATGATAAACCAAAAGCCATATAATCATGTATAGGGATGCCATGGTGGGAACCTGGGGCTCATGGACTCATTCATTCATTCACTTATTCATTCAACATATATATACTGAATGCCTATGGTGCAGGCTCAGATCTCTCCCAGCAGATACTGAGACGAAATGTAGCATGCAAACTATTCTTTAAGGGTCATCACCAATGGAAATGGGGAAGGAAGCAAGATTGGACAGATGCGATACAGGTCCAGCAAAGCCTTGACCCTAGGGTGCTCTAGAACTTCAGAGGAAATAGTGCCCATCTTATTATTGTGTTAGACTGAAATGGCTGGACCTTGATACCTTGAATTTGATTAGTCACTGGATGTGGGCCCCCTGGGGAAGGAAGACTATGGTTCCAGGGGAGGCAACTTTCTGCAGCTGAGACAGACCCTAAAGGAGCTGACAGTTGGAGACAAGTCCTTCCACGTCCACCAAAGCACTGTTCCAGGCATTCAGAATACAGCAATCAACACAACAGACACAAAATTCAAGCAAGACTGAGCATTCTAGTAGAAGAACAGAATAGAATTTTTAAATGCCTGAATGAATGTGTATGAGTTAGAGATAAATGCCATGCTGGAAAATTCATCATGATAAGGTGAAGGTAGAACACGATGGAAGAGGAAATGGTGGGTAGTGGTATGATGGTTGTGCTATTTTCATCAGTGATTCTTAAGTAGAAATCTACAGAAGTGAGAGAAATAACTCTACATACATTTGGGGATAAGATCTCCAGACAGAGAGCACAGCAAATACCAAGGCCTTGAGGAACACAAGGACACCAGCATAGCTGAGGGGAGGGAGTATGCGGAGAGTGGCAGGAGATGAGCTTAGAAGGACAGCAGGCGAGCAGGTCATGCCAGGCCATGGCCCAAGTTCATACTTGAGGTTCATGGTAAAGACACACTGTGAAGTGGCAATAGAGGTAACTTCTTAGAGGTACTCCCTTCACTTAGCTGCTCATTTATAGAGGAGTGAACTGAACCCCATGGAAGTTATAGGATTAGTTCAAAATTGCATAGCTAGGTAGAAGCCCTAGAGAAATTCAGAACCGAGACAGACAATGCATGATGTATTTATTAGGATGCCATTGGCTACATGAAAGAGAAACTTTGGATTCAGACAGGCTTCAATAAAAGGAAACTTAATTATCTCACGTTACTGGAAGACCAGAGATGGGAAGGCCCTGAGCATACCTCTTTGAGTGGCCCAATGATGTTCTGTCCATCTTTTCAGCTGGCACCCTCAGTGTATCAGTCAGGGTGGGCTAGGATACGCTGCAATAATAGGCCTCAATTCCAGTGGCTTTAAAAAGCAGATACATAGAGAGATGGATAGATATTAATAGATAGAGATATAGATAGATATTTATAGATAGAAATATTTATTTTTTTTATATTTATATCTCTATGTACTATCTATCTATCTATTGATCTATATTTACTCATGCTACATGCCCATCGTGGGACACTATTTTTATTAGCTATCAGGCATTCCTCACTATAGTCACCTAAGTACTCACACTGACAAAAACCACTCCCATATAGAACATCGCTGATCACCATGCCAGAAGAAAATGAAAATTCTAGAGTGTCTTGCAGCAGCAATTAGATGCTCTGTTTCAAAAATAACACACATCATTTCTGCTCACAACTCATTGACTGATACTAGTCACTTTCCCCTCCTACTCACAAGTGGGCTAGGAATTGCAATTCTACTACATGCCTGGGAGGCAGAGATATTTGGTAAGCAGTGCTAACAACTATAAAATTGAGGCCGGATGCGGTGGCTCAAGCCTGTAATCCCAACACTTTGGGAGGCCAAGGCGGGTGGATCACCTGAGATCAGGAGTTCAAGACCAGCCTAGCCAATATGGTGAAACCCAGTCTCTACT
This sequence comes from Homo sapiens, assembly GCF_000001405.40. Lineage (NCBI taxonomy): Eukaryota > Metazoa > Chordata > Mammalia > Primates > Hominidae > Homo > Homo sapiens. The sequence continues at coordinate 11,237,175 of NC_000017.11, forward strand.
AAAAATGCAAAACTTAGCCAGGCTCGGTGGCTGGTGTCTGTAATCCCAGCTACTAGGGAGGCTGAGGCAAGAGAATCGCCTGAACCTGGGAGACGGAGGTTGCAGTGAGCTGAGATCACGCCACTGCATTCCAGCCTGAGCAACAGAGTAAGACCTTGTCTCAAGAAAAAAAAGAAAAGAAGATCAACTTCAACTCTTAGCTGGTGCCCCAACCCCAAGGTAACAACATCCAGAGAAATAACACCAAAAAAAGAAGAAGAAAGAAGAAAGAAGGAAGGAGAAGGAGAAGGAGAAGAAGGAGAAGAAGAGAAGGAGAAGGAGGAGAAGGAGAAGGAGGAGAAGAAAGAAGAAGAAAGAAGAAGAAAGAAGAAGAAAAGAAGAAGAGAAAAGAAGAAGAAGAGGAAGAAGAAGAAGAAGAAGAAGAAGAAGAAGAAGAAGAAGAAGAAGAAGAAGAAGGAATTATCACTATTTTTAAGAGCAAGAAAATTTCCCCAGAAACCCCCTGCAAACTTCTCTCACTTAGTATTGGCTAGAACTGGATCATATGTCCCTTCTTAATCCCTGTGAAGGGGAAAAAGATTTATTATGTCTAGCTCAACCCAATCAGCATTTGCCTTCATTTGCCTTCTACAACCAGGGACTGGGTCACTCTCCCCTGAACCTCAGGACTGTCTGAAGTTGGTGGAGGTGTTGGAAGAGATGATTCTTCTCTGGTACTTTTTATTGAGTCAAATCCACAAAGAAAGAGCACTTTAATACTGTCAACAATTCAGGCGCTCAAACTAGAAGGAGAAAAGAGAAATGTATGGTGGTAACCAAGCAACCTTTTCTACTACAAAGGGCAAACCAGGAGGGCTGGAAATGTCAATAAGAAATACAGTGTACTGCAGCAAGAGTTGGGATATATAACCCCTAAGATCTTACACAACCCTGAGATGCTATTATTTCCATGAGTGTTGATGCCACCACTTATGAGCACAGGGGTTCAGGATACATTTATAGGTGGTGGTGGTCTGAGAAACCAAATCAGTTTCCCCTACTTAATGCCGCTGAACAAATCATTAGAGTCTGATGTGAGGAGGACACATTTCTCCTATCCATCATTAAGGGGCTCTCAGACATGGAAAAGCAAATTCTGGAATAATGAAGGGATGGTGAAGGCTCATGGAAGAGACAAAGAAGGGAATAGCTTAGAAATTGCACAGAGTGTAAAGGTAAATATATAAGGCTGTTGTCTTCAAATATGTTCTTATGATTCCCAAATGTATATGCCTGTCTTATCTTCTCTTCTGAGCTTGCAATTCTTGTGCAGGACAGCTCCACTTAGTTCTCTCAAAGGAACCACAACACGACTATTGCTAACTCTGTCCTGAACCTGCTTTTTCAGCCATGCTTATTTCCACTGTGGGCATCAACTCCCAGTAATCTACTGCATCCCTTCATCATTTTTTACCTGTATTATCAGGACAGCTTCCAAATTGCTTTTCCTGCGTCCAGTCCAGTGTTCCCTACTCCATTTGACTCAGAGATCCAGCAAACATGTAAAACTGACAGTGTCTTCTCCTGATTAAAACCCACCAACAGTTCCCCAGCAATTGTAGAATAAATTCAAGTTCTTTGCAAGGGAGGATTCAATACCCTCCTGCTAGCCTTATTTGGAAGACTCCCTCAGGGTTCACGCTAAACTGCTTGCATCCCTGCTCACACACCTTAACCACTTCCTGTCTTTCTGGTTCTGCTAAGGATGTTCCCTCTGCTGGGAGCCTCCTTCCCCTCTTGCTTGCTGTATTAACTCGTAATCCATTCTTCAAGATTCTGCTCTACCTCATTGAGAAAGCTACATTTGACCCCCATCTGTCCCCTTGCAGGCCTAGGCTGGGTGCCTGTCTTCTGCTCTCAGAGCACCCTGCCCGCCTTTATCATGAGACGTAACCTTGCCATGTGGAAATCATTTGTTTATCTGTCTCCCTAATGGTCTACAAGGTCCCCCTCCTTGAGGAAAGGGACTCTCTTATTCATTCTGCTGGCAGGGAGTAGGCACTAAACAAATGTTTGTTGGACAGAATCTTTAAGAAGAAGGTGGCAACTGAGAAGTTAAGGGAACGGGAGGAAGTGCAGAGGAAGAGGGAGGGAATGGAGACAGTAGCAAGTGGGGAGCTGCGGGGATAGTCTGTGCACCGCCCCCCACCCCACCCCCTAGTCAATATCAGGATCTCCCTCTTGTGTCTTGGAGTCTGAGTTCGAGCTCTAATATATCCATTCCACGGTTCCCAAAAGAGGAACTCTTCTGTTCCTGGATAGGGATCCCTTGTTTAGGTCACACATGAGTGGGACTGAACAGAAAGTCTCAGGGAAAATTCTCTACCGCCCTCGCTCTGACAGCCTGTTCCCTGCCTTCAGTTCCCTGCCTTCAACCAAAGCACGCTGGTCACGCAGGCAGAATCTTGGCCTTGGCCATCGCTTTTTGTTCTCAGTTCCCCCTACCTCCTCCAAGGACACACGCCAAGGATGGTACTATGATTCTCTTTTGGGATGGCCTCGTAGCTGTGAAAGTTAGACTCAGGCCTCCTTTCCACAGACCCAGACACGCAACTACCCCGGAAAGCACCCCCGCCCTGCACCCCCATCCTCCTCACCTCCCATAGGAGCTGCAGCACAGAGATTTCAACACAGGGGTTACAAAGCTGAGTCTCAGAGGTTCAGATAGCTTTCTAATGGCCTCGAGGCTCCGCGGGGAAAAAAAAAAGTATAGCAAAGAGTTGCCATCCAGTCCTGGGGCTGTCTAGCGCCTTTATGCGTAGTGGGTACGGGGTTGGGGAAAGAGTGACCAAGGGGAAGAGAGTGTAGGCTCAGCTCACGGGTCGCCCAACAGCCTCAGACAAGCCACTTGACCCCTGGACTCAGTTTGGGAACCTGTAGCAATGGGTTTGACCTCTTCTCCTGGCTGCGAGTATCACCACTAGGGAGAGGCAAAGGCTTGCAGAAACCCCAACTCCCGCTCAGGCAGCGCGCTGCCCCGGGCTCCGGTAGGGTGGGGACTGGTCGCGAAGGCTAGAGAAGGCAATGGCAGGGGAGGTCAGTCCCTGCCGCGGGCCGGCTGCAGAGCGGACGTTCCGCCCTGCTCCCGGCCCCCTCTTCGCCCGCCGGGTTCGCCGTGTCGAATAACTGCTGTCCGGAGCTTTCGTGACGCGGAGCTTCAACTGCTGCGATCCGGAAGAAGCGAAAAGGAGTCCCCCCCGCCCCGCACCCTGAGCGCCCGGGCGTGCAAACGTGGGTGGCGGAGAGCGGCTGCCCTCCCCTCCCCTGTCCCCCCTCCCCTCGCGGCGCTCCCGTGTGTGCGGGTGTGTGAGTGCGTGTGTCTCCCTCGCTCACTCTCGCACACGTTCCGGCACTAGTGCAGGCGGCGAGCCGGCGGCTCTCCGCTCGCTCGCTCCGGCAGCTGCGTTCCCGCCTCGCCCCGCCGCCGCCGCCGCCGCCGCCGCCGCCGCCTCTGCAGTCGCAGCCGGGCATGGTGAGTGAGTGAGGTCCAGCCGCCGCGCGCTCTCCCGGCTCGCCGCCGGACCCCAGCCTCAACCGGCTCCGTCCCAGGGAGCCAGCCTGCGGCGGGAGCGCGCTGCGGGGCCGGGCGGCTGGGGGACCCGGGCGGCCGAGCTGCGCCTGGAGGGGCGGCCCGTGCGCTCTCGGTTCCAGGCGCGCAGGGCCGCGGGACCCCGTCTTGGGAGCGGGCTCTACGCCCCTCCCGGCTCCGAGTCTCTCTCCTCGAGGGCTGCGCGCACCCTCCCCGCCCGCCTGCCCGCGGTTCTCCTCCTGCTCCCGGAGCGCCAGTCGCCCCACCCCGTGACCGGCTCCCCGTCTTGTCCCGCAGGACCCGCCCGGACGGGACCACGCCGCCGCCGCCGCCGCCGCCGCCCGGAGCCGCGCTTCGGGTCCTGCCTGAGCCGAGCCGCGCGCGGGGCCGCAGTCACCGCCGGCGGGGGATGGGGCTGCCCAGGAGGCGCGCCGAGCCCGCAGGGGGAGCGCGGAGCCGGCGCGCAGCCTGAGAGCCCGAGCAGCCCGCGCCGGGCCGGTCCGTGCGCACCGCGCGCCGCCGCCGCCACTGCCGCCCGCGCCTCGATGGCGCCATCGCCCCGGAGCCGCTGACCGCTCAGCGCCTCCAGCCCGGCCCGCGCGGCGGGTCCTCCGAGCCCGGCCCGCCGGGGGAGCGGCCTGCCGCGGAAGCCTCCCCGCGCCCTCCCGCCCGGCCCCGCCATGGCGCTGCGGCGCCTCCTGCTGCTGCTGCTGCTCTCGCTGGAGTCCCTGGACCTGCTGCCCAGCGTCCACGGAGCCCGCGGCCGCGCCGCCAACCGGACCCTGAGTGCAGGCGGCGCTGCCGTCGGGGGCCGGAGGGCCGGGGGCGCCCTGGCACGGGGCGGCCGCGAGCTGAACGGCACCGCCCGGGCGCCCGGAATCCCGGAGGCGGGAAGCCGGCGGGGGCAGCCCGCGGCGGCTGTGGCGGCGGCGGCCAGCGCGGCCGTCACCTACGAGACGTGCTGGGGCTACTACGACGTGAGCGGCCAGTACGACAAGGAGTTCGAGTGTAACAACAGCGAGAGCGGCTACCTGTACTGCTGCGGTACCTGCTACTACCGCTTCTGCTGCAAGAAGCGCCACGAGAAGCTGGACCAGCGCCAGTGCACCAACTACCAGAGCCCGGTGTGGGTACAGACGCCCAGCACCAAGGTGGTGTCGCCGGGGCCCGAGAACAAGTACGACCCGGAGAAGGACAAGACCAACTTCACCGTCTACATCACCTGCGGGGTGATCGCCTTCGTCATCGTGGCCGGCGTCTTCGCCAAGGTCTCCTACGACAAGGCCCACCGCCCTCCACGGGAGATGAACATCCACAGGTGAGAGCGCCGCGTGCCGCGCGCCCCGGTCTCCCCGCGGCCTCACCCTCTCAGCTTGCTTCCCCTGTCCTCTTCACTCTCGGCATCATCACACCTCCCCAGGCCCTCTAGTCATTTCCACCATCGCTCCTTTTGCATGCAATAAATCAGGGTCTTCTTGTGCCCCCTCCTCCATTTCTTCAGAACCGGGAATGCATGCTTTGGTGGTAGGGGGATTTACAAGGCAGAGTAAGAATTGGTTGAGTGCATGAAGTTCCAAGTGTAAGAATGTTACAAATTCTGTAATCGTGGATGAGGATCCAGGGTTCTGCTTTCCTGGCATGAGGGCACTTTGGTGTAGGTTCTTAATGGCATTTAGTTTTTTGAGTCAAATCAGAGTGTCATCTTCAATATAGGAAACTGACCAATGTTGGAACCTTACTGAAAGCGGTACCAAGTGGCTTAGGGTCAACTGAGATGTTCTCGTACATTAGGAATTGGGGTTTTATAGAAAGGATGCCTCCTGCCGGAAGTAGGGATAAAGATTTCTCCATTCCATGTTGACCAAGCACAGATGGTGTCTCCTCATTGCATCCTGCGGAGTGGGATGTTTATCTTTCCTGCTGAGACTAGAGGACTCGTTCTTTGAAACCCTGTAGGCAGAACTCTGAGTTAACAGTACTCGCCTGTGTTAAACCTGGTGGGGCATCTTTCACTGCTTACGTTCGAAAGACAGTGGGAGCTGCCTCCTACCAAAACTTACGCCAAGAGCTCAAACTATGGCAGTCCCTGGTTGCACGCTGAATGCTGCCCCGACGCACCATCTTGCCCCCCAGTGAGCCCTTGGGGAAGTCAAAGCCAAGGGGATGACAGAAACCCAGCCTCCCCTTAGAACTCTAGGAATGACACACCCAGAGGATGCAGAGTTAGCTCGGCTTCCTGTCCCCTCATGTTGATGGATGGCTGGACATGGTGCAAGAGTCCTCTCAGGGAACAAACCCTGCCCCGGGAGATGCCTCCATTTCTGTTGCATGGTGTGGGCACTGCCCTAGTCACCATGAGCACCCCCCAGACCACTGCTTGTCAGTCAGTCCTGCAGGCCCCCACACTGACCCATTCACCTTGAGCTCTTCTCTGCGTCCTGCTTGTTATTCTTACCACCTGAAAACCGCCTTCCTCGCTGCTGTGCACATTAATCACCCCTGCCTTGCTGAAGAGAGAGAAAGGCAGATAGAAATTTCTAGGCATGTTAAAAGAGCTGATTTTTTTTTTCTGCTTGATACTGTGGGTGTTGAGAGAAATGATACTCCCTGGAAGGTTTTATTGAGTCAAATCCACAAAGGGTGGGTACCTCAAACTCGCGTGCTGGAATTGGAGTGATTCCAAAAGGAGACCCTTTTATAAGGCTCTGTCACCCTGAGGTGCCTCCACCCTGTCTTCCACTTGCACCTCATGTCTCAGATAGTGCAGTAAGTATCCTCTTGTGTGAGAAACAGCCTGTGGTCAGTCTTGGCTCTCAAATGCAGAAGACAAGTGGGACGGTGAGCAAAATAAAGGCAAGAGACAGTTTCTTTTGCATCTTGTCTGGCAAAGAATTTTCTGTCTCGGCTCAGTGTGGAAAGAAAAGAAGGAATTGCCCGTGGGCAGGTGCTGTCCTGAAGCAGATGTGCTGGTCCTTATCATCCTTACACCTCTGCCTCAAGACTTGGAGGCTTGTCTCCTCTTCCCCTTCCCCTGTGGCCTTGGCCTCTCATTAAACCTTCTGCTCTGACCACAGCCGCTTGCTCGTTGATTCCTACACATCTTTCTTTAAGTTACTTTCTTTCTGAGCCATTGTTCTCTGTACTCAGGGAAAACTGCCTGCTGCCCTGACCCTTCCACCTCACACAGTTTATTCGTCATCGCCTGGGATGATACAGAGGGCGGTGTCCTCAAATGCTGGCAGCAGGCATCTTTGGATGCTGGCATTGGCACGTGACCCTGGAGAGGTCACTGTCCCTCTTGGTGTTTTCTCCCCTTCCCACCACCCTGATGCCCCTTACGCCAAACTAGGGTGAAGGTGATTACGGCATTGGGGCAGCTTCTCTCTGGGGTTGGGGAAGCAGAGTAACCACGGGAAGGGAGATGAATTTCAGGCCTCAGAGCTTTATGCAAATATGGGATGTTTCCCCCTCAAGTTCACCACCTGATTTTATTCAGTTCACAGCCTCTCTTCCAGCAGCTGCAGTCTTGCCTGATCAGTGCTTTGGAAACCATCATATCCGTGCCTGTTGGGTAGGGGACAATGCCTGTCTGTGTGTGGTAGGGGGACAGGGCATGGGGGATCCATCTACGACACTCCATGAATGACCTTGGGCAGGTCAGGGAAACTTATTTTTCAGTTCTGGGTAACTGAAGCACAATGTCCCAACTCAGCTTCTTGCTTCCGGGGCACGTCAGGGTGAGTGTGCAAGTTGATCTCAGACTCCTGGGGGTGAGTGTGACTACACCACTCTTCTCACTTTGCTCACACCTCAGAGACCACCGTTTGCCATTCTGGGGAGTATTTTTGTGTAGACTGTCTTGTTGGGCAATCAAGGTAGGGAAAAGGAGGGAGTGATAGAGACAGAGAAATATTCACACCGTAATGAGTTTTCCTTAGGGAAAGTGGGGAGGAGAAAGAATGTACACTCTCGAGAGGTCAAGAGAGGAAGCGGATGTGCATGCAGTTACATATTCCTTGAAATAGCTCAGCAAAGATGTTTCCTTTCTGAACAAGAAAGACAAACCGGTTTCAGTGTGTGCTTCCCCCTGAAGATGATAGGTGGGCAGACAGGGGCTGAGTCTGAGGGAGTTTCAGTGAGAACAGCCTCATTGGAGAGGGACATTTATGGGAGTGTGAGCAGGGGTGAAGGGAACGGATGGGCCATCTGCATCTGCCTTAGTGCTCCCAGGCTGGACAGCCCTCCGCCTGCCCATGCACACACATTCCTTAGGGTAGGACTTCCTTTCATCTCTCTACTCCTTCAGGGAGGAAGATATTTCATCATTTCCAGAAGTGATTAGACCTTGCTATCGTGTTTCTGAGTGAGAAATCAGTGTCTGTGGGGGAAACCGTCAGCTCTCTTGTGATTCTAATAGATGAGTACCAAGTCCGACTCAGCTAGCTGGACTCCGTGGAGGAGGAAGAGATGGGCACAGGATTGAAAGGCAGAGCTGGGTGCTGGATGTGGCCAGAGAGCCCCAGGGCAGCCGTGCCTGCCTTTCCCAACCGGAAGCCCAATTCCTACCAGGATCTCCACTTCACTTTTCCCTTCTTCCAAACTGCCCGGGCTAAGGCTCAAGCTGCAGCCATCCACAGATTTTGCTATTTCCTGACTGACTTCCGCACAGCTCCCCTGAGGGGCTTTTTGTTCTGGGAGGGCCGCCAAGGGCATGGGCTGCACCCAGGAAACCGCCTGGGAGCCTGGGTCCTTTTTGACATTCATTTTTGTGCTAGCTGTCTCACATCCAAACCTGTTCCTTCCTCCTCACCCTGAGTTGATTCATTAGTGTCTTGGAGATGAGAATCATTCTGAGGGAGGAACTGTGTGGCTTTTTTTAATGGCTAATTAACAGATGGGTCAGGAAGCTATTAGGATGCTGGAGACGCAGTTGGTGAAATCAGAGCTGCCCTGGGTCCTTCCACTGCCTGCACAGGAGCAGAGGGGATCAAAGAATGTGGGCAGGGTGGGGGGGGTGGATATCTAGGTGGGTGGGAAGAAAAATCCAGGTGGATATCAACAGGAAAAAGTATTAGGAGGTGACCCCTTCATCTTGGGTTGGTTCTCTTGCTTATTTCTAGAAGAAGTCAAGGGAATACTTTGTTCTACTCTTTCTCCCTCCAGAAATTAATTAGAAACTCAAAGAGCTCTGTTATTTCCTCACAGGCCACATAACTGCAGTGGCAGGGCCCCTTCGCTGGCTGATTTAGTGAGTTCTCTTCCTAGGCTCCTGGGCAACAAATTGTCAAGTCACTGCGTTTTTTGAAGCACTGTGAGCTCACTATAATGAATTGATCTAAATAGAGAGTCGACTTATTTTTCTACTTCAAATATAGAAGGAAAGAAACAAAAAAGCATCTTGCCTTGGACTGAAAGTTTTAGCCTTGCCTTTATTTCTTTTTTCTTTGAGTTAAAAAAAAAATGCTTCGCCGGGTGCGGTGGCTCACGCCTGTAATCCCAGCACTTTGGGAGGCCAGAGTGGGTGGATCATTAGGTCAGGAGATTGAGACCATCCTGGCTAACACGGTGAAATCCCGTCTCTACGAAAAACACAAAAAGTTAGCCGGGTGTGGTGGCATGCGCCTGTAGTCCCAGCTACTCGGGAGGCTGAGGCAGGAGAATCCCTTGAACCTGGGAAGCAGAGGTTGTAGTGAGCCAAGATCGCACCACTGCACTCCAACCTGGGGGCCAGAGCGAGACTCAGTCTCAAAAAATAAAAAGAAAAAATAAATGCTTGTAGGGAAAGAGGAAAATTGTGGAAGAACTGGAGAAGTCTTATGGAGGAAGGGCTAGGGGAAGGATGCTGGGAAGGCAGAAAGAAGCAAAAATAGCGAAAGGAGGAAAGCAATCCAGTGAGAGGTTGATTATTCCCACTGAAGGGACAAAGTGACGTTGCCCTGCCTTCATGTGCCACAGGCTTGGTTTGTCCTGACTCTTGCAGACACACGCAGACATTCACTTAACAAATGAGCCCTGCTCACCTTCCCTGGGCAAGATGTGTTTCATACTACACCATATAAGCTTATAAGACACATGTTGCCTTTGATATATGAGGTTAGCAGGGTTCCTTCTTGCTTTAGCAGGGCAACCATGCAAATACTTTTCAAATTCCCTACACTGTGCAATTCTCCTTGGTCACATTGCTCACTGTCTTCATGTCCCTTCCTGCCCCTCCCCAAGCTCAGAAGGCCTTCACACCCATCCCTTTCTCCCCTCTTACCCTACCCGAGGTGGGGAGCACATTCATTTCTGGGAATCGACTGCTAAGGTACCAAGTTTACCCACTGTTCTAGGCTGCCAAGACACAGCTAGAGAAAAAAGCCTAATTCATTGTATTCAACTGGTTTTAATGAGAGATCGGATTGACCGTGCAGTGGATTCAAATCAATTGTGCAGGAAACAGTGGTTAAGACAGCTGAGAAAGTGATCTGATTGAAAGAGGCTAATTCACTAGCTCCAGACGGACAGTCCTACGGATCCGGAATAAAAGGGAACCACAACAAAAGAAGCTTCATGCTTCCAGTTCCATCGCCTGATTTTCCAGGGGCTGGCAGATTGTATTTAGGTCTTCCCTTTCTAGTTCAATTTCTATAGTCTGCAAGAATTCCTACCACATGCTGGAACTGCCACCGTGCTCCTGGCTATGGGAGGTCACCACCCTCCTTCCCTGCTGCCCTCTCCCCATTCAAACACCTGTACCATCCATTTTTGAAATTATGGTGAATTTTGTCTTACAATTTTGCTCATAGCCCTTGATGATATATCACCTCTGGAACCACAAAATGATGGTTTCAATTTACAAGCATGTAAGATGTCTCAGATTGGTTGGTGGTGGTGGGAGGGGTTGTGCTTGGGTGGAATATATGAGGATTTAGACTAAGTACGTTTTGTAGTTTCTGTTGTGATTTTTCCCCTCTTTTCTTTACCTTGGGAAACTCCACCCCATTATTTCTTCCTGAGTTACGTTTATGACCTCACCTCTTTGGCGTCTTTCTTTTTTTTTTTTTTTTTGAGATGGAGTCTTGCTTGGTGGCCCAAGCTGGAGTGCAGTGGCACAATGTCTGCTCACTGCAACTTCCGCCTCCCTGGTTTGAGCTATTCTCCTGCCTCAGCCTCCCAAGTAGCTAGGACTACAGGCGCCCGCCACCACACCTGGCTAATTTTTTGTATTTTTAGTAGAGACAGCGTTTCACCATGTTAGCCAGAATGGTCTCGATCTCCTGACCTCATGCTCTGCCCACCTCTGCCTCCCAAAGTGCTGGGATTACAGGTGTGAGACACGGAGCCTGGCCTCTAGTGTCTTTCTTTGCAGATATTGTAGAGAGATAAGAGGCCTGGGTACAAGGGTTACCAGTGAATCCTCAGAGGGTCTCAGTCCCTTGAACTCAACCCTTGAGCAAGCTTAATTTTAAAACAATTCAGGATACATTGCTAACTCTATTTTTTTTAATCTCTCGAAGTGAAACCAGAACTTCTGAAAAAGCAGGGTAGTACATTCTATTCTTTTGTCATCTATTACAGAATTATAACGTTTTCATTGCAGGCAATTCATTTAATCTCGTTACCTAGTTTTACAAGTGAGGCAACTGAAATTCAGAGAGGCTAGGTCACAGTGCCAAGGAGCCCAGCTAGTGGGTGGGTGAGCTTGGAGGTTAAGCCAGGGCGCCTGTGTTCTAGCGCTCAGACTCATCTCATTCAATGAAAATATATTCTGCTTCTTTACTCTTTGCACGTTCCTTGGTTAGTCATCACCAAATAACTTTGGGATCCTTAGAGATGTGAGTTACAGCCTTCTCCTTTCTCTTTCTTTCCTACGTTTCTGTACCCCTCCTGGTTCACTGTTTCCACTGAATGTCTCCACTAAAATGATTTCTGTCGATCTTCCCCGCTCCTTTTGCAGTTTTTTCACGTTCCTTTCTTAAGGGCAATAACCTAATCTAAGCATAATCCTTTTATAAGGTCTGAGTAATGCGGACTATTGAAGAAGGAAAATAACAGCACAACCAAAGAGTTGTGGACTGGGGCAAAAAGTCACCGAATGAAACTGTGGGCAGAAATCTGTCATTAAAAATTCAGGGCCAGGCACAGTGGCTCACGCCTGTAATCCCAGCACTTTGGGAGGCCGAGGCGGGCAGATCACGAGGTCAGGAGATCGAGACCATCCCGGCTAACACGGTGAAACCTCGTCTCTACTAAAAATACAAAAAATTAGCCGGGCTTGGTGGCGGCGCCTGTAGTCCCAGCTACTTGGGAGACTGAGGCAGGAGAATGGCGTGAACCTGGGAGGTGGAGCTTGCAGTGAGCCGAGATCGCGCCACTGCACTCCAGCCTGGGCAACAGAGCGAGACTCCGTCTCAAAAAAAAAAAAAAAAAAAAAATTCAGACTGTGAATGCTTTCTCTCTCTCTCCCAGAGATGAGTGGAAATGCTGAATGCTGAGACCTACCGGATCAATGCAGTTCAGCTCTGTGAGAGGCCAGAGACCTCCCGCCATCCAGTGGCCGTGTGTGTGTGTGTGCGCGTGCGTGTGTGTGGACGTGTGTGTGCGTGTGTATATGTGTGTGTGATTTCAGGGTTATCTTCTGGGTTGGCCCCCTGCATAGAATATAGCTCTGCAAGCCACGGAAGCTCATTCATAGACGCCAGTTTTGCCCTTTCTCAGCTCTGGGCCCAGATACTGCAGGCTAATCAAGCTGGAAATCTGGGCTTAATCATTATGTGAAAATAACCTCTGTGGCATGCAGTTTGGGGGTTTTCCCTGTAATGTGCTTGATACTTCCTTTGAAAGAACCTGGTTGTACATACCTTAATGTGTCACCCTTCCAAGCAGTCACCTTGGGAGGCCGCATGCTGATTTTTCTGCAGAAAATGTTTCCACGGTCCCTCTCTTGAAAGTACATTGAGAGCCCATGGCATGTCATTTTGACTTTATATAAGGGTAACATATTTTAATTTTCCTAGGGTTGATTTGATTCTTGTAAGCAATGGTAAGTCATGGGGCTGAGTCTGATGAATGAGATAGGTGATCAGAAATCAAGAGTGCCTCCAGTAATGAGACTTGCTCTCCTAGGAGCCGTGTCAGCTGTCTCTGAAGGCAGGAGCCCAGAAGAGGCATTTCAGAAAGGAGTGAATGGCAGCTCTGCACAGGAGTGCCTGGCAATCCACGATGATCATTTTGAAGAGGACACTCCTCATGAGGAACGACAATTATTGGCCTTAAGAAAATCAGTTTTATGCTTTATCCGTGTGTCAGGCAGGTGGTGGAGGTCCTAAGAGAGAGGGAGAAAAAGGAGTTGAGTCTGCAGCAAGCATTTCACATGGAACTGCTCAGAAAGGGTGAAAAAGTGCACGTCCCATATTTCTGCATGAGATAGTAGACAGTTAGCTTAATTTAGCTTCCTAGTTTGATACTGAGGGTAAAAGGACCCAGTTTTACGGGATGTATGCAGTGAGGCTCGGGGTCAGAGCCAGAGTGTTCACTGTGCCTTCCCTTCTTTCTATCCCAGGGCTGTCGCCTCTGTACTTCTGCATTCAGACGGGGTCACCAGCTGGGCCAGACTGCCTTAGATGATGTAGAAATATTTGCAAGCCCAGGAAGATAAGGCTGCCAGTGAGCACTGCTGATCAATTCCTAATGTGCATTTATCACCACTCGCTCCACCCCCAAATGTCCATTCAGTGGATGAATTGATCACCGAAATGGAGCGAGGGTGGGGCAGGCTGAGTGTAAAGGCAGGTGACAAGGGTTACCAGACTCAGTGTCTGCAGGCAGGGAAGCCATGGCTGTGCTACCTGGGTAGAATGGCATTCCTTCATCTCAGTCAGGATTTAGGGGTTGGTAAAGGGCTGGGCATTTGTACTGCCCCCATGCATAGGCCGGGGCAGAGCCTCTGGTCCTGATGACCCTCTAAAGGCCATTGTTGGGCATTCTGGAGGAGTCAGTCTTGCTGTGAGCCTGGGGAGTCCCTCTTAACTCTGCTCACGTGTCAGGACAGTGGGAGCTCTGTGTCCCAGGAGCTTACACAACCCCATCACTCATGCAAGCCCACAAGCCAGAGTTGGAGAGAACTGGAGATCTCGGTGAGATGAAGACTCAAGGAAGTGGAGAGGATGGTAGAGAGATACTCATAAGAGTGCCGGGTCTCGAGGGCTTACTCTGTACCAGCATCCAGCTTGCACCTAACCTGCATTATCTCGCTGCATCCTCCCATCATCCCGTCTGAGTGTAGGGGCCCATGTTGTAGATGAGGAAACCGATTCAGAGAGGCTTAGTAACTTGCCCAAGGTCACACAGCTAGTACATTGCTGGTGCCCTTCTCTCTCTCAAGTCCAGTAGAACAGTTGGGTCTCACCTTCCTGAATGTAATGGAGTCAGTGATACTCAGATTACTTAAGAAAGCAAAGACCTACCTTCCCATGCCCTGGGACTGGTTATCATAGTGAAAGACTGGGAAGATAAGTGACCTACCTATGAGGGCTCTGTGGAACCAGAACGGCGGCCCCCATTTAGATTGCATGCAGGCAGCAAGATCCTCAGGGCAGTGAAAGAGCTCTCTTTCAGGAATATATGATATTGGCTGAGGATAGCAAAGGCAATGCAAAGAAAATATTAAACAAAACAAAACACCCTGATTTTAATTGAGAAAAAAAAAAAACTTGACAATATTGAAAGAACCCCTGGGCAATTCTGCATGAGTCAGTGGAGAGCAGTGACGGGAGCTTGGGTGAGGGGCACAGGAGAGAAAAGAGGCGATTTGGGAGGCGGTATGGACCTAGGGATATTTCTAGTTTTAATTACTGAGATGTAGAGCTCACAAACAGCTCCATTTATCACAACTCTCCCACCCTGCCCCATGTCTAACATCTAGCATCGTGCATGCAAGACACAGCACTTTAGCCAGCTTGCTTCTGCTGTTCCCTGTTCTGGTTTTATTCCTTCCCTGTTTGTACCCTGGTGGCTGTGCTTCGTAATGACTCACGCTTTCCCTGTGATTCTCTGTTTCCGGTTCTCTCAAGTCCCCTGTCCTGAGGGGCACGTGGAAAGGAAGGAATCCTGGGACACTCTTAATAGCCTGTGTTTTACTCTCCAGCTCCCAACCTGCCACACGCCTCAAGGTCCGGTTGTCACAGGGCGGTGAGCAGCAGCTGAACTCACATTCCCTGGTGTGCAGCTCTTGCCAGGGGCACCTGAGCAGGAAACTCACCTCTGCCTGAGGGTGTGTGAAAATGTATCTCACTAGTCTTCCGCAGGAACCCAGCGTTCCCGCTCCCTGTTTTCATCCTTCTTGTCCCTGCTTGACTCATGCCTACTCCTTGTTAGAAGAGCAAGAGAACACTTGGACCCCTCCTTGCCGAAAGCCCCTGTCCCTCTCTCCAGACCCACGGACGCAGGAGCCCCAGTGAGACCTCTGGGCGGCTAGAACCTTGGCCCCATTCCCCAGTGTTTGGGAGAAGAGTCGCTGCTTTCTGCAGTCTTCGCAAACACTCTCATTATTCCTTGCTTTTTTGGCATTTGGTCTCGTGTACTGTTCCCATTAGCTTCGGCATTAAAGTCTCATTACTCAGGACATCTGTCCTCTGGACATATTCGTTGTTCCCTTAGCCAAATGTCCTCTTCTGGGAAGCGTGTTTTCCACCCAAACAGCCACTTCTCTCTTCCTTCGCCCTTGCTGTTTCAGTGGGAGGAATATGAATTCTGAAAGGCTTGGCGGAGGGAGGGGGTGGCTGTTAATTTGAAGTGGCATCTGAGAGTCCCTTCAAGAGCCCATCCATCCACTCCTTTCTAAGGTCCTGAGAATATGGATCTTTGCTAGGAGTCAGGCAGGTTGGTGGCCAAACACCATAGGAGCAAAGAAGGGAGTCGCCAGGGGAGTTTTCCCCACTCAGTCCTAGGATCAGGCTCAGATACAATCACTAGGGAATTCTGACCTTAGTCACTGCTGTTGGACGGCTTTGACTGAAGGTGAGACTCCTCTTAATCCATCTCCCTGCAGCGACAGGGCATGTGGCTGGCTCAAAAGCTGAGGCTGCTCCAGAACTTGGGGAAGAATCTGGATTCCACCTTCCCTGTTGGACTCATAGTTAGCTGTTTCTGACTTTTTGCTGCATCTTGAGAAACTTGCCTGAAGTTTCCCAGGAATGGTGTCCCATAGTCTTGGGAGACTATTTATGCAATGGGAAATATCAATGCGTTTCAGTGCTCAGATAATCAACAGCCAGCTTCTTACCCAGCCTCAAGCATTCGCGAAGAAGAATATATCGGGCTTTTGAGCCGAGGATCTCTTACACCTCTCCCTTGCTTTTAAGTCACATCATTAAAATGTTTCTTCGTGTCACTTTCGGTGTTCTGTCCACTGCTGTGTCTTCTCCATCTGTCCTTGTTTTGATTCCTGTTCAGTTCTGTCGAGCTGTGTTCCTTCTCCCCTCTCTGTCCGACTTGCCTTCCTGAACTTGTCCTGCCACAACTTCATTAAGCCGCATCGATTTAGATGCCACTAATTCAAAATTTATCCAAATTGGACCTGGGCAAAGTTTTTTTTTTTTTTTCTTTGTCTGATAAAAATCTGTGATGAACAGATTAATAGCTCAAACAAGACTGCAGAGATTTCACAGGGGACATACACCATGGAGAAGGTTAGATTGTTTACAGGCGGGCTCTTAGTAGACAGTTGGCATGTTAATTCCAAATCATTCTTATCTATTCATTGAAGTAGCTCTTCGAAGATCAATTTTATTTTATTTTTTTAGTTGAGTTTGAAATCCTGCATTGGCCCGGGAAGCAGTAAAAATGCATTTCCTTTAAAGTGTTTTGGAATTTTTATGTCTGTTTCGTTGATAGGGATTAGCCTGCCCTTATTTCTACTGAATTGGTGATGCTTGACTGGAAGCTGCTTCAAATCTCCTTTGCAATTCCCTCTGGGGGTTCCTGCTAATTTTCCCTCTTCTTGTTTCTTTTCTTTTTCTATTTCCTTGAGTTTTTAGAATCCAACTCTCTCTCTTTCGGCTTTGAGAATTCATGTTATAAACTTCGCCACATCCTTGTGCTCGCTTTTCTGCTTCTTGCCACAGTCATAACCAGCTGGGCCTGAGAGGTTATGGATCTGGAGGCAGACTTTGGAAAACTTGTCCGGACTTCGAGCCCTGCCTTGGCTCTCTCTGTGGTTCTCTCTCAGTGGCCTAAGGACTCTTGCTTGTGAATCACCATTCCCAACACCACTGTTTGGATTGAGGAGACAGCATCACACCTACTGTAGGAAGTGGTAGGAGGCCCTTAGCCAGCAGCCCTGCTCCTTATAGAAAAGAACTTTGACTTGCTTCTCTTAGTCTGCTTATGTGGCTCTCAAGGGACATCTAGCAAAGCCTTCTTTCACCTTTGGAGGTTGTCATCCATCTTTCCCTGCCTTAGAGCATTTCCTGGGAGCTGAGCTACAAGACAGAGTAATCCCAACTCTGTCACTTTCTGTCTTGATGACCTTGGGTGAGTCCCTTGGCCCCTCTGCTGTGGGATGTGAGCTGTAGTGTTGTGGAAGTGTGTTCTTCTTTGGCCCATTCTGCCCTCAGCACACCTGAAAGATACATGCTGACACAGTCCACATCTATACTTACAGGTTCAACAGCTCTGGGATGTGGGAGGAGATGTATTTTCCTTGCATACGCCACTCAGATAAGAATGTTGTCTGCAAGTGGCCTTGTGAGGATGCTGCTTTTAGCATCTTCGACTCATAGGATCTCTTGGTAGAAGAGGACTTATGAGGCATTTTAGTGACTCTCTCTTTTGGCACCACCTGCCCCTCCTCTCATGCACAGCAAGTGGCCATCCATGCGTCTAGGGCAGGGCTGCCCCTACCTCTGGAGGCAGTTGGTCTATTGTTAGGATGCAATTCTAGTTGATTCTCATGGGGAGCCAAAATTACTTCTTTGGCCTGAGATCCACTTCCTGGAGTAACTCAGAAGGAGTGTATCCTTTCTTTTGCAGGATGGCAAAACATCTGTTTGAAGATGGCATTCAAGGCCCACATTCAGTCTTCCCTTCTCCCTAATAAATAGGCACTCCTAGTTAAGAGTCTGTCCTCATGGGACGTGGGTTCAACTTCACACTGGGGCAGAGGCTGTCCACCCAGAAATGGGGTTATAATTCTATGGTAAAACCCCAAAGGAGATTTCTAAGAGCAACATGTGGATCTCAGTAATTCAGATGCAACTTAAAGATCTGGTTTCTTCTGGGAAGTTCTTTGGTCTGCAGCCCTACACAGCAGCTTTGCTTTGTGGCAGGGATCCATCTCCCATACCACTATGTCAACAGGACAGGAGTGTTTGCCTGTTTTGTTTACACCTGTATTCTAGTGCCCAGAGTAGTGCCTGGCACAGAGTAGGTGCTTAAGAAATATAACTGAATGACAGGCTGAATACATGAGTTAAAGTCAGTAGAAATTAAAGTGGTCTTTTTTGTGTACCCTGCCCTTCTGATATTTGCATTAGTGTGAAGATCCTTGAGTAGGGAAATGACAATAATGTTTCTAATTGTTTTAAAGAAGGAAGAGAAAAATGAAGGGAGGAGGGAGGAAAGAAGGAAAGAAAAGGAAGAAAGAAAAAGAGAGGGAGGGAGAAAGAATAAATAACTGAATCTTTTACAGAACGTGTTGCCCTGGCCAGTTTGATCTGTTTGCCCTTCTGTGCCCCATTTGACTCCTGATTTCTTTTGCTCAAGCTGTGAATACCTTCATTTGCAGCGGGGCTTCATCTGGATACTTCTTTGCAGGCTAGTGGAAGCAAATCCATGGTGACCTGACGGGAAGGAACAGGCTCTCTTTGCCTTTGGCTGTCAAAGTCCAAGTTCAGGGTTCAGCAGAAACGGGTGTGTGGTCATATGGATTTCCATCCTTAAGCCGGAGTGGGAAATATGGGGCGTGGATGGTCCCTTCCAGGATGACCCACGGCCACAGCTGTGCTGTGTGGCTCCCCCACCACACCAAGAGTGTTGCCAGTTTGGCATAACTGCACCAGTCCTCTAAGACTCTCCTCTTCTGCCTATGCTTTTGTTGTGGTCCTATAGGCTGAGCCGATGTAGATATTAGGAGGTTGTAGACATTTGGATTTATTTATTAGTCAAATATTTATGTAAGTGCTTAATAGGTGCCAGGCTCCTTGTAAGCCTCGTAAGCACTTTACAACTATTACATCATTTAATCCTTATGATAACCCTAAGAGGCAGACATTATTTTTTGCCTCATTATTTTGGTCTTATTTTTTCAACAAGGTCACAGAGCTACGGGACACTTAAGTAGCTTGCTAACAACCGCCAAGTGGCCAGCATTCCAACTTAGGCTTTCTGGCTTGAGAATCTCAGTGTGTGGCCATTAGGCTGTGCTGCCTACGTGTTGCCTCACTTCCAGGTTTAGGTCTGAGCCCATTGCAAATAAAGAAAATAACACCGGCCGGGCACGGTGGCTCACACCTGTAGTCTCAGCGCTGTGGGAGGCCAAGGTTGGGTGGATCACCTGAGGTCAGGAGTTCGAGACCAGCCTGGCCAACATGGTGAAACCCCATCTCTACTAAACATACAAAAAGTAGCTGGGCGTGGTGACAGGGGCCTTTAATCCCAGCTACTCGGGAAGCTGAGGCAGGAGAATCACTTGAACCAAGGAGGCGGAGGTTGCAGTGAACTGAGATCACACCGCTGCACTCCAGTCTGGGTAACAGAGCGAGACTCTATCTCAAAAAACAAAACAAAACAACAACGCCAACAATCACAAGAATCGTAATGGCAGCAGCAGCCCATTTGCACCTTGTACACAGGTACAGTTATGAACTCATCTGTCCCCTGGTTGACCATATGGCCCTGCTACCAAATCTTGGTAGCATTTTTTGGTTTCCCAGCTTCCAATAATAATAGGTGCACCTGACACATCCACGTTTTCAACGAATTCTCAGACAATCCAAGTATTTCTGAAAAGTCTGGGTTTGATATTGACGCTACCACATTTCTCAGGCCTGGGGGAATTTTCATATGATTAATGTAAGGAACGGAGTATGTGAAGATGATGCTGTTAGGATTGAATTGGGCCCCCAGGGGATGCACATCTACTCTCTACCTGGCTCCCGGCTGGCCTAGTGACAGCGCCAGGACAGGCACCCACTGGGATGGAGAAACTCGCTCGGCTTGCCTGAAAAACAAAACAGGCAGGCCGTGCCTTCCCTCACTGAGTCCTGCGACGTTTATTGGCCATGATGAATTTCAATTGTGCTGGGGACAACTCAGACCTGCAGAACAGCTCAATGCAGATGCACAGACATTGTTAACACAACAAATGAGATCTCCACAGCCGTTCTGAGCCTCTCTGTATGAGGAGAGCAGTCTTGTGCACACACAAAGCCAGCAGCTGTGTTTTTCAAGTGGACTCCGAGAGAACCGGTAATAGGGAAAACTAAATTAAGCCGTTCTCCTTGGTCCATGTTTGTTAAAAATACATTCATTTCAATTGTCCTGGCTACATATTTTAGACAATGGAAGCACTCCGACTGTCCAGTAGGTAAGTGTGAGATGAGGTTAAAGAGGACACCAACAGTTCTTAAGAGGTCATTATCAAGTAAAAGCACAGGGGCGGATGTAGTGGCTTAAACCTATCATTCCAGCACTTTGGGAGGCTGAGGGAGGCAGATTGCCTGAGTTTCGGAGTCCGAGACCAGCCTGAGCAACATGGTGAAACTCTGTCTCTACAAAAAATTAAAAAATTAGCTGGGTGTGGTGGTGCTTGCCTATAGTATCAGCTACTGGGGAGGCTGAGGTGGGAGGATCGCTTGAGCCCAGGAAGCCGAGGCTGCAGCGAGCCGTGATCTCACCACTGCACTGCAGCCTGGGCGACCGTGTGAGATCCTGTCTCAAAAAAAAAAAAGAAAAAAAGAAAAGAAAAGAAAGGAAAGAAGGAAGGCAGGAAGGGAAGAAAGAGGAAAAGCTCAGTTATCTGGGACTCAAATAACCCATATCCTTTATTTAACTGGAATAAAGTATCTACATTCTGCTTTCAAGAGAAATACAAAAGAATTAGCTATCAGAGACTTACCTAAAGGAAACAAAAACAAGCAATTTCCACCATCTGTCTTGTAGTTTTTATATGAACAGTTCCATTTCCTAGACTGTCTACATATTACTTAGGTTTTCATCTGTGAAGAGAACTAAAGATTAGACTGATGGCCCTCTTGTGAAGAACCTTGAATTTTATAAAAAAATTAATTATATTCAGTATACTTAATTAGGCAGGAATGCTTTTAGAAAGTTCTTCAAAAACAAGAGTGTTCTCATTAGTCCTTAGAAATAAGAACATTAACCAGAATAGCTTATTCACGGAATAGTTCATCTATTTGGCCTTTTATCATACTTATCCAACAGCATCATTTTCTTCCTACCATCCCGAAAAGAGAAAGGGCATGATTAGGGCTCGAAACTATCCAGTTTGCCTTGCATTTGGCACAGAATAACTTACTGAATAATAGCTGAGCTTGTTTTCTCCTTTCCACAGCATTTAGACAGCTCAGAAATCCAGAGACGTGGCAGAGGCCGAAGGTTTGTTTCCATTGCACCACTTCAGTGAGCAGCAGTATTCATGGGGTCCTCATGGAGGGCATGTTGATTGAGATTTAAAAGAATTACCAGGTGAACTAAGGGGCTCTAGGTTCCCCCACTTAATTTGGGGGGAACTAAGTTTGACCATCTGTTCAGCGAATGAAGATTGGGACAAAAAATAATCCAAGTTTTCATTTTGGTGCTCTTTCACCATATTTATTTTAAAATTTGAAAACTCCATGAAGTCCAGGGACAGCTGGGTAGATCCTGCCAGACTACTGGGAAATGCTTGGAGGAACAGGGCCCTCACTTCCCACTGGCCTTATGCACAGCAGGGGTCTGGTGAAGTATATTGGTGTTCTAGTCAGGATTTCATTTGGCAAAAAAGATGGCTGCTAAAATAGTGTAAAAGGTTGTAGAGCTGTTGATGTGAATGACACACTAAGGTGAATAGCACTGAGCAGTTCAGCCACAGCTGAGTTCTTAGGTCTGGGTAGGTCTTTGCCCCAACGATTAAACACTCTCTAAAATCTTGTGTTCAGGGACCATTACAGGGACATAGTAGGTGAAGAAGACAAATGTGACTAAGTGGATGGATGGATGGAGTGTTGGGTGGAGGGATGAATGGAGGAATGGATGAATGGATGGAGAGTTGGATGGAAGGATGAAGTCTTCAATGATGGATGGAGTGTTTTATGGATTGATGGATAGAGTGTTGGATGGATGGATGAGGGGATGAATTGGGGGAGATGGATATAATTTTGGATAGATAGGAGGTGACTGGATGGTTGGGATATGGGATGGAAAGAGGGAGGGAAGGATGAATGGAGGGAGGGAGAGATGGGTGGCTAGATGGATGGATAATCCAGTGGTATATAGTCAGCCCCTGTAGTTTAACCTACCTATGTTTGGAATGTGAATTCAGCACTTACTAGCTGTGTGACCTTGGGTAACATACATAACCTCTAAAAGTTTTCATTTTCTTAACAACGAAATAGGGCTACCGATGGCACATCCCTTGTAAGAGCATTCTGAGAAATATATGATCCAATGCATGTAAGAGCCAGTGTCTGGGACATAGTAATCACTCAATAAATGATAGTCTTTAATATCTCGAGCAGACAAGACTGTGAGGCAAAGTTATGAACAAGGTTTTGTTTATTTTTCTGTTGTTAAGGGAAATCACTTGCCATTTTAAGCACTAGTTCATATCCTGAATGCAGGTGGTAACACGTTAAAATGTTGACTGGGCTTGGTCCCTGCAGGTGTTGAGATAACTAAGCACTTACGGAAATTCAGATACACTTTCATTCCCTCAGGACCACTGACAACAATAACCAAGGTTTTAAGCAAATACATAATTGGTATTGAACTGAATCACTCATTTACTAATTGTTTCTCCATGCCCAAATATTAACTGGCATTTGCTAAATTAGCTGACCCAGCTGGAGGGACCAGGAAGACTCATTAAAGCTGATGATTTGTAGGAAGTGAAATGTATGTAAGAGGCAGTCCCAGTGAACAGAAGGATGCCCGGGCTCAAGTCAGAAGCCTTGAAGTTAAATCCCTGTTCCAATATGTGTTAGTACTGGAATTAGCCTGAACCTCAGTTCCTTGTTAAAAATTGTGGTAATAATAGCTGCAAAGGTCACAGGGATAGGATGGGAATCACATGAGACAGGGCAGGTGAATGCATCGAGAAATTATTAAGTGCTATCCAAATGTAAGATGATACTTTTGCTATTAAGGTGATTAATACACAATACCAAGTACTGAAGAAAGCTTAAGTTTCCTGGCCTGATCACAATGACTGTTTTCCCTGATCAGATTTGCTGCCTGATTAATTTACTCTCCCCTGCTCACCACACACCCGAGAAAGCCAAGAAATAGACAGAAGGGAGCATCAAACCTAGGCAATAATCCAGATAATTCAGGCAAAAGAATTCTTTTGTTTGATATATCAGATATTGCAGCAAAAAGGGCTCGCTGTGGGTGGGGGATGGTTGGAAGGAGCATACTACTAAGGTGACTCTTCACTTCAGATTCCTAAATCAGACACATCTGTCGTCCACATGGGGGGTGACAGGGCCCTGCTGACAGCCTGTCGTGTCCCGAGTCCCTCACTTGGCCGTCTCTGTGTCTCTCTCCGTCTGACTCTTCCCCTCCGAATGTCTCTCTCTGACCCCCTTTCCCTGTCTCTTCTGAATCGCATTTTATCTCTGGATTTCCCTTTGGTTCTCTGTGGCTTACTCTCCCTCTTGCTCTTCCTACCTGCTTGCCTGTCCCTCAGACTCTGCCTCCTCTCCTCTCTCTGTCTCCTGGTGCCTGTCACTTTCACTAACTCTCTTCTCTGAACCTTCCCTGCTCTCTCTTGCTTGGGGTTTCAGACCCCCTCTCACTCTCCTTCTGTCTCCTTGGCTCCATCTCCCATTTCTCTCCTCTCTCCACCTGTTTTCTCTCCTCTCTTTCTCTCTGGACCTCTGCCCCCAGCCCTCCCTTTCTCTCCCTCTCTGTTTGCTACTGTCTCACTCTCCCTGTTGTTCTCTCAGATGCTGGAAGCTGCTGCCCACTCTTTTGCAAAATCTGCTGTGCTGTTCCTCAGTGACCAATTTTCTTTCCTACGGTTAGAAAGTAGCTCAGGCCTTAACCCATTTCCTCCGGCATATTCAAGTTAATTAGGTGAGACCAGAATCGCACATTTCAGAACTAGAATAATATTTATTGAGCACCCTGGAGAGAAGGGGATGGAAGATGGAGAGGAACCAGAGCAAGGAGGGGGGTCACCAATGGAGGGAGGGGGAGGGGGAGTAGGCAGAGGGACTCACTCTTAAGGCCACGTGGTCTGGGAATGAGGGCTTCCTTCCTAGTTGCCAGAGGGTACTGGGAAAGGAAGGATCCTGGAGAATGGTCACACATGGGTGTGGGACCAGGAGCATTTCCATAGCTGCCATGCACTTTACAACATGTGGCAGGGTTCCCATCCTTAGGTAGCCTGTCAGGCAGCCCTTGTTTGAGAAACACCTTTTGCTGTACACCCCTCTCTCTTGGCTGTGCTGACCAGCTCAGTGCAGCCCACTGGGCATCAGGAGCCCTCTCCCAGAAGATACATCGCATAGCGCAAGCTGCTTTCTTCTTTTCTCACATGACCTAGAGACAGCCCCTGGTAACCACAGTTCTGCTTTCTGTCTTTACGGATTTACCTAACTGGGTATGTTACAGAAGCATGGTCTTTTATGGTGTGCTTCTTTCACTTAGCATGATGTTTTCAAGGTCCATCCATGTGATAGCAGGTATCAGTATGCCTTTTTTAAATGACTGAATAATATTCCATTGTGTGAATAGACCACATTTTGTTTTTCCTTTCAGCAGTTGATGGACTTTTGGGTTGTATCTACCCTTTGGCTGTTATTAATACTGCTGCTATGAACCTTTGTACACAAGTTTAATGCAACATATATTTTTCATTGTTCTTGGGAATACCTAGGAGTAGATTTGCTGGGCCATATGTTAATTCTGCGTTTAAGGAACATTGCAGTTTTGAGGAGCTGCTAAACTGTTTACCAAAGGGATTGCAGGGTTTTCCATTTCCACCAGTAGTGTATGAAGGCTCCAATTTCTCTACCTCCTTGCCAATACTTGGTATTATGTGGCTTTTTGGTTATAGCTATCCTAGTGTGTATGAAAAGGTATCTCAGTGTGATTTACAGTTTTGGGACTAATATCTAGGTATATAATCCATTTTGAGTTAGTTTTTTATATGGTGTGAGGTAAGGATCCAACTCCCTTCTTTTTCATGTGGCGATCCAGTCAGTTGTCCCAGGACCATTTTGTGAAGAAACTATTCTTTCCCCCACAATTTACTCAGATGCATTTTTAAACTGCTGCAGTTGTCACTTTTCATGGGGGCAGAGTGTTGGAGCTGGACTCCTGGTAAGAGGGAAGCCTTGGGGTGGGCAGGGCCCCACCCATCAGAGACACCCCTCGAGAAGATGGAATAGTCTTTGCCTGGCATGTGCAAAACGGGAGTGCATTGAGGACTGGGGACCTGGATCTGAAGTGACAGTATCCAGGTGTAGTTTCTTGTGGCTGTCCACACTCATCTGTTTCCCACTGCCAGTGGGTATCTCACATGTCACACCCACAGAGGGCATCCTGTTTGAAAGCAAATAGGAGAGCGATTCCCCCTAAATTATGAACCCCTAGATGGCAGGAATTGGGTCCCATTGATCTGTGTCTCTTCAATGACTGATGCATGCTGAATCGTCAGTCAATGCATGTTTGGTTGTTGAAGCTAGGCGCTGAGTTAACAAAAGCTGCTTTCTCTGAGTAACTGGACCTCTTGCAGGGGGGCGGGTCTCTCCTGCTATGGCAGAGTCTCTGCCTGTCTCTCTTTCTTCCTGTGTATTTTTCCCCTGTGTTTGTGATTGCTCCCTCCTCTAAACTCCAGTTGTCTTCAATGTCTGCACCATCCACGTGTTTTGATTTTTATCTTTTCATCTCTATGTCCTGTCTTTGCAGCTCAATCACACCCTTCCTTGATAGCAGGAGCTGTGTGTTGTACTTATTTGGGTCTCCAGTATCTAGTACATGATACTCAGTGTGTAGTTTTGGATGATGAAGTGGTCCCCTGATATTAGTGACCTGCTGCTGAATTTGAGGCCGATGGTTTCAGCCCTTCACCATAGTGGCATTCCACTGGCCAGCTGCTATAGATACCTGCCTGGCATAGGTGGATATTTGGGGAGCCAGTATTTTGAAAGGGCTCAGAGTTTACTGATGTGAAATAAATTAAAGAAAGAAACCGTAGTCCCAGCCTTTTAGTCTGTACCTCCAGGCATGGTAACCTTTACCCTGTGTCCCCCCTGAGACCAACACCAGATGTAGCTGACTATTGAGAGCTGAATGCTGTCTCTGTCTCTTCCTGCATCTCTGTAAATCAAAGGGCATATGAAAGTAAGCCAACTCCCCTCATGGTTGTGCACACCTGCTCAGTGAATCTCATTATGTGATCTCCTCCTTGTTTAGGGCTCTGGCTGACATCTTAAGACAACAGGGACCAATCCCCATAGCACACTGTGAAAGAGAAACTATCTCGGCTATCGATACCTCTCCCAAAGAGAACACGCCGGTCAGATCGTCCTCCAAAAACCACTACACTCCTGTGCGTACGGCCAAGCAGACTCCAGGTAAGTAACAGCTGGGCACCTTGATTCTTTGCTGAGGCTGGTGAGAGGTTTCAGGATGTTTCTGCTCTGGTGGGGCAGGTTGTGGACCATGATGGTGTGATGAGGGACTCTCATGGACAGGCAGGCTGGCAAAAGATTTTTGGGACTCTCTCCCTGGGGTGAGTTTGGAATGGGCAAGACTGCTGCCGGTCAGTGTCTGGGCTGGATGAGGACTGACAATTTCAGGCACTTGTGACCTAGTGAGTGGTTGGTATAATTCTCTTACCGGAAAAGGAGCTTGCAGCATCCATAGCAGGGTATGGCCATCCATTCGCCCACGTGGTGGGAAACTTTAGGCTGAGTAGGATGCTAGATATGTGACAAGAAATTACTGTACCCCAATGTAGAGCCTGCTCAACTATTGGGATCTCAAAGAGCTCCTTCCTGAGGGTGAGAATTAACATCTGTATTTTTGAGTGACCTTTTCCTGTGCTCTGTAGATTCCCTGGATGTATGATGAGTTGCCATAAAATAACAATATGCCTTTTACTTTTTGTACTTATCATAGCTATAACTGTGAAGAAAATGGCAGGGCTTATTTTCCTTGTCTTACGGGTCAATATATGCAGCTCAAAGAAATTTAGTAACTTGAACAAGGTCACTGAGATGTTAATAATAATTTAAAAATCAGTAATAACAGTAATATAACCTAAATATTTATTGGAATCTTGTTCTGTGCCAAGAGTCATGCTGAGCCTTTTACATATATTTTCTTATTTATTCTCCACAGCAATCTTAGAAGTACTTATATTATCCCCATTTTGTGTGAGGAATGGAAAGGTTAAGTAACTTTCCCAAGGTCACATGATTAGTAAGAGAGAAAAACAAGATTCAAGCCAAGGCAAATAGTTAACAACAGTAAGAACTAGGAAACCGTAATATCCTTACCCAGTTAAGGGTATGAATCCAAAATATCTGAGTGGACAGTCTCCTTAACAAGTACAGCTTGGGAAGTCATCTCTTGTAGTGAGTGTTTCCAGATAGCCTCTTACTGGTACTAATCCTAGTCCCAGAGAAAGCTTTTACTTTGATGCTTGGATCTGAAATCTGCACATCTATTGCTCAACAGTTTTCAGAGGATGGGCAATGTGATCTGAACTAAACCTGCAATAAGGATATATAGCCACTAGGTGGCAGTGGGTGTGATCAAATCCAAACTATAGCAAAGGTGCTGATGAGACCAAATTTATTTTCCATTCATTCTTTAATTTTCTTAAATTTATTACGTCAGAAACCTAATATTTGCTTTTAAAATAGCATTCTTAAATCTTTTGAGAACCTAATAAAGGCAGATGACACTCCCTCCTGAAAAATACAAATACATATACATATTCATATTCAATCAACAGTTTGTATATGATTGAGGGGAATTAATAGATTCATCCAAAGTTAAAAACCTCTGCTGTAAAGGTAAAGATGAGGGCTCCACCTTTGCAAAATGTCTAAGATGCATTTTCAGCTTTAATACCATAGGTCCTTAAAACAAGCAATAGAAGGAATCTTGGCAAAAACTTCTGGACCAGTGGTCATCTACATGGCAGCGTTTTAGAATCACCTGAGGAGGTCTTAAAATTGCTGATGCCTGGGCTCCACAGAATCACTAGAATTTCTAGGGATGGTGCTGGCATCACATTAGTGTTTTAAACAATCTCCCCAAGGTGATTCTAACATGCGTCTAGTGGTCAGAATCACTGGTTCTGAAGGATTCATTCATTTTATGAGTGAAGACACTGAAAACCTAAGCCCAATGGTTCTTAAACTTGGCTGCACATTGGAATCAACTGGGGATCTTTAAAAATTAAGGATGTCTGGGCCCCATCCCCAGAGACTGACTGAATTGATGTGGAAGTGTGGCCTGAGAATGGAGGTGGGTGGGGGCTGGTGGCTAACACTTCCCAGGTGATTCTAATGTGGAGCTAAGTTTGAGAGTCACTGGGCTGTGGGAGTTGCATAGAGGCACCATTGTAACTAATCCTTTTTGTCATTGATCACTGTTGAACCCAACTCTGGTATTATCACCACCTTTGAGTAGTGTATTTTGATTTTTCCAAGGATTCATCCTTTGAAGTCATTCTCCACCAGAACCTTGTTGTGACTCTGAAACTTCAGGTCACTCTGGCATCAAAAGCACCCCTGGTTGTTTATCTTCCCCTCTCTCTGTTCGGGTTTTCTTTGTCTCATTCTCAAGCGAGCTGGTTCCCCACTGCTGAACACAGACTGATTAGGTGGACAGTCTGGATTTGCCCTTAAATACCCTTCACAGGGCAGGAAGATTTGTCATTTCTTCTGGTTTCTGTATACCTCGTCTCTTCTAGTGAGCTGAGAAGGAAAGCTTCCAGTTACATGATTCACTTCTATGTTTCAAGAAATTCTCCTCAAATTTCTCAAATTGGAACTCTTCACTTTGCGCTTAGAGATGGGAATAGTATCCTGGCCCAGAAAGCATTCTCAGTTGTGATGCTTAAATTTAAAAGCAATTTCATCACAAGCCGCAGCTTCTACAGATTATAATGGACACAATGCTTTTCCAAGCAGTTGATATCCTTTGCCACAAAATATTGCAGTTTGAGCAGAAGTTGAACAGAACTTTGCATGAGTGTTCAAAGTGGAAATTTACTGTAATTTTGCCACTCATCAAATCAACAAACCATCAATTGTAGGAGTATGGTAGTAAGTTTTTAGGGGGCTATTAAGGGAGATATCCAGCAACACCAACAGGCATCAGAGCATATGAGTAGCTTTGCTACTCAAGATGGTGTTGGTGGGTCAGCCACATCAGCATCACCTGAGAGCTTGTGGGAAATGCAGAATCCCAGACTCTACCTCTCCTGCTGAATGAGAACCTGTAATTTGGTGAAATCACTTGGCAATTAGAGTTTGAGAAGCACTGGGAAAGCTTGAGCATTGAAGTATGTTCCTCAGTTTGCTTTTTGGCCCTGTCTCTTACTATGTATGTGATCTTGGGCAAGATTCTTTGTCTTTCCAAGTTTCTTTGTCTGCTATTGAAGCCAATCATACCTGTAGGTCAGAGTTGTTTTAATGGTATAATCAGTTAAACCAAGTAAAGCACTTAAGACAGGTCCCCATACATAGCAAACACTGACTGTTAGCCATGACCAGGCTATGAAGGCACATCCACAGCTCATGGAAAATGAATCAAATGAATGAAAGAACCAAAGGCAATGCATTGGTGTCCTTAGACCAGGCAGGGCCCATGGGATTGTGTGTGGGATGAAGGTCCCTGGACTCAAGCCTTCCTGTGGTTGGCTCCTGTCTGAGGCACATCCTCTGGGGATGAAAGGAATTTGTGGAGCTTGGTCAGGGTTTTGGACATTGAAAGCACATGCTTTGTTGGTTTGGGATGTGGGTTGAGAGTCCTGCAGTAATAATGAAAACAATAATAACACAAGTACCATAGATTGAGAACTTACTATGTATTGGGTACTCTGCTAGGCACTTTATGCGTAATAGCGAATGGATCCTGTAATATTTCTTAGATGTGAAAGTTTCTAATCCCACATTAGCAGAAAAATCCTGTCCCCTTCTATAAGAGCCTTTTACCCCAACTCTTCCAGGAAGCAGCTTTCCAACTTTAAAGATTGCCCCATAAGGAACACTTGGTTTGAATGTAGAAAACCAGTGAACCCTGCTTTAATCCCTTACCCCTCAAATCTGGCTGCCTGCAGACCCTTGCTACCCAAAGTGTGGTCCATGGACCAGGAGCAACTGCATTCCATTGGAACTTGTTAGAAATGCAGAATCTTGGGCTCTTCCTCAAACCTACTGAATCTGAAGCTGCATTTTAACAAGATCCTCAGAGGATTTGTACACATGATGAAGTTGAAGAAGACCTCTCTTAGCTCAGTGATTATCAGCCCTTGTCACACATTGGAGTTGTGTGGGGAATTCTGAAAATACCAATGCCTGCCCCCATCCCAAAGATTCTAATTTACTTGGTCTATAGTAGGACCTGGCATTGATATTAAAAAAGAAACAAACAAAAACAAACTTCCACGTGGTTCTCCTGTCCAGAAAACTTTGAGAACTGAGCTCTTAAAGTTTTGAGGGAACTGGAGGAAAGCTGTCAAATAAGGAAAAGATTCTTTGAAGATTTTGAATGTAGGTTCACATCAAGATCTGCAAGATGCAGACTGGCTAGGCAGAGTGAGTGTGGCTGTCGTAACCAGTCCTCTCCTTAATGGGTGGGGCTGAAGGGAGTGGAAGACTCAGGCTTATCTGAGAGAGGGAGGAGGTCAGTATGGAGCTTTGAAAGGAGACCCCTGGGCAAAAGCGGGCACAAGTAGAAATAAAAAGATTGTTTAGGGGACCAAGCGAAGTCATGAAGAGATGCACCGTACCTAGCGTTGCAGTTCCCTGAGTCCAGCACCTTAGAGGCTTGCTGTGGGCTTGCTTTTCGTAGATGGGGAGCAGGAGAGACCCAGCATGTTTGCCTGACCTCACCCCCTCCTAAAGAGCCTGTCCTGGGGCCTCTGGGGAGAGTGGGGTGCCCATTCCTGGCAGTAGCAATGAGATCATGTGCTGAGGTTACAGAATGTTGATGTCCAACTTCACTTTATCAAGAGTGACATCATCTGGAGACAATAAATATTCATGCCCATCTACATACCACTGTGAGTTGTATAAAAGAACAGCCAGTCATCCTGCCTGTTGTCAAAGCCATATCCATTAATGGCAGACAAAGGGAGCCAAGGGTCATGACTCTCTAAGCTTCATGGAGACCCAGAATGGAGGCTGCACAGGTGGCAGAGGAGCACTCTGCCACAGTCCTGCATGCCCTGGTTCCCATCCCCCCACGCCTCTCTGACCTCAACCCCTACTACCTTCTGCTTCCCTCCTAGGCTGCAGACACACTAGTCTTCTCCAGACACACTGTTTCTTCTCATGCTGTTTGTATTCTTGCATTGAGATATTTCCCCCTTTCTGTTTCTGTAGCCCCAAATTTTCTAGCACTAGGTATTTGTTTTGTGGAATCTGTTGCTCAAGCAGCACTGTTTTGGAGAGGCCTTTCCTAACCTTCTCTGTTACCATCTCCGGCTTTACTTTTCTCAGAGCACTTACATCATCTAACATCATACATTTGTCGGTTCATGTGTTTATTATCTGTCACCATCAGAATTTAAGCCCCAGGTACACAAGGGTTTTATCTTCCTATCATTGTGGTATCCTAGGACCAAGAACATCACTTGGAAAATCCTAGTTGCTCAAGAGCTGTTTGTTCAGGGAATGATGAAAGATGACATAGTCCTTTACTTGGATGGGCGTAGGATCCAAGCACAGATGCTGGTTATGCAGCTGCTGCATGCTGAAGAACTCCCTTCAAGACTGCATCCCATGTAGTAGCCCTCTCTGTAAAGTAAGTATGGTGTCCGTCACTTGCATAAACCATAGGCTGGTCACCAGCCAGCTGGTTGAGCCAGAAGGTCCTGGTATCCGGTGCCCAGTTTTTTTTGTTTGTCTGTTTTGTTTTTTTTTTTTAATGGAGTCTTGCCCTGTCGCCCAGGC
Source organism: Homo sapiens (assembly GCF_000001405.40). Lineage (NCBI taxonomy): Eukaryota > Metazoa > Chordata > Mammalia > Primates > Hominidae > Homo > Homo sapiens. The sequence goes on from NC_000017.11 coordinate 11,269,089, forward strand.
TGGAGTGCAGTGGCGCGATCTCAGCCCATTGCAACCTCCACCTCCTGGGTTCAAGTGATTCTCCTGCCTCAGCCTCCCAAGTAGCTGGGACTACAGGAGCCCGCCACCAGATCCAGTTAATCTTTGCATTTTTAGTAGAGACGAAGTTTCACCATGTTGGCCAGGATGGTCTTGATCTCTTGACCTCGTGACCCACCCACCGTGGCCTCCCAAAGTGCTGGGATTACAGGCGTGAACCACTGTGCTTGGCCTGCCCAGGCTTCTTACTGAGCCCTGTGGCCCCTCTCCTCCTATCTGGGGCTGACCCAGAACTCCATGGGTCAGCGCAGCCAGGGACTGGGAGCTTCGCTTCCATGGCTGGGCTCAGAGGGACTGTTACCCAGGGTGCCCTTCCAGTTCTTTCCACCCTGCTAAGAAAGCACGGGTGGCTTGGAAGCCCAGGCAACCCAGAGAGTCCCTGTTCCCAGGGACAGGTTTAGGGCTGCCCATGAAGCCAGAAAACCTGGGCTGTGCAGCTGAACTGGGAAACTTCTGGTGAGTCTCAGCTTCTCACAGGAAGTAGGACTTTTCTTTTCTCAGTCATCCCCAAAGAAACAGAACTGTTGTTCTGGAGGAGTCTGAGATGATAGCCTCATAAGGTTTTGGAGCCCTATGGAGATGGTGAGATTAGCTGGCCAGAATTATGCTTGGCCTGTGAGGAAACTGAGGCACACAGGGGTCACTTAAGTGGGAGGTGACATCAATGTAGGTATAAAGCAATCGAAGCGCATCTGACACAAAAGCGAGACAATTTTAAGTCTTCACTCTCCAATATATTGGTTCCTAGCCACATGCGACTGTTGAGCACTAATTGTTAAAATTAATTTTACCTATTTATTTTTATTTTGTAAGTTTTTATGTTTTTAGAGACAGAGTCTTGCTCTGTCATCCAGGCTGGAGTGCAGTGGTGCAATCTCAGCTCACTGCAACCTCCACCTCCCGGGTTCAAGAGATTCTCCTGCCTCAGTCTCCTGAGTAGCTGGGATTACAGGTGTGCATCACCACCCCCAGCTAATTTTTGTATTTTTAATAGAGACAGGGTTTCACCATGTTGGTCAGGCTAGTCTCAAACTCCTGAGCTCGTGAGCTGCTCGCCTTCGCCTCCCAAAGTGCTGGGATTACAGGCGTGAGCCGCCGTGCTCGGTGAGGAGTGTATTTAAGTGTGATGATCTGATTTCTGTTTTCTGATTGCCAAGTAGTGGACAGCACAGGTTAATGAGAGAACTTTCTATGACTTTCCCTGACTTCTCTTTCCACAGGAAGACACCCTCCTATAGAGGGGCCAAGGTGATGTAGAAAGAGCTTGTAGGTTTCACAGTAAGACAAACCAAAGACCAAATTGCCCCTTGGTTTGGACAGCCTGGACCTTAGTCCAGGGCTCTTAAATAGGAGTTGGCAAACGTTTTCCAGAAAGGGCCAGATCGTCAATATTTTAGGCTCTGCAGGCCATAAGATCTCTGTGGCAACTACCCAGTTCTGCCCTTGAAGCACAAGAGCAGCCATAGATGATAAGTAAATGAATGGATGCGTGTTTTCATAAAATTTGGACATATGTTTCCATAAAATGTCATTTACAGTAGCAGGTAACGGGCAGGGTTTGGCCTGTGGGCTCTAGTTTGTCAGCCCCTCTCTGAAAGTCCCAGCCATCTTCCATGCGGTATTTCCTTCCACGTGGAATGTGACTAGAGACACGTCCTTCTCTGGGATCCCATAGGGGAATGGATGGCAAACACAGAGCTGTGAGCCCAGGAGGTGCCCTGCCAATGTCAGGTCCCATTCCCCTCTTTCCTTCCCTGAGGCTGTAGCCAAGGTATTGCTTGATTCTGATTTTATAGCTGGTTGAACCAGGGTTCATGAGGCCTGATGAATGAATCATGTTGCAGCAGGGCCCAGGGTCTCTAGGGTGCAAATGGAGAGGCAGCAGGTGTAGACAACTGTTCTTTGCAAAGCTCGGCTGTCAGGGAGAGAAGAGGCGGGAAGGGTGTGAAACAGGGTGTGCTCATCCTATGTGAGGGGTGAAGGGTGGGGGGAAATATGAAAACATGCCCATGCTGGAGAAAGAGAGCTGGTGGAGAAGGGTACAGAGGGGAGGGGTGCAGGAAGGGAGGGACCTGGGCAGGCCTTGGTTCTCCTCAGCCATGACCTTCTCAGTGGCTTTTTTCTATCACTTAGGTGATGAGGTTGAAAGCATGGTTATTAAATTTATAAGTGACACATCACTGGGAGGGATGGTCAGCACCCCTCAGATGATGACAAACTCGGGATTCAACATGTCTTGCATGGCGCAGATACACCAAGTTCCATTTTATTTATTTATTTTTTATTTCGAGATGGAGTTTCACTCTTGTCACCCAGGCTGGAGTGCAGTGGCGTGATCTCAGCTAACTGCTATCTCTGCCTCCCAGGTTCAAGCGGTTCTCCTGCCTCAGCCTCCCAAGTAGCTGGAATTACAGGTGCACACCACCACGCCTGGCTTTTTTTTTTTTTTTTTTTTTTTTTTTTTTGTATTTTTAGCAGAGACGGGGTTTCACCATGTTGGCCAGGCTGGTTTCTAACTCCTGACCTCAGGTGATCTGCCTGCTTCAGCCTCCCAAAGTGCTGGGATTACAGGCGTGAGCCACCACGCCCAGCCCCATTTTCCATTTAACAAGACCCCCTCTGCTGGCCAAAGCTCACCTTTCCTTCTGTGCCTGGGACCCCATCTGTTCCTGGTCCACAGAATCTTGCTCTCTGGACTTCCACCCTTCCCCTCCTGCGCCCTTCTCTAGCAGCTCTGCTCCTCCAGCCTGGGGATATGTTCAGCCTCTTCACCCTCACGTAGGATGAGCCCACCCTCCTTTTCACACTCTTCCTGTCTCTTCTCTCCCCGACAGCCAAACTTTGCAAAACACTTATCTACACCTGCTGCCTCTCCTTCAGCTCCCCTTACCTCCTCCTCAGCCCATCTCCTCCGCTCCACTACCAGGCACCCTCCTTCCCACAGTTTTGGGGGGTTCTGGGAACAGCTTCTTTTTTGGCTCTGCCATCAGAAACCCTGCCACTCCTTCCATGGACACCAAAGCTCTGCCTACTCAAACACATTTGGGTCCTTATGGGGACTCACTCTCTGTCTTCTATAGCTCCCCAGCCATGCTCTGCTCTTTGCTTGGTCTGGAATGTTCTCTTTTCGTTCACTTTCCCTCAGCCTAGCCTGCTCTTCCTTATCTCCCAGGCTCCCGCGTGGCTCTCACTTCCCTGGCTCCCTGCCCGGGGGCCTTTCTCCACTGGTCCTTGGTGGCATCCTGGGCTCCTCCGTCCTTGCAGAGAGGCAGTGGAGCGGGCTGACTAGGACTGTTGGCCCCAGTTTGGAACCCCGCTCTGCCTTCACTAGCTGGAAGTAGGGCTTGATCACTTTACTTAACCTTCCGTGCTTCAGTTTCCTGATCTGTAAACTGGGTATAAACTCTCCTACTTGTGTTGTGAAGATTGACTTAACCACCTCTGGGCTGTCTGGTTTCTCTAAGGTGTGTCTGGTATCAGCATAGCTCACCTGACAATCTCTAATCCCTGGCTCAGAGCCTGGCATACTCAAGCTGTCCAGTAAGTACTCACAAAGTGACTAGCAATGATGTGAACCCCATATTTGGGTCAGAAGTCCCAGTAAGTCCCACGGGGAACAGTAGGTCATATGGCAGAGTCACGAAGGTTTAGGATGAAAGAACAGAGCAAGTTGAGATGTCTGGAAACAGCTATGTCTTTAGACTGCTTTGAAACAACCTGGAATCCAGATCCAAGGTGGTGGCATGCCAGCTGTTTTCATGGCTGGAGTGTGATGCCTGAGTTCCTGTGTCTTGTTGTAGACACTCGTGCCCCTGGCCTGCCAGAGAGAGTGATACGGCTCCCAGGAAAGCTGGAGAACGCTGTTCTTCAAATCATATTAGCAACTAACAGTACTTTTAAAATGCTTTCCATGGACTGACCTATCTAATTCTTGTAACAAGCCCATGAGGCAGGTACCATTATAATGCCCACTTCATAGATGAGGAAACAGGTTCAATGGGGATTAGAAGCTTAACCAAGGTCACACAGCCAGGAGGGGGTGCTGACTGATCTGGGCGCTAAACACAGACCCTAGAGCTCAAGCCCTGAGGTCAAATTGACCAGAGGTACAGACAGGGCCCCGGGAGCCCCCTCCAGCTACGTGAATCCTGTTCTGAAGCCGTGTGTCTACACTTCTCATTTGTCCCAGTGCATGGATCTAGGGCTGTGGGGAGGACACCAGAGGAGGCCACTGCTTGCTCAGCACAAGGGCAGGCGTTCTCCTGATGTGAGCCCCTCTGCTCCAGGTCGGACCACCTTGCCATGCAACGAGCTGCTCACTCCGTGATGATTTTAAGCAAAGGAGAGGAGCAACTTGGGCATTTCCAGCTTGAGAGGAAGGCTGGCCTAGCAACTTCCAAGGTCCTACTTTTCGTGTGTCATAATAGAAACAGTAGCTGGGATTTGTTGAGGGCTGACTGTCCACGCCCTGGGCTAGGAGCCTTCATTATCATAGTCCTCGTGTAGGCAGTGTCCCCCTCCCAGTAGATAGGAGGCTACAGCGACATGGAGTGATGGGCAGCCTGCCCGCAGGCGCAGGGCTTGTCGATGTCAGGGTGTGGTCTGACCTAGGCAGCCCAGTGTCCAGGACTCACTCTCTCACTGGCTGCACTTCTCTTGGGATTCTGTGACCCAGGGTCAGAGCCCAGGCGAAACTTATGGCCAAATCACCATTCTGTTCTCAGTGCCAGGCTTGTCCTGCGAGGAAGCGCATCATTTTATGCCATTCAGGAAGGGAGTGCTAAGCACCTGTGTTCTTCTCCTGGGACATAAGTGGCTTTTCTCAGCATAGGATTGCCTTAAGGACAGGTGTGCCCAGAAGCAAAGCTTTCCAGAAGCCAGAGGAGCTGCCCTTGTGATGATGGGACCAGCTGTGCCCAACTTGTCCCACCCTTAGGGCTTCGTCCTGCCTGGTGGCTGCACAGGCTTGGCCAGAAAGGACCCATCCCCTGCCCCTCCCATCAAGGAGGCAGCCCGAATTGGGGACAGAGAGAGCCTACTTTCCCCACGTGGCCGGGGGAGAAAGGAGAACCACGGAGCTGGCTCACTAATCACTCACCCCTACACCCAGGGAGCCAGAGGATTTAGAATATGGCCGGGCTGTTCCCAAAATGAGGTGCCGGTCAGAGGGAAAGCCAAAGCACGGAGGACAGGGTTAGAATTCGCAATTACCTCCATGAGTTGGCAAAACGAAGGAAGCAACAGAGCGCGGTGCAGTGACAGGAGCGAGAGGGTGCTGGGCAAGGGCGGCCCTGAGCAGCAGGAAGTGAGGGAGAGCAGCCATATGCTCCTGGCCCCCAGGGATGTGGAGCGTGGAGCTCTCACCAGGAGGGAGAGCCCAGCCTCCATCTGAGTGGCCTTTAGCGGTCTTTTCCTCATGGGCTTAATGTCCGTTGCCTACAGAGTAAAGGCTATTTGGGAAACCAAAGATGGAGGAGGAGACGGCATCCGTAGCTAGATGTGCCACACCAACTGTGTACTGAACACTTCGTTAGGGCCTACAGGAGCTGAAAGGTGGATTAGACACAGTCCTGGCCTCAGGGGCTTAACTCCAGGAGCAGAAAGACGAGACAATACAAGAAAATAATTGACTCTACAGGTGCCCCTCCAGAATTATAGGCCACATGCTCAGAACGCTCAGAGGGAGGTTGTGTGGTCGGAGTGATCATCACCAAGTGCTTGAAGGGCAGGTAAGATTGAATGGGCGAGGAGGAGAGTGGAGGGTACTCCTGGAGGATGGAAAACGGGGGTCCACAAGAGCCTGGAAAACGGCGATGCATAAGGGACTAAAGGTTTGCAGAAGGGCACAGTGATCAATTCCTTTGGAAAGATTGGTTGTGGCTTTTCTGTAAACAGACAGGAGTGATTAAAGATTTGGGACAACAGCCAGGAAGGAACTGGAACTCTGTGTTCTAGTGTGGAAGGCTGCTCTGAGCAGGAGGAATTTTTTTTTTTTTTCATTAAACATATGGACTGTGTCCCTGGTGGGGTGGAAGATGTGTGGGAGCAGGTAGGGGTCGCTGCTGTGGAGGTGGCAAATGGCTCAGTTGTTCTAATGGCGTGGGAATGGGGCAAGGTTGGACCCTCCAAAGGGGCTTGGAGAGGAGGCTTTTGGGGGCCTACAGTGAGAAACCCACAGAGGAGGAGATGTGAGGAGCATAGTTCATTAGCAGCACCTTGAGAGCCAGAGAAGGAGGATGGCAAGATGGGACTCCAGATTCATTGATTCCTTCGTTCATTCAAAAGTGATTTTGGTCCTTTATTGGATGTCAAGCGTCAGCAATACAGTGAACAAAACAAAGTCCCTAGTCTCATGGTGTTTACATTCAGCTGGAGGAGGCAGAAAATAAACCCACGGACATATACTTGAAATCAGGCAATAAGGCTTTGAAGAGAAAGAGAGCAGGAAAAGAAAGTAGGAAGTGATGAGAAGTGAAATGAAGGAACCTGATTTGAGGAAGGACCACTGAAGCCGAGACCCAAATGACTGAGCCATGTGTGACCATCTGGAGAAAGGGTGTTTAGGGCAGAAGTGAAATCCTGCTTGGTATGAAGAAGAGACCAGAGTGGTTGGAGTAGAGAGAGCCAGGATAGAGACATGTTAAGGGCTAGAAGTCAGAGATGAGGGGCCTTATGGGTCACACTACATCTTGAGTTTCATTCTGGATGTCATGGGAGTTCTTGTAGGGCTTATAGCGAGTAGAGATATGATCTGACATGTGGTTTTCATAATCACTCTGGCCACCATCTTGAGACTAGATTCTGTTTTTTGTTTTTGTTTTTTTTTTGAGATGCAGTCTTGCTGTGTCACCCAAGTTGGAGTGTGCAGTGGTGCAATCTCTGTTCACTGCAACCTCCGCCTCTGGGGTTCAAGCAATTCTCCTGCCTAAGCCTCTCAAGTAGCTGGAATTACAGGCTCGTGCCACCATGCCTGGCTAATTTTTGTATTTTTAGTAGAGACAGGGTTTCACCATGTCGACCAGGCTGGTCTTAAACTCCTGACCTCAAGTGATCCGCCCGTCTCAGCCTCCTAAAATGCTGGGATTACAGGTGTGAGCCGTTGCACCTGGCTGAGACTAGATTCTGGAGGGGCAAAGGTGGCGGAGGGGAGGTGGCCTAGGAAGTGGAAACTATTGCATCACCCGGGTGATGGGAGGGAGATGGGACTTGGACTGGAATGTCAGTGATGGAAGATGTGAGAAAGACTTTCTTCAGGGTTTATTTTTCTTAACTTGTTATTTTGAACAATTTCAAACCAATGGAATATTTGCAAGAATGATACAGTGAACACCCATACCCCCTTACTAGTTGTTAACGTTGTAACATATTTGCTTCTCTTTATCTCTCTGTCTTCCTCCCTCTCCTTTTCCTTAACATCATCATCATCGTTGTCACCACCACCACCACCATCATCATCCTCACCATCACCAATACCATCATCATCCTCACCATGACCATCACCACTGCCATTGACATCACCACCACCATCATCACCATCACCACCATTATCATCATCACCACTGCTGTCAACACCATCATCACCACGACCATCATCACCATCATCATCATCATCATTTTTGAACCATGTGAGAACAAGTTGCCAATATTATGACTCTTCATTCAGGACGACTTCAATAGGTATCTTCTCAGTTCAAGGATGTTCACTTACATAACTATGATACAATTACCAGGTTTATGAAATTTGTCATTGTTTTAATACTAATATCTAAAGGAGAGTTCAGGATTTATTTGTAGGTATTTGCTAATGGATTGTATGGAGGGTACGAGGGGAAGACAGGAGTCACAGATGATTCCAAGGACTTTTGGCCAGACCAAACAGTTGATGAGCATGACCAGGTCAATCCAAGGACTTGAAATGAATAGCTGAGAGGTCTTACCCAAAGGAAAATTGGAAATGTTTGAGTTTTGGCAGATGAGCTGAGCTGGGGTGTTCAGTTCTCCAGTGGACGTTGCCAGAGTAATTACAAGGGAAGTCAAAGAATCTGGTCTCTCCCTCCCCATCCCCGGTTTCTCTTTCTCTCTCTCTCTCTCTCTCTCTCTCTCTCTCTCTCTCTCACACACACACACACACACACACACACACACACACACACCCCGCATGTACGTATACAGACTTTCTTCTCCCAGAGATCTAGACCTGAGTGTAGCCATGGGCATATCTCATCAGAATGATAAGCAAATCAATAATGATGCATTGGACTGTAAGTGCCTTGAGTACAGGGATATGTCTGCTTTGCTCACTCTATTCACAGTGCCAGTGCATTTTGCACAGATCTTGGCACTTAGTAGGCATTCAATAACTATTTCTTGAATAAACAAGTGACAGAATGAATGCCCTTATTTAATACGTTATACAGAGTGCAACGATTATAATTATGTATGCTCACAAATAACTGAATTATCTAAAGTAAAAGTTACTGCTACAGAAGAGAAGTTTCTCTCTTCTGTGAAAGAAGTCAGTTCAGGGATTCAGGGAGAATATGGGCTCTACAGTGTCCAGGCAACCAGATTCCTTCTATCTGGTTGCTCTGGCTTCCTAAGCACGTGCCTTCCATGTCATAGCCCAAGATGGCTGCCTGAGCTCATGCCATCATGTCTGCGTTCCAGACATCAGGAGGGAGAAAGGACCAAGAAGATCATACCTCGTTTCTTTAAGAACACTTGTTTGAAGTTGTCATACCACTCCTACTTACATCACATTAACTAATGTGGTTTTTCTTTTCAGTGGCCTTGTGATCAATTAAAATATGGGAGTTCTTTGACTAGAGAAGAATGGCTATTGGGGGCTATTAATGATTTGTGTCACAGTGTGGCCCACAAGGGGACTGTGTAATGCTTCTACCACAAACCGTTGGTATTAAAAAATATCAGGTGAAGTGAGCTGCTGTGGCTGTCCTCTGTGCTTTCCACTGTAAATATGAGCAGTTATGTCGCTAGATGGACTGTGAGTGCTTAGAATGGGGAGGGTCACTGGGAGACTCCTGGAGAGATTAGTGAAAGCTCTAAGGATGCTGTTTTTCCCTACTTTTGGTTCTGATATGGAGGCTGCAGAATGTTACCCCACAACAAAGCCAAGGCATTGGGGAAATCCCTGCAGAGAGTCCCTAAGTCTGTGTCCCAACTGAGCCTCCTGAAATCAGAGGCTGCGTCCTATTCATCTTTGGGTCCCTGCACCTGCACTCTCAGGAGCTCTGGACTCTCCTGTCCTGTGTCTCCTCGCCCATATGTGTTGAGTGAAGATAAGGCAATCACTTTAGATTATTCAGAAGTTTTACAAGATGCAACAAAGCCAGTTTTTCCTAACTAGAACATTTGTGAAAGTTTAGCCAGAGCTATCTAGAAAGTATGTTGATATGGACGTTGCCTCAGCTCCATCCGCCTACCCCTGCGAGGAGGCAGGAGCAGCCTCTCCCAGATCAAGACCCCGCTGTGGGTGGGCCGCCAGCTAGCAGCTGGGCGAAGGCCACATTTATCCCTGCCCTGCTTCTTTATTCTGCTCTGTATTCAAGCTTCGTATTTCCCTTTGTGTGTGTTTAGCTTAGGGATTTATCACCGTGGCTTAGATCTGTGATGAAATAGATAAGCCTGCACTTTAATACACGTGGCGTTTCTTTCCCCATAAGAATTAGATTAAAGGAAATGGGGCCTCTGAGGAGGCGGGGCAGGGCAGGAAGGTGGAGCTGGGTGGCCGAGGCAGGCAGAGACACTGCCAGCCAAGCCTTGGAGAGGCTGGGGTGCACTTCGGGGCCATTTAAGAGTGAGCCACAGAGAAGCAGCCTCGTGTTTTCCACAGAAAGAAGCTAAAACAGCAAAGTCTTGTAAGTGCTGTGGAGCCCTCCTGAGTGGCCAGTTTGGGGTTGCTGGCTTCACTCCTTGTGGTGCAGCTACAAGCATGCTTCCTGCAATTATTTGCAAGAGTCCTGGGTGAGAGTTCAGGGCTTGCAGGTCTTCCTCGGGCCACAACTTCAGCTCCAGGGCAACCAGAGAAGCACTGTCATCGTAGAAAGAGAGGGTGAGGCATGTAACCTTGAGCAAAGACACTGCTTAACCTTGCTGGGTCTCTGCTTGCTTTTCTCTACTTAAGAATACTCATATCAACTTGTTAGACCCTCGTAGAGGTACGAGACAATAAACATAAAGCAACAAAGACAGTCCTGGAACATGTTTGATGTGCACAAAATGGTAGCCCTTTGTATTATTACTATTAGGGAGCTAGGATCAGTGTCACACAATAATCCAGGTGATCTCAGGCCATTTCCTCCATAGTTTTCAGGACCGGAAACTCTGCAATGCCCTGTGGTCCATGTGAGCCCTCTTCCTAAGAGGCTGTTACATGGGAATCCTGTAAGGTCAGTAATATTATTATTTCTATTACCACCTTGGTAATAGAGTCTTAGGAAGGCTGACTCACTTGTTCAAGGTCAAACAGTTTCTTGTGGTGGTGCCTGCAGTGGTTACAAGAGCTTATAAGATAGGTTCTCCCAACTCCCGTGGTTGGGTATTGCCTCCCACCCTTCTATTATTTTTTATCCATAGCCGTAAGGTCACTGTCACCAAGAATAGCAAAGAGCAAAAAGAGAGAGAGAAAGAGGGAGAGAGAGAGAGGAGGCTAAGGAAATGACCTGCATTTTCAGTTTTCATTAGCAGGCTCACGCTCTCAGTGCTGCTCTGGGCAAACACCTGGCTCCTTAGATTTTCCTGTAAAAGAAGCTTGTGGTGACTTTGAGGGTAATAAAGGTTTAGCTGAGGCTGGCCAGCACCCTCAGGTCTGTGGGCTCGAGTGAGTCAAAAGGGCTGCTTGGGCGTTCTGAGCCTTGTCTTTTTCTAAGAAGGAGCGAAATGTTTTCCTATGTAAACATTCTTAAATAAGAGCCACTGAATCAACAAGCCTTGGTGGCGTTTCTGTTTATGTTGGTGCTACATAAAGGTTTGCTAAAGCACCTTGCAAGTCCTGTTTTGAAACTACTTTTAGGATCTACGATGGCTGTGATTGAAATTTACTCCAGGTAGATTGAGAGTCATTAATCTGTGCAAACAAATGCAACAAATGATGGGATTCTCTGCCCACTGAGAACTTACCATCTGAGTAAACAAGATGTATATGCATAAATAGTTAAATATAATAGCTGTGTAAGGATTTAAAATATGTACAAGACTGATTATGGAAATGTTCACTTATTATCCTTAAGAATAAGGTGCTGCATGTAGGCGTCTGGCGAGAGAGGTTGCAATACAACAGGTAGACTAGCATGAATTCAGGAGTACAGATGAGAATTGTATATGGACATCCACATAAATAGGAGCATGCTGAAAGTTCATTCACTCTCTTGAGCTTTGTTGAGTGCCTGCTGCATACCAGGCCTAGTGCCAGAGGTTCAAATGTTCAAGAAGGTAGCCTGAGAGCTGTTGGATATTGACTATGACCTTTAAGGGTAAATAAGACTTGAATGGTCAGAAAGCTGTGGAGGAATAGACCAAGATAGGAATGGGTTGATTTAAGGAAAACTATCAGGGTAGAAACATCAGGCCTCATAGGAGAGGGAATAGATCTCCCCTTTTGAAGCAGCGTGCTCAATGGGTTGAATGGCATGAGAGCAAGTTAGAGAAGAGGGCTGGAAATAGAAATGGAGGCCTTGAATGGCAGGATTTGTTCAAAGGGAATTCTTGAGACAACATCATGATAGTGGTGTTTACATTCGCATTCATAATCACCTTCTTAAAGAACTGAGCATTTCAATTTCTGATTGTTTATTGGTGGTATATAAAAATACAATTGCTTTTTATATAAACACCTTGTCCTACAAACTTGCATAGTCCTATCAGTTTTATTAGCTTTTTCATAGATTTTTAGAATTTTTACAAACAATTATACCATCTGCAAGTAAAGCTAGTTTTACTTCTTCCCTTATTATTTAGATGCCTTTTTTTCTTTTTCTTGCCTTATTGCTCCAGCAAGGATGTATATAATATATCATGTATAACATACAGTCAAAGTGGTGACAACTTATTTTCTAATCTTAGGGGGAAAGCAGTCTTTTGCATTGTGATGTTAGTTCTATGTATTTTGGAGATGCCCTTTATCAAATAGGAAGAGTTTTCATTAATAGCTAGTTTGTGGAGAGTTTTTATGAGGAGTGGATATTGGATTGGGTCAAGTGCATCTTTTGTATCTGTTGAGATGATGATACAGTTTTTCCTTTTAGCCTGTTAACATGGAAAATTACATTGATTGGTTTTCAAATGTTAAACTAACCTTGCATTCCAAAGATAAATCTTACTTGGTCATAATATCTTACCATTTTTATATATTATTATATTTTATTTGCTAAAATTTTGTTAAGAACTTTTTGTGTCTATGTTCATAAAGCATATTGGTCCATAGTTCTGTTTTCTTGTCATTTTGGTTTGGTATCAGAGTAATGCTGACCTCATAAAATATGCCGAAAAATGTTTTTTTCTCTCAATTTTGTGGAAGAATTTTTATAGAACTTTACCAGTGAAGGCATCAATGCCTAGAATTTTTGTTTATTTTTTGTAGGAAGATTTTAAACTACAAGTTCAATTTTTAAAATAAGTGTAAAGCTATTCAGGGTATCTGTTTCTTTCAGGAACAACCAAGCATGACTAAAAAGTACTTGAAAACATCACTGATCCTAGAACATTCTCAAAATATAACTCACACAAAGCAAGAGTGACTTCAGCTGGCTATCTTGCGTTGATGTGACATTTAAGTAAGCAATGGTCAAATGCATAAAAGTTTTTTTTTCTCTTTTAAGAGCAATTTCAATCTTTGCTTGGTCTCTTGGAAGAAAATCCAAAGGGATCTATGATACATTTGTGGCATAGGCCAAATTATCTTTACAAAACCTTTCCTCATCTTCCTCACTCTCAATGCCTTTCATAGCCACAGAAGCTGCTTCCCCAAATACTCCTTTTTCAAAAGAGGTCCCCAAACTTAACCTAAGTGCGTCTGCAGGTGTTACCACCTCTCTTTACTATGTAAATCAGCAGACACTCTTGCTCTGCATAGTTCTCTTATTCACTTGTTGCCCAGATTTTTAACATCAGAGTAGAGTTCTAGAGGCGATTCAACAAGATCGAAAGTTCTTTCTCCATAGAAGGTAGGGAAGGGGCAAGAGAGCAAAGGATTTGGACTAGATACGTGGTATTTCTTCTTTTTTTTTTTTAATACTTTAAGTTCTGGGGTACCTGTGCACAACATGCAGGTTTGATATATAGGTATACATGTGCCATGTTGGTTTGCTGCACCCATCAACTCATCATTTACATTAGGTATTTCTCCTAATGCTATCCCTCCCCCAGTCCCCCACCTGCCGACAGGCCCCAGTGTGTGGTGTTCCCAGCCCTGTGTTCAAGTGTTCTCATTGTTCAATTCCCACCTATGAGTGAGAACATGCGGTATTTGGTTTTCTGTCCTTGTGATAGTTTGCTGAGAATGCTGGTTTCCAGCTTCATCCAGATACATGGTATTCCATCTGCTATCACACTGCATATTCACCATTGTAACCCGGAGAGACAAATGAATAAGCATCTGTCCAGCCCCAACCCAGAGGGGCAGCTGCCAAGCAGCAAGTGGGAGGAGGAGCCCTCACTTAGACTTGAGCCTGCAAACTGGGATTTAGATGGAATCATTCACTCCAATTTTCCCCAAAACCACATTCCACATTCAGGTTTATAGAGTGGAGAGCTCAAAATAGGTTTACATTAAAAAACAGTCCTGCTGTTTGTATATGATTTGCTCCAGGATAGTTTCATTGATCTAGCGAAGTGTAAAGATCATTGAATTTGGAGCACCAGACCTAGATATTGTCCCAACCCAATCTTCAAGTTTTTCATTTGATAAGTGAAGTCATAATCTCTTAACTTCGCAGGATTCAACTCTATTAAGTGTGCCCACATGAATATTAACTGATACTTACTGCTCTTTTAGACAAAATATGCAATAAATTGCATTTATATAGCACTCTTTGAAAGCAACTATATATGTACATAGTTTGTAAATGTATATATGTATCAGTTAATCATCATATGAATCTATTGAAGAAGAAGTAATTGTTTCCATTTAATAGGTGATTCTGTAAGGAGATTCAGGAGGTTTAAGCAATTTGTCTACCATTGCACACCAGTGGATATTAAAACCAAAACTTCAACTCAAGTTTTCTGATTCAAGGTCTGATTTTCTTTCTATTTCTCCATCCTGCCTCTATTAAAGCACAGCCACTTGTCTACTACAGAATTAAAATTAAGTGGGTCTAAAGCCTCATGTTGAATAAATGCATGCACGTGCTAATTTTTCTGTTCTTTTGAATCTGAATTAAGGAAAATAAGCCAATTACATTAAAGTGGTGTCAGCAGATACTGCACAAAGCTTATATATAACCCTAGCACCATGCCATATGAACTCAGTAAATATTTTCTAATGCATAGATGTCATGTAACGTTGCAGATGCCAGCCACCTTTATTGTTGGAACAGGGAAGAAGCATATAATGAAAGTAAGGTGCAGTTTTGGATTTCAAGAGCAGAAAACTTTAGTGACTAATGGGAAAATTCCAGTTCTGTTCTGTGCTGTGGAGAAACTTATCTCTTATATTGCTTCTATTGCTATTAAGGAGGCATATTGGAAAATAATCTATAGAATTGTTTAGCTGAAGCTTTTTGTGTGCTTTGCGCTTCAGACTTGATAGTTTTTTTGGTAGGTTGTTGTTCCCCAGTTCCTTTTTAGTTCTCCTAAGTTTTCCTTGTTTGGAAATTCTTACACTTCACAGGAAAGCCTCCATTAGAAAACTGACTCTAATACTACTACCTCAAAACCACACACACAGACATACACACATTTACATGCACTTGTACAAACACGTAGGCATGCACAATCCTCCCCCTACCTCATCTAGTAAAAAGTAAGGAAATGATTCATATCATTTGGGATTATGTTCAACTTCAAGTAACAGAAAACTGAAGACTTTATTTGGCTTAACCAAATAAAGGTTGATTTTCTCACCTAGTCAAAAGTCCCAAAGTAGGCAATTTCTGGAGTTGGTTTAGTTGCTCAGCAACACCTTCAGAGAACCAGATGTTTTCCATCTTCTCTTCCATCATCCTTACAGGGTTGGCTTCCATCTTTATGCTTGTTACCTCATGATTGCAACATGGCTGCCCGAGCTCCAGGCTTTTTATCTACATTCCAGGCAACAGGAATGGAGAAGGGCAGTGTCAGTGACCCTCATTTAGCTGCACATATATTGCTGCCCCAAATAATGTGGAATTTATTGGCAGGGAAGGAGGGAGACAAATTGACTACTAGGTAGGTAATTCACAGTGTCTGCCCCATGTTTTTAGTGCATTTTCTTCTCTCTCTGTATGGGTTCAAATAGGAGTTCCTCATTGAGGAATGGCTTCTGGTTATGTGCTCATTTGAACAAAGTTCTCTATAATAAAATAATTCAGATGTCCCTTGGAATTCATCCTGTTTTTTAATGATTCTATTGATGCTGTATTAGACTTCTATAGCACTTTATATTTTCACTGGCATGAATCCTACTTAAACTTTGCAGCAGTCATGAGATACAGTTCTTATGGCTGGGACCAAAGCAATTTAGTGATATGTTCAACCCAGATCCTCCTTGTCCAGGGCTCCATTCCTCTGTCCACCTCTACTTCTTCTAACCACAGTTGATCTGTTTCCCCAGGATGACTCAATTCTTTGGTTTCTTAACTGAGCCCTCTCCAGCTGGCCCTGTGGCCTGCTACTCAGCTCAGGATGCTAAACACGGGCCATCTTGCTAACACATGTGTCTTTTGGCTGATATGAAATCATCAAAGGCAAAACCCTGGAAAATATTCACTGACTCCAAGGTTTAATTGATATATGTGCTTCTATACACACATGCACCCCAGAAGTAAGTCTTCCTGGATGAGGCTCTGCAGTTAGGGTGTCTGCTTATTCCAGTTTGATCTGAGGAACTTCAAATGAGTTGTTAGAAGTCTGAGTTGGGATTAGGTTTGCACATCCCATTTGGTGTGTCAGACAGACAGGGATGGATTCCTCATTCTGAGACTTGGAGGTGTTGCATGATTTTTGCAGGAGTTGCTGCCGTTTGCTTTCTTCCCTTCAGCTTGTTGCAAATGATACATCTGGGGGACATATCCCACCACCCCTCAATCCTTGAGAGGAGCAAATCTTGCCTTGCAGTTGGGAAAAGTTTTGTCTTAAAAAGGGGAGAAGGGGTGTCATTTTATTGTTTGAAATAATGATTTTGACACCTTTTAAAAAATGAATCCTACTGACAGTTTGGAGGCCTTTGTGGAATTAATCAAGTTTGATCCAATATGCATTTAATGAGAGCTTACTTTGAGCGAGGGACTGATGGGACAGGAATCAATTTCCCTTTTTGCCCCTGGGCTTGTACAGACTATGCGCCCATGCTGCAGAGGTCTGTGTTTACTATGAAAACCTGTGGTCAAGACACAGATTAGCGTAGCTGGGAAAGGGCTCTTGTGCACTTTGTAGAAGCTTGTGGCTGCAGTGACAGTGGTTGGAATGAGAGGCAGGGTGGTGCTGGTGGTGTGGCTCTGTGTCTCTCTCTCTCTCTTTTTTTTTTTTTTTTTGAGATGGAGTCTCACTCTGTAGCCCAGGCAGGAGTGCAATGGCGCGATCTTGGCTCACTGCAACGTCAGTCTCGTGGGTTCAAGCGATTTTCCTGCCTCAGCCTCCTGAATAGCTGGGATTACAGGCACGTGCCACCACGCCTGGCTAATATTTTGTATTTTTAGTAGAGACAAGGTTTTACTGTGTTAGCCAGGATGGTCTCGAACTCCTGAACTCGTAGGTGAGACCCCCGTGTAGGAAATGCATCCAAGACCATGAACTATACCACTGGCCACCTCAGCAGGAATGAGTGTGCCTGCAACAAGGGGGGCCTTGTTTTTCAGAGTGGCCTCACCCCTGCCCATCTAACATCTACCCCACAGACCAGACCATATGAGGGACTAGAGCATATCTGTGTGTCCTTCCCTACTGAAGATTCAGGAACAGATTCAAAGGGCACACATCCACATATCCTGGGCTTACACAATTCTATGCTTTTGTTTTTGCTATTCTCTGCCCTAGGAATTCCCATACCCCTTTGACCACCTACGGAAGCCTTATCCCCTAAGACTTACTGAAATGCTACTTCCTCTGGGAAGCCCTCTGTGGTACATCTACCGCCTTCATTCTGCTCCCTCCCTTTCTCCTGTAGTTCTTGGCTTGTACCTCTCGGTTGCACTCCCACTCATTCTGCCCTTGACCCAAGTTATGCATTTGAATGATGCTGGAATGTTTGTAAGGAAAATCGTAGCTGTTACTAGGAAAGAAATGTTTCTGGGGAATCACGGAAAGATTTTCTCACATGGGAGTCAGGACTAACTTCAGTTTCTCTCCAAAGGAACCAGATCCCAGTTCAGAGGAAGGTTCTTTTATTGGGTGAAATGTCCATTCAGACCTTATAGGACCCCAGGATATTTTGTCCAGAATCTCAAAATGCGTTTACTTGTTTAAATGACATGAATTGGGAACCTCTTAGAGGCAGAACACTGCATCCAGCCTTGGAAGGAGGATTCAGGAGAAATAATTCCAGCTCTTATCAGAATGATAGAAAAGAAAAGGTGATGTCCTGAATGCCTGGGAATATGAATATTTTGGTTTAAGTTTATTGATATGAGGAAGGAAGTAGCTTGACCAGCAGACATGACTATTCTGTTTTCTTGTTGAATATGGTTCCTATTCAGTTTTTTCCCATGTTTTTTACTTTAACAATTTTTATTACTCAATTAAAATATTTTCACTTTAGAAACATGTGAAAATGCAGTGAGTAAAAGAAAAAATAGCCGGGCATGGTGGCATATGCTTGTAGTCCCAGTTACTTGGGAGGCTGAGGTGGGAGGATCACTGGAGACCAGGAATTGGAGGCTGTAGTGTGTAATGAAAAGAAAGAAAGAAAGAAAGAAGGGAAGGAAGGAAGGAGGGAGGGAAGGAAGGAAGCAAGGAAGGAAGGAAGGAAAGGAAGGAAGGAAGGAAGGAAGGGAAGCTACTCATAATTTTACTCAAAATCCCAAATATCTAAATTTTTAGAATGAGATTGTACTTTATACAATATTTCAAAATTTGCTCTTCCCTGGCCAGACACAGTGGCTCATGCCTGTAATCTCAGCACTTTGGGAGTGCGAGGCAGGAGGATCACTTGAACCCGGGAGTTGGAGACCATCTTAGGCAAAATGGTGAGACTCCATCTCTATAAATTAGCAGAGCGGTGGTATGCACCTGAGGTCCCAGCTGTTGGGAGGCTGAGGTAGGAGGATTACTTGAGTCCATAAGGTCAAGGCTGCAGTGAGCTATTGATTGCACCACTGCATTCTAGCCTAGGTGACAGAGACAGACCTTGTCAGAAAGAGAGAGAGAGAGAGAGAAAGGGGAAGGAAGGAAGGAGGGAGGGAGGGAGGAAGGGGCTGGGAAGGGAAGGGAAGGGAAGTGGGGAGGGAAGGAAAGAAGGAAGGCCATTGATATTCTCACTTAATAATATATCACAAATATATTTACATATTAACAAACATAAAAGAACATAAAAAATAAACTATGCATGTAGATCATTGTTAGTAACAGCTTTTTCTTTGCTATGGAAAATTTCAAACATATATAAAAGTAGAAAGAATGGTATGTATAATGAATCTCCATGCCCCATCACCCAACTTCAAAAATTGTCCACTCAGCTAATCCTACTCATCTATAGCCCCACCATAACTCCCCAATCATACACACATCACTAGCACCTGATTATTTTGAAGCAAATTCCAGATATCACTTCATTTCATCTGTGACATCTTAAGGATGAATCTGAAAAGAAAAGGATGCTTTAAAAAATCCATCCACAATGCCATTGTCTCACTTAAATAAATGATCAATACTTCCTTAATCTCACCAAATACCCAGCTAGTTGCAAAACCTTCTTTTATTGCTGCAATAGGACCTTTTCATGTGTCTAAAGCATAATTTATTCAGTGAGTACCCTGCTGTTGGCCATGGAAGATAGTAGTCTTTTTCACTATTGCAAACAATGTTTCAATAAATAACAAAATTTTTTTCACACCTAAAACAGCAGGTATTTTATATAGCATTTATAATTGTAAATAAGATCACTATTTTCTTCTCTCTTTCTCTCTTTTTCCTCCTTCTCTCACTAATTATTGCTGATATTAAAAGATTAATTCTTGTAGTCTGCCTGTGAATAGCCACTGCACTCCAGCCTGGGCAACATAGCAAGCTATGCCTCTGTTTAAAAACAAAACTAAAAACTACTCATAATCTTACTCAAAATGACTAGTTTACATTTTGGTCTTTATTTGCATATATACCTACATTTTTAGAATAAGATTCTACTTTACACAGTATTCCTGTTGTGAATTCTGTCATTGCCAACCTTCTTGAAGATTCTTACTAGTTTCCATTTTCTTCCACTGATTCTCTTGAGTTTTCTAGATCTATATTCTTATCATCTGATAACGAGGATGATCTTGCCTCTTTCTTTTAAGTAGTCTTACTTTTTATTTCTTTTTCTTGTTTAACTGCACTGGCTGACCCGAAATGAGGCTAAATGATACTGAGGACAGTTGGTATCAGTGTCTCACTTCTTTCTAGAGTGGAAATGGTTCTTTGTGTGGTTTATTTTTGCCTGATGGTGACTGTTGGTTTGTAATTGATCTTAACTGAGGAGTAACAAACATGGTAAAACATTTAACACAGAATCTTTCAAATAATAAATACACAACAAATGTTTTTGTTATTATTATATTTTTGTCATGGTAAAGAGGTATACTTTAATTTCCTGTCATTAAGATTTATTTTTAAATTGAGAATGGATGTTGAATTTTGACTCCTGCCTTTCTTAAGGGGATATCTATTTAAATAATTACTTATATTTTTCTTTAAACTGTTAATAGAATGATATATTAGCATTGATATAGTTGTCTTTCTTGGACTGCAAAACCAATTTTGTCAAAAGTTTGTTACCCTTTTGAAATAATGCTAGGTTTTATTTTCTAGTATTTTATTAGAGTATGTGCATCTATTTTCATGAGTTAAACTGTCCTCTATCATGATTTTTCAGAGATAGCTTTGTTAAGATTTGAAATCAAGGTTATGCTAGCTTTGCAAAATGAATTGGAAGTTTTCTTTTTCCATCCTCCATCTCCCTTACCACCCCTTCCCCAGTATGTTCTGTTCCAAGAAATTTTGAAGGAGCTTACATGTGAAATTGCCCTGGAAAAGAATCTTTTAAAATATAAATATACATACAAATATATATATATGTATATATATATACACACACACACAATATTTTCCATTTATTCTATAATTAGTACAACTTTTAGACTTTCTTCTCAGTTTGAATTAATTTTGGCAATTGTACTTTCAAAGAAAATCATTCTGATTCCATTGAGTTTATTGGCATAGAGCTGCAAACAGCCTCTGATTCTGAAATAGCTCTTCTGGATCAGTGATTATATACCTTTTTTGTTTTGTATCACTGAGTGCTTGTGCTCTCTCTCTTATTTCTGACTGAAGTTGCTAAAAATTTAATTAGTTGATAGAACCAGTTAGTGTACAAATTAGTGTTGGATTACTAATTATTTTAATTTATTATTTCCTTTTAAATATAAAAGAACTTGCAGCTGTAAGTTCTTCTCTAACAGTAGGTATAACTGAATCCTAGATGTGTTCATATGTAATATTTTTGTTACTGGTGTGTTCTAAATATCTGTGGTGGTTGTTTTGAATTATGCTTTTGCCCAAAGGTTACTCGGTGAAGACTGTTTCTTAAATTTCAATTGGATTGGCTCTTTGTTCATATTTTGTTATTAAAGTCTAATTTTATTGCATTTTAGGTAGATTTTGTGACCTAAATTATACCCAATTTTGGAAATTTGTAGTTTTTGTGTGTGTATGCATGGCATATGTACAACTAATTTTTGTAACTATTATATGGGCACTTAAGAGTATCTTCACAATGTATAATTAATATATCATGATTAGGAGAAAGTGTGTTTATGATGTTATTCAAATATTTTCTTTCTTTTTTTTTTTTTTTGAGATGGAATCTCACTCTGTTGCCCAGGCTGGAGTGCAGTGGCGCAATCTCGGCTCACCACAACCTCCGCCTCCTGGGTTCATGCCATTCTCCTGCCTCAGCCTCCCAAGTAGCTGGGACTACAGGCGCCCGCCACCACACCTGGCTAAGTTTTTGTGTTTTTAGTAGAGACGGGGTTTCACCGTGTTAGCCAGGATGGTCTGGATCTCCTGACCTCGTGATATGCCTGCCTCGGCCTCCTAAAGTGCTGGGATTACAGGCGTGAACCACTGTGCCGGGCCTCAAATATTTTCTCTCTCTATATATTTATTTTTGTTCTCTTGATTAAAGTTGTTAGGAATGTGTTAATTTCTTCCACTGTGATTGTGTTTTGTATTTTCTTGCATTATGCCATGGAAATTGCTGGTTTCCTAGGTCAAAACAATTAAATATTGTCAGTTACATCCAGGCTAACCTATGTTTATGATACTGATATGTGAGGGTTTATGGGACTTTCGTGTCTGCTTCAGGGGATGCATTCTCATCCCCCATGCTCTTCGCCTTGAATGTGTCATGCTGTAGCGCTGGTGATGCCAGCCCTGACTTTCTGCTAGGTTCCATTTATTATTAATTTAATAATAAATTTATTAATAATTTAATAATTTATTAATAATTCAATTCCATTAATTTATTAATAATAAATTATTTATTCTAAATAATCCAGTAGCTATGTATTCAGAAACTTCCAGGTGACATGCACAGTAGTGGGCGATTCGAGGGGTAGTGAGCAGATATCTGCCCTTAGGGAGTGAGAGTTCGGGACGGGGAGAGAGAATAAAAACACAGGACAAGGATGAGAGTGGTACCTCCCATGCATATAATTAAAATAGAGGATGCGATCATAAGTTACTGGTGGCTTCTTGAGACTGGATGGGCAGAGACGGCCTCTGCATTAGTTGGGTAGGGCTGCCATAAAAAATTGCCAGAGACTGGGTGACTTAAACAACACGGATTTTGGTGGCTTACACCTGTAATCTCAGCACTTTGGGAGGCTGAGGCGGGCAGATCATGAGATCACGAGATTAAGACCATCCTGGCCATCATGGTGAAACCCCGTCTCTACTGAAAATACAAAAATTAGCCGGGCATGGTGGCGGGCGCCTGTAGTCCCAGCTACTCGGGAGGCTGAGGCAGGAGAATTACTTTAACCCGGGAGGCGGAGATTGCAGTGAGCCAAGATTGTGCCACTACACTCCGGCCTGGGCGACAGAGCGAGACTCTGTCTCAAAACAACAACAACAACAACAACAACAAAGCACCATGGATTTATTTCCTTACCGTTCTGAAGGTTGAAATCCAAGATCAAGATGTGGGCAGGGTGGGTTTCTTCTGAGGCCTCTCTCCCGGACTTGTAGGTGGCCGCCTTCTCCCTGTGTCCTCATGTGGTCACCCCTCTGTGTGTGCACATCTGTATCCTAACCTCCTCTTTTAGGGAGACATCAGTTTGACTAGATTAGGGCCCATCCGAGGTCCTCATTTTAAAACTATTTATTTATTGTAACTGATAAAAATTTTCTATATTTATGGTACTGTTCTGAAATATGCATGCGTTGTGGAATGGCTAACCCAAGCCAATGGACATATGCGTTACCTCACATACCCATCATTCTTTTGTTGTGAGAACACTGAAAGTCTACTGTCTTAGCAGCGTTCAAGAACAGAACCATAATTCAATAGATCTCTTGCACTTATTCTTCCTGTCTAACTGAAATTGTGTATAATTTGACCATCTCCCCACTCCCCCACCTCCACCCACAAAGATCTCATTTTAACTTAATTACCTCTTTGATAACCCTTTCTCCAAATATAGTCACATTCTTAGGTTCTGGTGGTTAGGGCATTAACATATGAATTTTGTCATAATGCCCTCCCTCCCCTTTCCCCCTACTCTGCAACAGGCCCTGGTGTGTGATGTTCTGCTCCCTATGTCCGTGTGTTCTCATTGTTCAAATTATGGCTTGATAGGTGCAGGAAAACACCATGGCACATGTATACCCATGTAACAAATCTGCACATTCTGCACATGTATCCCAGAATATAAAGTAAAATAATAATAATTAATTTTAAAAATATACGAATTTGGGGGAGCACACAATTCAGCTCACAGCAGCCTCTGTCAGGACGTAACATTTACATTGAGATCTCAGTAACCTAGCAACACAGGGAATGACATGCAAAGATCCTGGGGAAGAAAATTTCAGTTGGAGGATTATATTGAGCAACGGTCCTGAAATGGGAGTGAACAGGGTGAGTTTGAGGAACCGGAGACCAGTGGTGGCGGGCAGGGGGTGCAGAAAGCAAGGAGACGAGATGAACTTGCGTCCTTCCGGTGGGATACATAAACTTGACTGTGATTGAATTCCCCAAGCAGTGAGAAGTCACTGGAGGGTTTCAAGCAGGAGCCACAATCAGATTGATTTTTTTTTTTTTTTTTGAGATGGAGTTTTGCGCTTATTGCCCAGGCTGGAGTGCAATGGCATGATCTTGGCTCATTGCAACCTCTGCCTCCTGGGTTCAAGCGATTCTCCTGCCTCAGCCTCCGGAGTAGCGGGGATTACAGGCGCCCACCGCCACACCTGGCTAATTTTTGTATTTTTAGTAGAGACGGGGTTTCTCCATGTTCATCAGGCTGGTGTTGAACTCCCGACCTCAGGTGATCCAGCTGCCTTGGCCTCCCAAAGTGCCAAGATTACAGGTGTGAGCCACTGCGCCCGGCCTCCAGATTGATATTTTTGAAAGGTTTTTCCAGTTGCTGTATGGATTGATATTTTTATAAGTTTTTCACAGTTGCATTCTAAAGATGGCCAATATGGAATCAAGGAGCTTTTTTTCGCAGGTCAGTTGAAAGTGATAGTGGCTTAGACAGGGTGAAGTCGGTGCATTGGGGATACATTTTAGCAAAAGGTTACAGGGGCTATAGGACCTGTTGATTTGTCATATGCAAGGGAAATGGATTTTCAAGGACGACTACTACATGTTAAAAGCAAGTTAGGATAATTTCCAGAGATTCGGCAGTGCCCTTTACTAAGACAGGAAAGAATGAGAGAACAGGCTTTGGGAGAACATTAAAGTAACCTAGTATTTCCCTGAGAGCATGGATCAGGAAACTTGGTGGAGCCTGGGCATCCTCGGAAGTACTGACACACTCCTCCTGCTGGGTCATTTAGCACTGACACCCAGACCCAGAGCACAGAAATTCCCAAATGGGAGGAGGCATGATGCTGTAGGAACGCAAGCATGGTGATGAGGTTGGTGGGGCTTTGAGCACACCAGCTGTATGATCTCGATGGATATCTGCTGCATCTGGCCTCAGCGAAGTCAGTCTCTGGTGCTGTAGGGATAAGCACACCAACCTCATAGATCTGTCTTGAGGATTCAACCGGGTCACACTTGTGAAATGGTTGCAAGTCCTGGCACACGCTGCGCAGTTCGAATAAATTATTATTGGTACTATTATTAATATCCTTGGTGTTATTTTTGTTTTGTTTTTGTTTTTTGAGATGGAGTCTCACTCTCTCATCGGGCTGGAATGCAGTGGCACAATCTCGGCTCACTGCAACCTCTGCCTCCTGGGTTCAAGCGATTCTCCTGCCTCAGCCTCCCGAGTAGCTGGGACTACAGGTGCGCACCACCATGCCCGGCTAATTTTTGTATTTTTAGTACAGACAGAGTTTCACCATGTTGACCAGGATGGTCTTGATCTCTTGACCTCGTGATCCACTCACCTCGGCCTCCCAGAGTGCTGGGATTACAGGCATGAGCCACCATGCCCGGCTGGTGTTATTGTTAATATCCTCAATACTGAGGGGATATCAGCTCGAATGACTCCAACAAAACCTTCAGAGATACCCAAAGGCTCCCATACAGTCTTCACTCTTCCATACATTTCTCCAGCCTAGTAACCAACTGGCTCTCACTTCAGCCTTGTTTTTGTTTTTAAGTTAAACCAGAGGCTCTAGACATGTCCCTAAGGCTCTGAGCAGTGTGAGGGTTGGGTCCTGTCCACCCCAGGCCTTTGGCAGGATAAGGGGCAGGGAGAAGGTAGCAGCTGTGGACCCAAGAAGACAGTGGCATGAGCAGGTTGCTCCCCGCGTGCGAGGCTGCTCCTTTTTGCTGATTTAACAGACAGAATCCCACTGCCAGTCTTGCAAAGTTTGTTCCCAAATGAGACAATATATATTTTTTTCATAGCTTTATTTTTCTACTGTTGATAACAGATGAAACTAAGAAAGTCAAATACAGTATTCCTCCCTATCTGAGGGGCTATGTACGTTCCAAGACCCCCAAGACTGAATGCCTGAAACCAAGGATGGTACCAAACCTTATATATACCCTGCACAAATCTCTCTTTGCTTCTTCATAATTTCACCACTAAAAGATTGGTTCTTACAATAGACATTAGCAACCTCAGCCTATAAGTCTTTTTTCTTTCTGTATTAAGTTGAGAACTTTTGTGTTTTCACTTTAAGGAAGCACTTTACAGCTTCTCTTTGGCATATCTGACTTGCCAGTATCGCTACTCTGTGCTTTGGAACCATTAAGAAGCAAAATAAAGCTTTTTCAAGCCCGCACACTAGGATAGCGCGGCAGTCGATCTGATAACCAAGACAGCTACTAAAGTGACTAATAGGCAGGTATCCGGTACAGTGTGAAAATACTGGACAAAGAGATGATTCACGTCCCGGGTGGGTGGGAGATTTCATCAAGCTACTCAGAATAGGTGAGCAAATTAAAACTTATGAGTTGTTTACTTCTGGAAATTTCTATTTAATATTTTCAGACTGCAAGTAATTGAAACCGCAGAAAGCAAAACGGCAGATAATAGGGGACTACCATATCAGTCTTCTCTTGGAGTACCATAGTCACAATTGTACCATCCAAACTAATGAGTATTCATTCATTCTACTAATGTTTATTGAGCACCTACTAAGTCTCAGGCCCATGATGGATTCTGAGGATACAGCTGTGAATAAGACTCTGAATTCCCTGCTCTTGGCAACTTACAGTCAGTGGGGGAGACAGACAGTAAATAACAAACATGCCCACATTCCAGTATTTAATCCAAATTAATACAAATTATTGTAAGCTCTATAAAGGAAATAAAGGTGACACAATAAATGATGGGAAGGTGATGTTGGAAGTAAAGAAGTGGATGCAATAAATGAGTCATAAAGGATTTTGTAAATGATAAAGGATGACAGGGACAGTCCTAGCAAGCCATTTTGAGGAGGTGACGTTTGAGCTGAGACCTAAAAGATTAAAAGGAAGTCATGGGGCCGGGTGCGGTGGCTCATGCCTGTAATCCCAGCACTTTGGGAGGCTGAGGCAGGCAGGTCATGAGGTCAGGAGATTAAGACCATCCTGGCTAACACAGTGAAACCCCGTCTCTACTAAAAATACAAAAAATTAGCTGGGCGTGGTGGCGGGCGCCTGTGGTCCCAGCTACTCAGGAGGCTGAGGCAGGAGAATCGCTTGAACCCGGGAGGTGGAGGTTGCAAGTGAGCTGAGATCACGCCACTGCACTCCAGCCTGGGTGATGGAGCGAGACTCCATCTCAAAAAAAAAAAAAAAAAAAAAGTCAGGGGAGAACATTCCAGGCAATGGGAATAGCAAGTGCAAGGGCGCTGATAAGCCAGAGAGCTTGGTTTGCTCTAGGAACTGTCAGAAGACCAGTGTGACTCCTGCGTAGTGGAAGAAGGGGGTGTGAGGGAAGGTTCTAGAGAGGAGGCCAGGGCATGCAGAATTATACATGCTGCAGGAAGGGACAATAGGAAGCCCTGATGGAGTGGACACTTGGGAATGACATGGTCATCTTTACATGTTTGAAAGATCTTTCTGGCTGCTGTTTGGAGAATGGGCTGAGGGGCACAGGAGTGACTTAAAGGAGACTAGTTAAGATTATAAGAGTAGTCCAAGGAAGAAAGAAGATAGGGGCTTAGAGTAGGTGGTGGAAAGGAGCGTGCAGAGAATGGGAAGGCTACCAAATAGATTTCAAGGCAAAACCAGTGGGGCTTGATTTGTGTATGGATTGGGTGTGGGGATTGTATGGATTAGAAAGGGAGTAACTGAGATGGATCCCAGGTGTTTGACTATAGTGGTGCCATTTAATGGAATAGAAAAGAGTCCTCAGTAGCCAGTGCTGGATGCTGGAAATGAAGACTTGTGTTTTGGACATGTTACGTAGGAGACATTGCTTACCTATAGAGCCCAGGAGCAGCCTGGGCTGAAATATAAATGTGAGTATCTTCCTCTAGGGAGTATTGGAAGTGATGGGGGGATGTCTCCTAGGAACAGAATATTGAGCTAGGGGAGAAGGGGCCCTAGGACTAAGTACTGAGGGACTCGAAAACTTGAGGTCATTTGCATAGCAGGAGCGTGGGAAGAGCCCCAGGTAGGAGCTGATCAGAAAGGGAGTAGAAGGAAATCCAGGAGGTTGTGGTGTCCCAGAAGCTAGAGAAGAGAGTGCATCAAGAAAGGGGAAATAACTTACCATGTGTAAAGCCATGGAGGGGCTAAATGATTAGAGAACGGAGGATACCACTGGGCTTGTAACATGGAAGTCAACCGCAACCTCAGAAAGAGCAGTCCCACTGGGGCTTCAGGGACTCGAGAGGCCAATTTGGATGAAGCAAAGAGGTGGATGAGGAGAAGTAGAACTGTGCTGATGACATTTTGGGAAGTTTTGCTTGGAAAAGGAGTAAAGAAATGGTGCTGGGGGCATATGGAATCAAGAACGTACCTCTTATAGATGGAAGACACCAGATCATGCGTGTTTGCCATAGAGCTCCATCTAGTGGAGAGTAAGAGTTTGGAGATGGAGAGAGGGCATGCAGAGGAGTGAAATCCAAGAGAAGTTGAGTGTATTAATTAGTATATAGGTTTGGCTGTATGTAAGGGAGACCTCGAGTAGCAGTGGTTAAATAAGAAAGGTTATTTCCTCTGCAATGAATAGCCCAAGATAATTGTTCTAGAACTGGAATGATCATTCTACTACACGAGGTTGTTCACGAAGTTGGCCCCTTCATACAGCTTGTTCCTCCATCTCTAGGGTCCTTGTCTAGGGGGTCCAGGACAATATAACCCTGCATCCACACTCCAAGCATCAGGATGGAAGCGAGGGCAACAAAGGAGCAAGCTGTCCTTCTGAGGCTGTGCCCCAGAGGTTACTCACATCCCTTTCTTTCAAGTCATATTAACCAGAATCTGGCCACATGGTCATGCTGAGCTACAAAGGAGACTGGGCAATACAGCCTTTGTTCTTAGTATCTGTGTGCTTAGCTGGAAATCAGTTTTTCTTACCGTAGAAGAAGGGAGGGGAAGCTGCTAGGACCCTGTCCCATCCAAGTGTAGCAGTATCTTGTGGTTTCTGTCATGGTCAAATAGGAATGGAATCCCTAAATGAAGTGGGGAGATATTGCCCTTCAGCGAAAGAAGGAGCAATTAATTCCTTGGTGTTAGCAGGAGGAAAGAGAAAATGGATGGCGGAGCTGGAGGGTTTGTTTATCTGGTGGTTGGAGGACGAGAAAGTTCCCATCTGATGCCTTCTGTTTTCTGAATGATACTTGAGGTGAGGTTATTAGAGGTTGAGGATGGAAAGCCAAAGAGTTGAAAAGATCATCATAATTGTTTCTAGTTATGGTGTGCTTATGTTATGCCAATCTCTGCTCTAAAACCTTTACATCTATGAATTAATTTATGTAATATTTTGAAGAACAGATGAGGAAGCTGAAGCCAAGAAAGTTAGTTCCTTGATAAAGATCCCACAGCTAGTAAGTGGTAGAGCTTGGACTTGAACCTGAGCGTCTTCATTCCAGCATCTATGTACTTTACTTCTGTGCCTACTGCCTCTAGCCTGGAACCAGAAATATGAGATCAACCACTTCAAGAGTGGGACACACAATAAGAGAGGCTGCCTGGCCAGACTGAGTGCCCAGTGGAGATTTGTGCTCGTGAGTTTAATGTGAAACCAATAAGCTCACTCATACAGTTCTGGGAAGGTTCAGCTGCTGAGTGCAAGTGAGGAGAAGATGGTAGTTTAGGGTGTTCCAGGTGAGTATACCAAAGAGAAACACAGCTAGAGCCTGGAGCCTGTTGGACATGCAGATATTATCATGATAGACTACTGAACTCAGGCTGGGCCAGCAGGCAACAGGTGATGACAAGGAGGGTGTGATGGCCAGTGAGAAAGCAGTGGGGTCAGTGCCATGGCAGCTGGGGAATGTGCTAGGCAGTGTTGCAGTGGGGTGTTTGCCATGATGATTCTGAAAGCAGTACAGATTCTGGTAACGTAAGACCCAACATAGGAGTCTGGAGTGGATGGCTGAGGGAAGGCACAGTGAGAACCAAGAACACTAACAAATGACTCCCAGTGGCCAAACCATGTTCCAAGTTCACTGTCAGCAGCTAGCTCAAGGAGGCAGACCTCATCGCTGGGTTAAAGGGAGAGTGAGGAGCCTAGCTTTTGCAGCTACTCAAGGTGGCTCTCTGAGGGTGGACTGATGTTAGAGGTAGATTTGTTCAGGGATGGTAGAAAATCAGAGTCAGCTGCTGAATGTGCTTTGGGTCTAGTCTATTAGGTTGATGCAAAAGTAACTGCAGTTTTTGCCACTAAAAGTCATGGCGAAAATACATCCCCTTTCCTTCCATGACCAAGAATGGTTGAATCTTCTGTAGCTCCCATGTCCCTTTCACAAATAAAAGAGCTACTCTTCAGTAATAAAGCATTAGGATGGACCACATTTCTTCATTGTGTCATTGTGACCTCTAGTACATTCTATTCTCTGTCTGGATTTTAATGTTCTCCCCCATAAAATAAAGCAGTTGGATCGGAATAATCATAGCTAATATTTATTGAGAATTACTGGGTGCCAGATGCTATTCTAAGTGATTTACATACATTATATTACATTTAATTGTCCTGAAAGCTCCATCAGAGGTAGATATTACTATTTCTGGTGTTTTTTTTTTCAATGCAGGAACTGAGACACAGAGAATAAGTAACATGCTGTATTCATTTCCTATTAACTGCTAAAACAAATTACCGCAGATTTAAACAACACAAATTTATTCCCTGTGATTAAAACAACACACATTTATTCTTTTACATTTCTGGGCCAGAAGTCCAAAATAGCTTTCACTGGGCTGAAGTCAAGATATGTTAGGGCTGGTTCCTTCTGGAGGCTCTAGGGGAGAATCGATTTCCTTGCCTGTTCCAGCTTCTAGAGGCCATATGCATTCATTGGCTTACGGTCCTTTCCTGCATCTTCAAAGTGCATCACTCCAATCTCTGTTTTCCCCATCCCATCACCTTCTCTCTCTGACTCTGACCAACCTGTGTCCACTTATAAGGATCCCGTGTGGGCCTACCCACACAATCCAGGGTGGTCTCCTCATCTCAAGAACCTTAACTTGATCCCACTTGCAAGGTTCCTTTTGCCATGAAAAGCAACACCTTCAGGTCAGGTGCGGTGGCTCACGTCTGTAATCTCAGCACTTTGGGAGGCTGAGGTGGGCAGATCACGAGGTAAGGAGATCAAGACCATCCTGGCTAACACAGTGAAACCCTATCTCTACTAAAAATACAAAATATTAGCTGGGCGTGGTGGCATGTGCCTGTAGTCCCAGCTACTTGGGAGGCTGAGGCAGGAGAATCGCTTGAACCTGGGAGGTGGAGGTTGCAGTGAGCTGAGATCACGCCACTGCACTCCAGCTTGTGCGACAGAGCAAGACTCCATCTTAAAACAAAAAAAAAAAAAAAAGAAAAACAAGAAAAAAGAAAAAAAGAAAGGCAACACCTTCACAGGTTTAAGGACTGGGATGTGGATATCTTTGGGAGGCATTTTTCTGTTTACCACAATACCCGAAGCATGAGTTCCCAACCAGTGTAGACCTGGGCCCTGGGCACCACTGTGCCGTACTGACTTAGGATGGGCAAACATGGGGCATGCAAGCCACTGCCCTTCTCTTCGTGTCCATGGAGCACTGGCAACTGACTGCAGCCCTCTTTCCTTCAGAATCCGAGTGCATCTTAGAATCCTTCTCAACACTGTTTTCCAGGCAGCCCTGTCAGTTGACCCGAACTGTCAGGCACGATGAAGCCTGTGGGCCATTTTCAGTTTTGATCTCTAAGTTTTCATCTGGGTGTCACATCCAAGACACCCGTGGCACCAGTGAGCTTTTAGAGAGTGAGTTGTGGCAAGCCTGTGTGCCCTTCTTGGGAGAGAATTCCCTTTTTGCCAGTTTAGGACTTTTTTTTCTTTTTCTTTTTTTTTTTTTTTGTAATTCAGTGACTGTGGGTTTAAATATTACCCCTTCATAAGAGATGGCTCTAGGAAAAACAGGCTTCTTATTTCAATTCCCCGGCATACTGGCCAGGAACCTGGCTCTTTGTGAAATGCTAGTTGATAATTTCAGTTTGGGTGGTAGGGAAGGGAGGTGGAGCACATGGGGGAACACAGCCCCACCCTCCCGCCCCATCTGCTTGTGCTTCAAGAACATACTGTAATTGTTCAGCCCTGTATGGGGTGGGGGGAGAGAAAATCACAACATGTTCACACAGAAGAGAAAACAAACAGCCTTTAATACCAGTCAAGGGAAACACGTTTAAAGAGTTTTTTTGCAAGGCCTGAAGCAAAAGAACTTCTCCAGTACAGCTGCGTGGAGTCCCGTGCTCAGCTTCACTGTGGGCCTTCCACGTCTAGCTGTCAGAGCCTCTCTGCCTGTGCTGAGCCCGGTAGCAGACCCCTTTAATGCAGCTGGAACCCTCACTAGTTTTCTTCCTCCCTAACAGCCTATGATGTAGTGGTGGGTACTGGGGTGGGGAGCATTGGACCCTCAAGTTGAAGTTGCACTGTTTATCTCCTGGGTGCGTTGCAGCCCCCAGGACCATTAATTACACATTCTCCAGGCATCAAATTCCCCAGGTGGGTAAATAATTCCATTGCAATAAGGGGATGGTACATTGACCTTTATTTGTCTTTCTAATTTTCCACTTCTTTGGGGGCTCCGGGCTTTGCTAGGGCCTAATGAGCTCTAGTCCAAATGATTGCAGCACTTTGGGTCAGTATCTTCCTAAATTCACTCCTTTGCAAAGGTGCTGACCAGAGAACTGTGATAAAGGCTTTCCCCACTCTGGTCACACCGTGCATGAATGAGTCTTTCTCTTCCAGGCGTCCTTCAGTCAACCTCCTTGCCGTTCCCCTCCTTCCTGCCTCCTCCAGCCAGAGGCAGCTTCCAGAAAACTTCCCACTCTTACTGCATTTCCTATGAACGTTCCTGCAATCTAGGTGTGTCCTTGTGGATCCCCAAGTCAATGTCATGCCGGTAGAAAGGATGGGAATGCAGGTGTGACTCCTTCAAGGAGAGATTTCTCATAAGGGGAAACTGCCAGCTGTAGGGGTCCTCTCCCTTTGCATGGTTTTGGCTTTAGGAGCCTTGTATTCGTCCGTTTTCATACTGCTGATAAAGACATACCAGAGACTGGGAAGAGAAAGAGGTTCAGTTGGACTTACAGTTCCACATGGCTGGGAAGGCCTCAGAATCATGGTGGGAGGCAAAAGGCACTTCTTACATGGCGGCGGCAAGAGAAAATGAGGAAAAAGCAAAAACGGAAACCCCTGATAAACCCACCAGATCTTGTGAGACTTATTCACTATTATGAGAATAGCACAGGAAAGACCGGCCCCCATGATTCAGTTACCTCCCCTCCGGGCCCCTCCCACAACACATGGGAATTCTTGGAGACACAATTCAAATTGAGATTTGGGTGGGGGCACAGCCAAACCATATCAGGCCTAGAGCTTAACTTTAGGCCTCTGTTGGAGTTTTCTGAAAGAATTCAAATTTTGTCAGGCTCAGTTTCCTGACAGCAAAATTTGAGGAGTTGTAGAGAGTGAAATAGACCACAAAATGTTATGCTGGAAGGAACCTCCTAAGTTTGTCCAGTATAAAGTTCTTATTCTGCACATGAGGAATTTGCTCTTAGGTCCAGCAGCCAGAAAGTGGCTGACCTGTGTCCAGAATCCAGGTCCCAGGACATCCAGATCTTTTCTCAGCTCATTTTTTACGTGGTCACCTATGCATCTGCCTGTATTTTATTGCAATAAGGGGATGGTACATCTGGTACATGAACGTGCCAGAAACAGGCAAGCATTTCCTTGCCAGGCCTAAGCTTTTGAAAAGCAAGAGAGAGAGGGAGAGAAGCAGATGTTGAGGAAATAGCCTGAGTGCATTGGTGGCCTCTGGAACATCTGGACCAGTCCAAGCCGTCTTTTGCTTCCAACATTGGAAGTCCTGCTTAGGTCCTAGCAGGAAGATGATTTGTGATCCAACCATTTCACATATAGGGCCAAGAGGGCAGACCCGAAGGGTTGCAGCTCTCAGCAACAGCCCTACCCAGGGACCGAGGTTGCTATAGAAACAATATGGGGGTGGGGGAAAAAGCAGAGAGTCATCCAGGTGGAGAGGAGGGGGGCGTTTGAAATGAGAGGTTTCTAGATGAAACAGACTTCCTGCAGGTTCTGCTGGAGTTTCATTGAAGGCTGATGGCTTTGTCATTTCCCATCAAGCTGGGCTGTAGCATGGGGTGTGGAGGGCTCCTGGGAAAGAAAGACGTCTGACTGAGTAGTGTGATGACGCCCCCAACCCAGTGCAGTGCAGTGCAGTGAGCAGCCTATGTGCTTGTATGATTGTGTGATACATACACAATTGTGATTACCTGTGTGTGTGTACGTATCAGTGTGTGATTTTGTGTGTGATTACCAGTGTAGTTATGTTTGAGTGTGTGTGCTTGTGTGGTTTTGTGTGTGTGTGTGTGTAAGATTCAGTGTGATTGTGAGTGTGGTTGTGTGATTGTGGTTGTGAGTATGTGTGTGGTTTTATGTGCAGTTGTATGGTTGTGTGTATAGTTGTGAATGTATGTGATTGGTTATGTGTGGTCGTGAGTATGGTTGTGTGTGGTGTTTTGTGCATGATTCTGAGTGTGGTTGTGTGTGTGATTGTGTCTGGTTGTGAGCATGTGTGTGTGGTTTTGTGTGCAGTTGTATGGCTGTATGTGTGGTTGTGTGTGAATATATGTGATCACTTGTGTGTGACTGTGAGCATGGTTGAGTGTGTGATTGTGTGGTTGTGTGTATGTGAGAGTGTGATCTTCTCTGATGCTGCCATGAGGTGACGGGATTTTTTACCTGTAGGAGAGCCACACAGAAAAAGGCCACATGCAGAAGGCTGAGCCTGGGGAGCCATCTCCAGCATACAGAGGACAAGGGAGCCATCAGGCCTGGTGCTCTCAAGCCCCCAGTCCCAGTTGGCCATGCGTGTCACTCAAAGACCCTTCTCTGCCCTCAATACCTGCAGCACAAAAGGTCATAATAAAAGCTCGTTGTAAGGATGACTCCTCAGAGGAGTGTGCTGAGTTGGGGGTAAATGTGGGGATGGGGACATGCCATCCCTGCTTCTGTGTTTCCTCCAGTTGTGTTTCTAGGGTGGGCCTGAGGTGGGTACAGCAGTGGAAGGGCAGGTGCCCGAGAAGAGGCCATGTTTCCAGCGTGCCAAAAGCTGCAGGGCCTGACCGGCTCCATATCCAGGAGCAGATGTGAGGATCCCCAGGCCTCACTGTTTCTGCACAGACGAATGGAGCAGAAGGCCATATCAGGAAGGCCTTCTAGGATAGAAGCCCTTTCCTGGGAAGCTTTGGGTAGTTTGCACCTTTCCTGGTGAGCGATAGGGTCCCCAGTGGGTAACGAGGGCCTGACTGGCCAAGAGGCCCCTTTGCTCTAGGGGAGCTGCCCTGCTCCAGTGAGAGGGGCCCTGGAGGGGTCAGTGCCTGGAGTTGGACGAAGGCACTGGGGAGGTGGCCGGGTGGCAGTGTGAAGTGGTGCGAACAGGAAGATGTGAGCTTCACGAGCAGAGGGAGGATGATCACACAGCATCTCACGTCCTAGGCTCAAGATCTACCTTTTCCTCCTACAGCTTTGATCTCAACACCTGCAGTCAAAAGATGACGGCCCCTGCTTGAGCCTTGCTCTGTGAGGTGGGGAGGAATGATGCCTGGGATGCCTGGTACTGGGATGCAATGGGGAGAAGCCAGCAGAGAGAAGCAAAGGGCGGGTGGGTGCTGGGAGGTAGGAGAAAGGGTATTTTGCCAGCAGCATTTTGAGCTGATTGGAGAGGAAGTGAGGAGTGGGCACAGGTTGGGGAGGCATCAGAAGACGAGATGAGTGGGGACCACAGCACCCTTTAGGGCTATGCTTCAGTGATGATGCCAAGGAAGGAGTGCCAGTGAGGTGTGGAGGAGAAGAGAGAAGATCCCAAAATAACTCTGGGAACTTTCCAGGGACACTTCAAGCCGGAGTGTAGGGAAACTCAGCCCTGAGACTTGCCAGAACTGTTCCCGGTAGGAGCTGGGGATGAGGGCTCGGTGCCAGGCAGGTCTCACTGCGCTTGGCCACTTGTAAGAGACCTCTTCCTGCTGGGCTTCTGGGTGGCTGGTTGGTCAAAGAGGACCAAAGAGAAGCAGAAGCAGTGCTGTGATAGTTCCTCAGACCGCATGTTTCGATGCACAGCTTTGTTGTTCCGATTTTTATGTGGTTCAAAGAGTCCTTCCACAGTTACAAGACTAGATGTCACATTGACCTGTGGTGTTGGGGCTTTTGAGGCACTTCTTCATGCGTCACATCTCATCCCTGGTGAAGCATAGCACCTGCTGGTGGTGTGCCCTTGGGCGAGTTCTGGAACAACTTTTGTGCCTCCTTTTCCTCTTACAAAAAGCAGGGCTCCTAAGATCAACTCATTAGGGGTATACTGTTTACACTGAATAAGCAAGCATTCATGAAGCACCTAGGACATTGTCAGCATTCCATAAAACTAGCTACTTCATGGATCTTTGTACAACCCTTTTAACCATGAAGTCATCTTTATAGTCAACAAGTAAGAAAACCAAGATTCAATGAATTTAAATAAATTTCTGAGATCAATAAGCAATGCACAGGAAGAGGGGGAGCAAAGCTAATGGAAACAAATTGCAACGTGTCCTGGAGAGCCCCTGAAATGGCGGGAGAAGGGCCCGAGTTCAGGTTGCATTGTCTGTGTCGCCTCACAGACTGCTGCACAGCAGGCTGGATTGACTGATGAAGCCCGCTTGGGATGACACACTCAACTGCTGTGACAGAGATTCAAACATGCATCAAGAAATCGGAAGTTTCTCTCTTTTGTAACAGTCTTTGAGTTTGGTGTTGCGGGTGGCTCTGCCATTCCCTAGGCCCAGAACCCGGAACATTTTCTTTGTGGTCCAAGCTGGACCACAACAGTCTGTGCTCAGCCCTCAGGGCATGACAGAGAGTGGAGGAGACAGGCCCACCCTGCCCCGAGCCTCCACCTGCGTGTAGCACCATCACGTCTGCTTATGTCTCGGAGCGGAGGCCAACAGCTAGGGAGGCTGGGAGATGGGGTGGACTGTCCAGCTGATGGCCAGGCTCTGATTTTATTACCACAGAGAAAGGGAGAAGGCATTATTTGTGGGCAGTTAGTGGTCTTCACTGTCATAGTCAGCGCCTCTGAACACCAGATGCCTGTGCGTACCCTTCTTCTTACAAACAGGACATCTGCCACCGTGCCCCAAAGCAAACAACCCCACCAAACCTCATCAGCTATGAAGACCTGAAAAAATAGCTCATTTTACTGAATGCTGACAGTGTACTAAGTGTTTTATAAATTGTTGCTTATTCACTGCAAACCATATACCACTAATTAGGTTGATCTTACCTAGGTCTGAGTTCAGGATCCCTGGATCTTAAGCAATTCTCCTCTCATGAGGTCTGGATTCCCGATCCAGAGGTTGAAAAAGGAAAGTAAGTGATCTCAGCCTTCCCCCACCACAAGCCTTCATCCATCTCCCCAAGACCTCCCCATACAGGATGCAATGGTGGAGCAGAGCCGAACAATTCACAAGAACAGTTTCCATTGAGAAAAGAGAAGGAGGGCCACAGAGCTGGGCCACAGCAATGATGGGCTTCTGCTGGGTAGAAATTGCCTTGAGAGTGGAGGAGGTTTCTGATTGAGACCCTGGTTCCGCTCTCTGGGAAGCATGCCCTTGTTTATGGCCATGATATACTGTGTCCACTGTATTCATCCTTGGGGTCTTCGTTTGTGTCCTCTGTGACTGCACCTGAGTGGGCATTGGTGAGCCCGCCCTTTGGAGTCTGAAAACTTCGTTACTTGCTTATTTTTTGGATGTGATAAGGGCTGTGGTGGCTTTAGGCACAGAACAGTCACAGGTTTTTTCAGGCCCAGTCCAGTCCTTCTTTGGCAATAAATTCCCACAGATGACTTAATAGGCTTCTGGTCTACTTGCTTCCTGTCAGTTCCATGTTCCAGCAACTGCACTTAGTATTCTTTCCTAGACATCGCTCTTAAATCTGCTTTATCCTTTGCTTCTTTGACCTATCCCCATCTCCTTTATTTCCATGGTGACTTGTCCCATCCAAAACCAGCCGTAGGAGTTGGTGGAAAGGGAAGGCAACATCCTTAAGTTGATCTTTGCCTAAAAGATGCCTCTGAAAGAAGGCTTTGAAGAAAGCAGTGTATCTCCTGATGTTCAGAATATGGAAGCAGATGGCATTTCAAGCCCTGTTTCTCGCAACCCCCCAGTGGAAAAATTTTATTTCTTCTATATCTCTTTGCAAAATAACCTTTAAGACAGTGCCATATATTTATTTATTTATTTTTGTTTGTTTGTTTTCTTTTTTTTTCTTTTTTTCTTTTTTTTTTATTATACTTTAAGTTTTAGGGATATATTTAGTACTCTGTTGTCTGTACCAGTTAGAGTCTAAGTTGCTCTACTCAAGAGATCTCCAAATGCAGTGGCTCTATTGAGATAACTGTTGCTTACACAACTATCTGAGTTTCAGGTTGACAATGAGCTCTGCTCCATGCATTAGCTTGGGGAGCTAGGTTTCTTCCATATTGTTCGCCTGCCTTCATTAAGTCATTGTCCGTGTCTGCATAGCCAAAGCTGGGTTCCAGTGTCAATTCTCCAGCTTATCGGAAGAGGAAAGCAAGAGGAAGGAAGCAGGTCCATCATCTCTCAGCTTTCAGCCCAGACGTGGCTCACAGTACTCTTATTCATCTTTCTTAGTTGAGCTCATAGGCACATAGCCACACCTAACAGCAAGGGAGGCTGGGGAATGGAGTGTGTGTCTGGCCACCTGTGTGTCAGGTTATTGTTCTCCTACCATGGAAGACGGGGAGAATGGATTGGGATGGACATTGAGCAGTGTGCATCATTCATGCTGTTTGCATAAAGTCTATGCTCTCATGAAGTTTACCTTGACTTGAGGTAAACAAATATTCCAATTCATAGTATAACTTCACATAATGGTACATGCTATGGAGAAAAATAATGTGAGTAAAGGGATATTGAATAACGAAAATTGTTACATAGATAGGATTGGAGGACCCTTAGAAATGCCAGCCCAGCCTTTCATTTTACAGATGAGAATGTTGAAGGTAGAATAACTAAGAAGTGTTTAGTATCAACAAGCAAATGAAAGGAGTGTACTAGAAAAAAGGCAGTTTCTTCCGGTGCCTCCAAATAATACAGCGGAGTTTGGTGTCTG
The DNA here is from genome assembly GCF_000001405.40 of Homo sapiens. Classification (NCBI taxonomy): domain Eukaryota; kingdom Metazoa; phylum Chordata; class Mammalia; order Primates; family Hominidae; genus Homo; species Homo sapiens. The sequence continues at coordinate 11,308,020 of NC_000017.11, forward strand.
AGCTGTTGTCCTGATGGTCTGACTTTGGTGGGGTAAGGAAGTGGGCACTAGGGAGGTTGATGCCCAGGTCACCAAAATCTATCATGGAAGGGCAGGGTTAGGGGGCCTTTAGAAATGCTGGCCCAATCTCTGATTTTATAGGTGAGAAACCTGCAGTCCAGAGGGACGAACCATCTGCCCTGAATTTCCTTAGTGTTTTGGCTTTTTCACAATTTCTGTTCAGGAAGATGGCCATGTAACAGGCAGAAATGCCAGGGTGGAGAAGGCACAGCTAAAGAAGCAAACTGCCAGAATTCCATCAGGGTGATCCCAGCTCCCTAAACACACAAACATCTGCCTCTGCCCAACCCTTCCTCCTAACCTCATATGTGCACAGGAATGCAGCAAATTAACCTCCTGGAAATGGCAGGAGCGTGGTTTTCTCCCTTCTGCATCCAAGGATACCAACGGAGCTTTCTCTTTTCCCCTCTACCAAAGGCCACAGTATCTCAGACTTCCCAGTACAATTTCCAGAGTGCTTTATTAAATAACTCACTAAACACCCCAGATACTGTGATCGGCTACGTTCGCTAAGCCCTCCTCATTTCACAAGCTGATCCAAAAAGCAATCAAGTTTGTCCAGCATGATTTGTTCTTTAATAAAGAAACTCTGCGATCTCACAGCTGATCTTTGCCCAGGGCTCAGGCTGCAACCAATACTTGAGTTCTGTTGGGTAAGTATCCACAGGGGAATCTCTCCATGCTCGGTGGCTGCGATGCAGGCAACAGCTGTAAAGAAAATGCTTTGTTATGTAAAGGGAAGAACAGGCAACCTTTCAGAGTCAGACTGGAAGGCACAGTGGCAAATTAGTTCGGTAAACCTGTAGGCTCTCAGTTTCATACTTTCACCAGATACTAAACTTCCAAAGATTGGGCACTGCCAGTGGAGCACGAATCATCCACGTGGCTTTTTAAATTTTTTTTGAGACAGGGTCTTGCTCTGTCACCCAGGCTGGAATGCAGTGGCACCATTATAGCTCACTGCAGCCCCAAACTCCTAGGCTCAAGCAATCCTCCTCCCTCAGCCTCCCGAGTAGCTGGGACTACAAGTGCATGCCACCATGCTTAGCCAATTTAAAAAATGATTTTAGAGATGGGGTCTTGCTATGCTGCCCAGGCTGGTCTTGAACTCCTAGACTCCAAGGATCCTTCTGCCTCAGCCTCCCAAGTAGCTGGAATTACAGGCTCAAGCCAACACGCCCCACTCCACATGAAGCAAGTGTTTGCTGGCAGAAGTTATACAGAACTGGCCTTCATCATTTAGGGAGAATAAGTTACTAGTTGGGCCTAATTGCAGCTTGTTTTCTGTAATAATTTCAGTCGATGAATATGATTGTTTCTCATGTGGAACCTGTATCTATTCTGTAGGAGATCCATCTTATCAGTGACCAATCTGTTGTGTTTCTTCTTTTGGAAGCAGGAAGATAACCTGAGAACCTGGATTGGGCCATTCCCTGCTTTTCCTTTTTTGTTCTCTTACTTTCTGATGCTTTGATGTTTTAACTTCTGATGTTAGATTTTTACCCTCTTGTGGGTGATAACTGAATTCTGTGCAGTGGCCATACTCTAAGGCATCATCAATAATTTACAGAGTGGTTTGTCAATAACTTTAGCTCTTTATTAAATCAAGTGAATAGATGTTCCCTATGCAAGCATTTGCTTTGCCCCGGCTTTGTGTGATAACTTTGGCAGCTCACTTTAGAAAAAGTGCTTGTTTCTCTTTTAAGGTTCTTCCTGTACAGAGAGATTTCTGTGCTTTATCTTGATTTTGGATTTCCTTTCCCCATTTTCAAATCTGGAATATAAGTGTCAAGAAAAGGGATTTGGTCATTCATTCACTCACTTATTGAGGCATTGTCCTCAGCTGCATGGCCAAAGCTGAACTGCAGCATGAGGACATCCAGCACTTTTCAGGCTTCAGCCCAGAAGTGGCTCATGGTACTTAATCACCTTTCTTAGGTGAGATCCTAGGCTCATGGCCACATCTGACAGCAAGGGAGGCTGGGGAGTGGAGTGTGTCTGGCTAGCCATGTGTGTTAGGCTGCAGTTATACCACAGAAGATGGGGAGAGTGGATTGGGATGGACAGTCTCCATTATACATGCTATTTTCTTACTGTCTTGACTTGAGGAGGTAAACAAATATTCAAATTCATAATGACTCTGTGTGCCAGGCACTGTTTTAGGGTTGAGACTACCAGAATGAGCAAAATCTGTTTACATATGTGTCATAATACTGCTGTCAACCCAAGGCTGTTGACAATCAATAGACAACTAAGTCCATTGTATAACTTCACATAATGGCAAACTGTATGAAGGGAAATAATGCAGGTTAGGGGATATAAGATGATCAAAATTGCTGCTCAGGGTGGTCGAGAATGACAAAGCCAGAGAATGCAATGCCCTGAGACTGGCCTGCAGTTGAGTTGTTTGAGGAACATCAAGGAGTCCTGAATGGCTGGAACAGAAGGAGCATGAGGAGACAGAAGAAATGAGGTCACTAGAGCCCATCATGAAAGACCTCGTGGGCCAGAGGAAAGCTCTGGACTTTATTCTAAATGAGATGGGAAGCTCTTAGAGGGTTAGGGGCAAGGAACAGACAAGATCATATTTATGCTTTAAAAAGATCACCTCTGGGCTGGGCGCGGTGGCTCATGCCTATAATCCCAGCACTTTGGGAGGCCGAGGTGGGCAGATCACAAGGTCAGGAGTTCGAGACCAACCTGACCGACATGGTGAAACCTGGTCTCTACTAAAAATACAAAAATTAGGCTGGGCGCTGTGGCTCACGCCTGTAATCCCAGCACTTTGGGGGGCCTAGGTGGGCGCATCACAAGGTCAGGAGATCGAGACCATCCTGGCTAACGTGGTGAAACCCTGTCTCTACTAAAAATAGAAAAAATTAGCCAGTGTGGTGGCAGGTGCCTGTAGTCCCAGCTACTCAGGAGGCTAAGGCAGGAGAATGGCGTGAACCCAGGAGGCGGAGCTTGCAGTGAGCTGAGATTGCGCCACTGTACTCCAGCCTGGGTGACTGAGCGAGACTCCATCTCAAAAAAAAAAAAAAAAAAAAAAAAAATTAGCCGGGTGTGGTGGCAGGCGCCTGTAGTTCCAGCTACTCAGGAGGCTGAGGCAGGAGAATCGCCTGAACCTGGAAGGCAGAGGTTGCAGTGAGCCAATATCGCACCACTGCACTCTAGCCTGGGAGGCAGAGCAAGACTTCGTCAAAAAAAAAAAAAAAAAAAAACCGACAAACAAAAAAAATCACCTCTGGCTGTTGTGTGGACAGGAAACTAAGTATTTTCTTTGGAATCTTTGCATTTATGCAGGTGAGATTTTCTTGTTTGTTACTATATGATGTGGCAGGTCTTGGAGTCATGGCTATACTAGTAAAATGCATTGGAAAATGTATTACAAATCTGTTGTAACACAATACTAGTCCAATGAATTGGAATGCTTACCTCTTTTTTCCTTAGCAGCATAAGTATAAGGCATTCCTTGAAGCTTCAAAACCTCTTTTGTGGGGGAACAAATTTGGAAAATTCTTTCATAATCAACAGTGTTTTATGTTTTTTAAATTATACTTTAAAAAATAGCACACCCATTTTATTGGCATTTTCATATAACTACTCTGATGAGTTTTAATCTCTCCATTGTTAATTATATTTTCTTTCTTATTGCTAGAGATAGCTAGCTAGATATTTAGATTTCTTTTCTTTTCTTTTCTTTTCTTTTTTTTTGAGACAGAGTCTCACTCTGTTGCCCAGGCTGGAGTGCAGTGGGGCGATCTTGGCTCACTGCAAACTCCGTCTGCCGGGTTCAAGCGATTCTTCTGCCTCAGTGTCCCGAGTAGCTGGGATTACAGGTATGTGCCACCACGCCTGGCTAATTTTTGTATTTTTAGTAGAAATGGGGTTTTGCCATGTTGTCCAGGTTAGTCTCGAACTCCTGACCTCATGATTCGCCTGCCTGGGCCTCCCAAAATGCTGAGATTACAGGTGTGAGCCACCACACCCAGCTGTTATTTTTTCTTTTGTTGATAAAATATGTCAGAAATTATAACGCTTTACTTATTTTTTTTGGTCACTGAACTAAGTTTAGGACTTATTTATTACTTACATGTTTTCTAAATGTATTAATTGCCACTTTTATCCATTAATCCTTTTCTCTTCATTTCCCTGAGTTTTATTATCTAATATACTGTGTTGAGGGCTTAATTAATTTATTATCATGTTTTTGTTTAATTATTAAATTATAAAAACTATGAATTTCCTTCTTATAACAACCCTTTTCACATTTTGTAATTTTTGCTATGTATTATTCTCACTGTTTGTTATGGTTTTTAATTAGTCAATTTGTTTACCTCTTTAATACAAAAGTTACTTAAGATTGTATTTTTCTGAAAATAATATCTGTTGCTTTGAAAACGCACTTCATCTATAAATGAATAGGCTAAAAAGCAAAATATACCACTCACCTCCTTTTTTACTCCTAGATCAATGATTCCTTAGTTGTCCAAAGGGATCACTACCTTTAAGAGGAAGCATCCAAAGAGACCTTGTCCAAACACATATAAAACAATATAAGCATATATGGTTTTGTCAAAATGAAGTAATATCATAGATGTCCTCCCAATTTCTTTATTTATTCAGGAATAAGCTATGGCAGTATCCATAGTTCTATTTCATTCTTTTTAAATGGTCATTTTATAATATGGAATAAATGTATCAAATCATTCCCCTACCAGTGAGCATATAGGCATCTAGGTTGTCGTTTTTTAAAAACAATATATATTCTCCTTGTGCACTTGTGCAAAATTTGTATAGAATGCTAGATCAAAATTACTCCCATTTTTTCTTTTTATAGGTAAAGGCGTTGATGTGCTTATAAACTCTGTCAAACAAACAAACAAAAACAACGATTTGATTTGTACCATTTGCCAATTTCCCTGGTGTAAAAATTCCCACCATGGGCAACTTCAAGCTACCAACTCCTCTAAAAAATATTCTTAAATATTTAACTACAGACTTGTGTAAGCCAGTTCAAATCAATTCCATCTGATCCTAGCACACCACTTCAAAAAGCTGAATTGCCTCTAAAATTATTGGGTTAGTATATACTCATGCAGTATCTGGTAGTGCACCTCTCTCTATAACTTCAGTAACCCTGAATGTTAAGAATTTTTCTATTTTTCCAATCTGAGTTTTAAAAATTGTATTTCACTGTTGTTTAGTTTGCTTTTCTTTTCATGTGTTTAAATACCACTTATATGTCTTCTATGAATAGCTTATTCATATTATTTTCCTACCCTCTTTTTTAAATTCAACAACATTTTGAGTCCTTTCTACATACTGTGAATTCCTGTAGCTGCTAAGGATAGAAAAGCGAACAAGATGGATTCTTTTCTCTGTTCTAGTAAAGGTATTCTAGGGACATGATATCCAGAAACGAGTAATCAGACAGACAAAATTATTGCAAATTGGAAGCAAACTATGAAGGTGGGAGCTATACATGGAAGCTAAACTAGAAATTAAAAGGGGCATCTCTTTTAACCGTTACCTTTTGGGAAGCCCTCCCTGGGGAGGCGGCATTTAAGCAGGGATTTGAAGGGTATGGAGGAGTCAGCCAGGTCAACAGGGTGAGCTGACAACTGGGAAATTGAGGTGGTGTTGCTAAGCCTTCCAAACAGCAGCAACAATCTCTGCAATCTTTCTGAGAACTCAGGGAGATTAGGGAAGACCAGCAAGTCAAGAGCCTGGTGATGCTGGAGGAGAGATGAGTAAGATGAAGACGGAGAGAGAGAGAGAGAAGGACCAGGGTTGGATGGCCGGCCACTGAAGGTTTTTAGGTAGAGAATGATGTAATGCTATTGAAAATAAAGATATACTAATATCTTTTACAACTGTGCATAGAATAGATTATAGAGAGGCAAAAGAGGTATCTGGGAGTCAGTGAAAAGAGACTGTGCTGTGATCATCCCAGTGAACAGCTCAGAGAGTCCCATTCAAACTGAACTCTGTGCTCTGCTGTTACTGACAGCCCTGTGGACCAAACTGACAGACTATGCCCTTGTTTCTTTATTGGTTTTTAGGAGTATTTTAGAAAATAGATACATTTTGGTTACTATTTAAGTTGCAAATATTTTTCCATAGTTGATTATAACCTATTTCATGATTCAAAGTATTAACATTTTAAATTTTCATGAAGTTGGGTTTGTTCATTTTTTCCTTTATTGGTGCTGAGTATTTTTTTGTCACATTAGGAAGAGCTTCCCCTCTGCAAATTTATAAAATATGCTTGCATGTTTTTTTCTTTCAATGTCTATATTGGGGGAAAAAACTTTAGATTTTAAAATGAATCTGTAAATTACTTTGGTCTATAAATAAGGTAGGAAACTAAGATATATATTATATATATATTTGTGAATATATACATGTTCACTGTGTACTTTTACGTCATTCCATACTGTTTTTTCATTTTTTTGTTTTTTTTTTTTTTTGAGATGGAGTCCCGCTCTTGTTCCCCAGGCTCGAGTACAATGGCACAGTCTCGGCTCACTGCAACCTCCGTCTCCCGGATTCAAGCAATTCTCCTGCCTCAGCCTCCCAAGTAGCTAGGATTACAGCTGACCACCTCCACGCCTGGCTAATTTTGTTTTTTATTTTTAGTAGAGACGGGGTTTCACCATATTGGCCAGGCTGGTCTCGAACTCCTGACCTCAGGTGATCCACCCGCCTCGGCCTCCCAAAGTGCTGAGACTACAGGGGTGAGCCACTGCACCTGGCCCATGCTCGTTTTTTCAATTGGAGCTCTATAATCCATTTTGATGTCTGGAAGTGTAAATCACCCCTCATCAGATTCTTTTACAAAATATTACTGGTTGTTCATGTGCATCCACTTCTCTTTATGACTTCTAGAATCAGTTTGTTCAAGTTTTATTTTTAAATAAATCAGTGAGATTTTAGAAGGGGACATGAATGGAATTCATAGCTTAATGTGGGGCAGATTGACATTTTAAACATCTTGAGTTTTCATATCCAGAAATATGTCTTTTCAGTTGTTCAGACTTTCCTTCTTGTCCCTTTGGCAAAATTTTCAGTTTTTAATCCTAGTGTTCTGATACTTCCCTTGTGTTTATTACAAGGCATTTTATCATTTTTCTTATTAAATAAATGGAGTTATTTTTCATTGGATTTTGCCAGTATGTGGGGAAAGTTATTGATTTTTCTGTGTTTTTCTGTAACTTTATTGAATTTTCTTCCTAGTTTTAATAGTGGTTCAGTTGACTGCCTTGGATTTTGTAAGTAAACTGTCGTATCACCTGCAAAGAATGACAGCTATGCCTCTTCTATTTCAATATTTATTTCTCTTCTTTTTTTTCTTATTACATTGATTCCGACCTCTTTAAAAAAAGAGAAATATAGCGGTAACAGGCATCCCTTATAGAAATGTCTTCTGGGACACATCACTTAGTTAATCTTTACAGGTTACAAAAAAATGGCTTTTTACTAAAAAGTGACTTTTCAGATTACAATATTGACATTTAAAAAAGATTTTTTTAAAAAATAACTTTTTCTGCACTTCGAATGATCATACGATATTTCTTTTTTATGTCATGAATTATATAACATATTTTGATTTTCCATTCTTGAACTTTCCCTGCATTCCTAGAATTAATTCACCTTGGCCTTGATGCTTTATTGTATTACTACACTGATAATTTGTTTGCCAACATTTTATTCAGATATTTTCCCATCAAAATTTGGTTTGGTTTAGGTATGAGAGCCAAACATAGAGTTCTGAGATTTCCCTTATATTTATTACAAGACATTTTATCATCTAGACTTAAAAATCACTGAATTTTTTGTTAATCATTTTTTATGCTCTGAAGTGGTTTAAATAACAAAAGTGATATATATTATTTAAAAGTTGTATCAAACTCCATCATCAAGTGATCTGGTGCATTTTGAGGAAAGTCACTCTTTGCCTATCTGCTCATTATCTTCATTGCTACTGACACATTAATTTTCATTATATCCTGAGCTAATTTTGTCTAGTTTATCTAATGCTTGGAATTTATTGATATAAAGTTGAACATAGTGTTTTTAAAAAAAAAATTAGTTGTAAAGTTTTCACAGTAACTCTTGTTACTTTTGCTTTGCCATTTCTGATGTTGTGTGGGCTCATGTGAGTTTACTTTCTTTAGCTAAGACCAGTTTTTCTGTTTTATTTACTGGACTTTTCAGTAAACAAGGTTTGGGTTTGATTTTCAGGTCTTTTTTTTTTTTTTTTTGTATTCAATGGGAATCTCCTTGCATTTCCATTAGTTCCATCCTTCTCTCTGTCTCTCTCTCTCTCTCTCTCTCTTTTTTTTTTTTTTTTTTTGAGACGGAGTCTTGCTCTGTCGCCTAGGCTGGAATGCAGTGGCGTGATCTTGGCTCACTGCAACCTCTACCTCCTGGGTTCAAGTGATTCTCCTGCCTCAGCCTCCCAAGTAATGGGGATTACAGGTGCGTGCCACCACGCCCGGCTAATTTTTTGTATTTTTACTAGAGATGGGGTTTCACCATCTTAGCCAGGATGGTCTCGATCTCCTAACCTAGTGACTCGCCCACCTCGGCCTCCCAAAGTGTTGGGATTATAGGAGTGAGCTACCACGCCCGGCCCATCCTTCTCTTTTATGTAGACTTAGTTTCGTTCATTCTTATTTTCTTACAAATGTATTTAAGTTGATAACTTTTCCTCTGAGTTAGACTTTGGCCACATCTCCTAGACTTTGAAATATAGCAGGAGTTTGTTTTATTATTTTTTAAATGATGTGTAATTTTAGCTTAATGTCCTATTTTACATAAAAATTACTTGGAAGAGTTTTTATGTTTACATTAGAAAATATTCCAGACAGTTATGATTTTGGCTGTTACTCACTAATATGTATTTTAATTTGAGAATGAGCTCCTGTTACCATTTCTACATTGAGAGGCTTATTGATATTTTTTTCTGGCTTAATGACTGATTTTTCTAAATGTTTTATAGATGTTTGGAAAATACATATTTTATGTTTATATGGCTACCTGTTTTTGTGTATAATTTATATATCTTATTTACTATTTGGCTCTATATTTTAAAAACCTTAGTGAATTATTATGTCTTTTGTCATAATTGTAGTTTTGTCAAACTCTCTTTTATTTCTTTGAATTTTGCTTTAAATGTTTCTCTATTGTATTTTATTTTTGTTCAAAAAAATTTATGATTGCTATTACTTTGGTTTATAGTTTTTACCAAAATGCAGTATTTGTTTTTATCTGTTTTGATGCTTTTTTTTTGCCTTGTATTATCTGTTACCTAATATTTCTAGTCCTGATTTCTTATTGATCATAAACATATAGTTTATCTTTGTTCAGCACTTTTTCTGCTTTTCTGTATCATTTTGTTTATAGAATATATATACATAAATACACATATGTATATTTGGTGGTTGTTTGTTTTTACTTCTTAGGAATCCTTGAAAAATAATTGAATTGCATTTCACAACCGCAGTTTAAATAATTATTTCGATTTTGTTTTTTTTAAACTTTGTTTTTGTTTTGCTTACTTACTTGGGTGCCTGTCTGCCTGTTTTTCTTCCTTTCTTCCCTCCCTCCGTTCTTTCCTTCTTTTGCTTTTATTTTTGTTTCTATTTTGGTAGTCTTCTTTCCGTTTTAAAAACAGATTGAATATTTGGTTGGCAAATTCTATGAGTGTTTATATTTCTGAAAAAATTCTTTATTTTATTATTCTAGATATAATTATTTTAATTCTTTTTGTTAACTTTTTTTATTATAGCAAAATTTTAGACAAATACAAATATATGGGGGTGGTAAGGTAAACCCTTTTTACTTATCCCTCAGCCATTCTTGGCTTATCTAACCTGTCCCTGCCACTCATTCCACCTGGATTATTACACTTCTGCATTGGATTATTTTGCAGCAAATCACAGACATCACATAATTTAATCCATAAATAGTAAATTTTTTTTATGTATTTCTGAAAGACAAAAAGACAAAGGCACTTTTTGAAAATATAATCACAGTGCCATTATCACAGGAAAAAATGGAGCATTACTTCCTTAGCACATTGAAATTAGATTCAAATTATCTGAACTTCAACACTTTGAAATCATCGTTCCATTGTTTTATGACACCTAGTTTTGCAGCTGAGAAGTATAATACTAATCTCTCTTTGTAACTGCCTTTAGTCTTGCTTTTCGGAAACTGGCAATATTTGCTTTTTTTACTTGGGATTTACATATTTCATGTATTTCCTTATCTTGTGAGCTCCGACCACACTAGGCCTCGTTTGGCTTCGTCCTGTGCCAAGCCACAGGGCCTTTGCACAAGCTGTTCCATCTTCTTAGAATGCTGTCTTCACATGTACCATCTGCCACCCCCTAGGAGGTTCTTTCAATGTGAGCCTGTCCCCTGCTTCCCTGACTGGCTACCTGGGCACCCTCCTGGCTTGCACTGCTATAACACCATTTACCTGTTCCTGGTTGCTCTTATCAGAACTGCAAATGTGCATTTTATGTATGTACGTATGTGTTTAGGTATAATATCTATTTTTCCTACTACCATAAGCTCCATGAGAGTAGGGACTGTGTCTGTTTTTACTCTTCGTTGCATATGCAGTATCTACCATCGTTCTTCACATTTGATAAACGTTTATTAAATGCTTGAATTTTTGGAGGAATAAATGACAAATATCCTCATAAGGTATTCAGTGTCTTTATTATGTAAATGACTTTGGATTTTTTTTCATTCCGTCCTTTTCTGTCCCTGCTCCTAGAATTCTCATTAGAAGGATATTCGATTTTGCTCAAACTATCTGCAGTGGCTTTTAACTTTTCTCTCATAATTTGGATCTGTTATCCTTTTGGCTAGAGTCTACTAATTTGTACTTCAACCTGGTCTATTCTAGTATTCAGCTCTTCATTGGTTTTTGTTTTTATTATATTTTATTTTCTAAGACCTGTATTTCTTCTTATGTTTTTTTTTTTTTTTTTTCCTTGAGATGGAGTCTCGCTCTGTCACCCAGGCTGGAGTGTAATGGCATGATCTTGGCTCACTGCAACCTCCGCCTCCCGGGTTCAATCGATTCTCCTGCCTCAGCCTCCCAAGTAGCTGGGATTACAGGCCTGTGCCACCACGCCTGGCTAATTTTTGTATTTTTAGTGGAGACGGGGTTTCACCATGTTGGCCAGGCTAGTCTCGAACTCCTGACCTCAGGTGATCCACCCGCCTCGCCCTTCCAAAGTGCCGGGATTATGGGTGTGAGCCCCACAGCCAGACTGTATTTCTTATTAATAAGAGGGTATGGTTGTGTCTGGTGTAATAGTCTCTCAAAGGTCTCTGAGAATACTGATTTTACTTGTTTTAAACTTGTTTTCTGTTTCTTGAGTTCACTCTATCTTCAGGGATTCTTTAGTTGGTTCGCTCTGATACATCTTTTTCATACTGCTGTTCTCCTTGAGGAGTTGCAAATGTGGATTGCCTTCTTACTTTTAAAATTAATACTCTAACCATCTAAATAAGTCATGTTTGACTAGCCTTCTTTTACAAATTGAAAGAAAATGATAACATAGTAGCTTTATGATTATTCAAATTCTTCTAATTCTCCCTCTTTGAGGATATAAACACTGTTCAAAATGTATTCAATTCCTTAAAGTGTTTAGCTAACATGAAGTGAGAACCACATTGCTAGTCATTGGAGACAGACATGAATAGGTTTCTGTTCTTTTCCTTATCAGTTCGGTTAAGTAAGGCAGAAAGTACATGTAAACAGGTCACAATACTGCAGTGTTAAAAACAATTATGACAGCGGATTGCCTAAAAAGAAAACTAGAAGACAAGAATTTGGAAAAGTTCTAAAACGTTTGAAAGGGAAAATCAGTGGCTATTTCCTTTTTGTGTCCCTAGGGTTCTGAAAATCAGTGGCTATTTCCTTTTTGTGTCCCTAGGGTTCTGAAAGATAGTAAATACTTCATGTTTAATAGATGAACTGGCATTCAGGGAATGAGGAAATTAATGTAGGCTGTTGGAGCAGAAGTCTTCTATTTCTTAAGTAAATATTTTCAATCATTTATGTGGACATAGTGAAGAAAACTATTCTGAACCTTAGTTGTATCTCGACTCTTTTGGGTACATTGTAGATAGCTTTGATGCTTAACAATTAAGTGACAAATAAGCTGTTTCAGAGAAATTGGGAAGCAATAGGTCTTAATTCCCCAGTCTGTAATTCCCTGGTGTTTGTGCATGGGGGGTGGGGCTGGTATAAGAGAGAGAGAGAAGAGGCTGGGTGCTGTGGCTCATGCCTGTAATCCCAGCACTTTAGGAGCCTGAGGCAGGTGGATCATGAGGTCAGGAGTTCAAGACCAGCCTGGCTAACATGGTGAAATCCCGTCTCTACTAAAAATACAAAAATTAGCTGGGTGTGGTGGTGGGCACCTGTAATCCCAGCTACTCAGGAGGCTGTGGCAGGAGAATCATTTGAACTCTGGAGGTGGAGGCTTCAGTGAGCCAAAATTGTGCCATTGCACTCCAGCCTGGGCAACAAGAGCGAAACTCCATCACCAAAAAAAAAAAGAGAGAGAGAGAGAGAGAGAAGAAACCAAGGAGGAGGAGGAGCAGCAGCAGCCGGAGCAAAACACAGGCAACTAAAGGGACATCTGTGAGAAGCACTCATTTTTAGAGCCTACATCCTTTTCTTTTGCATGACATAATAATGCCTTCAGGAGGCAGAGAACTCATGTATGGGTGTGACATACCTTGTTTTCCAGAGAATCATCATTTTGTGAAAATGTATCATCTGAGTGTAATTCAGGGTGGGAAATGTGATACCAGACAGATCATATACAGATGTAGATTCCAGAAAATGCTCTTTCATGTCTGTATTAAACTTAGAAATTTGGATTGCTTTTTTAAAACACTAAATACCTACTTAATATCACATAAACAAAGTGGCGTATATTTTTCTCACCAAATAAGAGGGATGAAGTATTTATGAAGCAGCTCAGTGATATACTAGCCAGCATCTTTGTCATTGTATTGGCCTTGATCCTCAAGTCACAAGTTATCTACTATAGTGCCATGCATCACTTTTATAGTTGAGGTAGGGTTAATGGAGATATAGGATTTTAGCTATATGTATCGTATGTATCAGGAAAGCTAATGCAGTGTCAGGAAGTTTCTGTTCATACCTCTACCTCAGAACTAGATTATATGGCCACTCTTAGCTGCAAGAGAGGCTAGTAACATGAATGGTTAACATTTCCAGCTTCTTTAGGAAAGGTAGGCAAACAAGAAAAGGAATGAGAATGAATTCTGGATTGGCAACCAACAATATTAGTCAGGGATTTGAGATTTTGCACGGTAGATTATTTGCATCTTTCTACTTGTAGCTTGTCTATGACTTTATTTTTAAAAAGCATCAATTACAAAAACGTATAGGTAGGTCTTGTTTTTGTAGCTAGTCTCACAATCCTTGCCTTTTAATTGCACTGTTTTACTTGTATCTAATGTAATTATTTATATAGTTGAGTTTCAATCTACTATCTTGTTATTTATTTTCTAGCTGGTCCCTCCGTTTTTTGTTTCTTTGTTGATCCTTTTCAGGCTAATCAAGTTTTTGCTGCTATTGTTGTTTTGTTCTTTGCTTGGATTCCATTTCTTCTATAGCAAGCTTGTCCAACCTGTGGCCCACAGGCTGCATGAAGCCCAGGATGGCTTTGAATGTGGCCCAACACAAATTCCTAAACTGTCTTAAAACATTGAGAGTTTTTTGTAATTTTTTTTTCAGCTCATCAGCTATTGTTAGTGTTAGTGTATTTTATGTGTGGCTCAAGACAATTCTTCTTCTTCCATTGTGGCCCAGGAAAGCCAAAAGATTGGACACCCTTCTTCTATAGGCTTTTAAAGTAATTTAAAACTTAAGTTGTTTAAGTTTAAACAACTCTTTTTGTGGTTGCTCTAGGGATTATGTCTCTTTAATTTATCAGTATCTACCATTACTATGAGTTAACATTATTTTCATGTGCAATGTAAGGTTTTTTCAGCAGTATTATCCTACTTATATCCCTTCCATCCTTTGTCTATTGGTGACATAAGTTTTACTCTTACATATGTTCTAAGCCCCACTCTACATTGTTTCACCTTTTTTTTCAGTCAAAGAACGTAAAAAAGAAAAAAAGAGTTTTTTGTATTTATCTATATATTTACCATTTCCAGGACTTGTTTTCCTCACCTAGATATTCAGGTTTCCCCTTGGCTCTATTTCCATTTAGTAGAAAGAAATTTCTTTACAATTTCTTATAGAGTGAATCTGCTGGTGATAAATTCTCTTAACTTGTATTTATCTGAAAACATCTCTTTTGCCTTGCCCTTAATTTTTAAATTTTATCTATATCTTTGAGTTGCTATGATTTTTCTCTTAAAATAATCTTAACTTAGAACAGTATGAGATTTACAGAAAAGTTGCGAAGGACATGCTGAGGACTTGAGATACTGGCATACAATTCCTATTTAGTTATACTAGAATCAAAAACCTAACTTGTATTAATTAATTTGCAAAAAATCATTCTCCTCTTAGGGGTACCAATTCAGTATATTTGATCCCTGTTGGAGAATTTCTTATGTGCATACATGGGTTGATCTGAATGTGAAATGCTGAATTTCTATTTGAGTGCATTTATCAAGTATCTAACCTAAAGATTTTCAGGCTCCTACAAAAGAAATGTGGAACTACATCCATTCTTTAAAGGCTACATTGGGTGGGGGATGGAAGAGTGGGTATCAGTAGGGTGCTTAGTTGAGGAGAAAATTTTGAGATTTTTCTTTAGAAGTTAAGGGTTCCCAAAGGTTTGAAGTTTGAGAGAAAGAGGCAGAAAGAGTTAAACTAGGGGAAGAAAGGAGTGATTCACTCTGACATTGGTGTTCTTGAAAAATTCTTTTCGGGTCAGGTTAACCAGTCTTCCCATCCTATGCCCACAGGACCAAATGTTTCACAAGTCCTTCAGCAAGCAAGTTCACAAAAGAACTTGGAATTCCATTCTGTTCCTTAATCTATCACTGAGAACAGGGTGAGTTCTTTAAATCTCAAACCGTTCTAATTTTATCTAAACTTCATTAGCTTGTCTTAAAATAATTCCCAAACCAAAGAATAATAGAAAGCTGGCTCTCATCTCATCCAACTTCCTTTATGATACAAATAAGGAACCTGAGACAGAGAGAAAGGATTTTTCAAGGTCATTGTCCTCATAACAATCAAATACATATAATAATAACACATGAGCCGGGCACGGTGGCTCACACCTGTAATCCCAGTACTTTGGGAGGCCGAGGCGGGTGGATCACCTGAGGTCGGGAGTTCGAGCCCAGCCTGACCAACATGGAGAAACCCCGTCTCTACTAAAAATACAAAATTAACCGGACGTGGTGGCGCATGCCTGTAATCCCAGCTACTCAGGAGGCTGAGGCAGGAGAATCTCTTGAACCCGGGAGGCAGAGGTTGCAGTGAGCCGAGATCGCGCCATTGCACTCCATCCTGGGCAACAGAGTGAGACTGTGTCTCAAAAATAAATAAATAAAATAATAATAATAATAATAATAATAATAATACATGATACTTTGTGGTCGAGCTGGGACTTCAACCTGTAGGCTTTGCTCTCCCAGTCCAGGTTGCAGCACGCCAATGACCCCTTTCCTTCCCTTACGCTCCAGGGGCCTCAGCATGGGTATAGTACCCTCATCCACAGTCTCAGCTCTACCTGAGCTTCCTTTGCTTTTGTAAACAGCTTTATTGAGATATAATTTACATATGATCCAAAGCACTTATTTTTCATTTACTTTTTGCTGCAGCTTGAAATCTGGATCCCAGATCTCAAAATGTCAAATACAGAATGAGGGCTATAACAAATAAAATGATTGAGGGAGCCCTTGACATCTCAGCGTGCACACCCAGCGGTATATGCACCCCTATTTCACGGAAGTGACAACCCACAAAGGCCCACATTTCTAAGTTTCTGGCCCCACATCTCTTGGGAATATTTCCCGTCCATCTGCAGCTCTTCTCAGCTTTGGTGCCGCGTTTTCATCTTATCAAAGATTCATGCAAGTGTGTCAGACTGGCACACGTAGGCTGTCGAGTCTGATGCCCATACACAAGGGAAGACTTTCCAATCCTTTTCCTGTCGATGACACTCTTCCTTTCCCCCGTAACACAGCATTTAGAAGGAAAATTATCTGTGAGCTGTCTTTGGCATGAACAGAAGAAGAAGGAACTCGTATTTATTTGTTCATCCAGTAACTCTTGAGCACTGCCTGAGTGCTGTGGCCTGTGCTGGGCACAGGGGTTACTTGTCAGGTCAAAACAGACAGGGCCCCTGACCTCGTGGACCTCATGGGAAATGAACCAATAGCTTCCTGGATAGTAGAAGCTCTTTTCCTTCATGGAAATCTGTAAATGGACCTTGGGTGGTAGGCGGGGTATTGGGGCTGGAGAACACAGTTGTGCTCCAGATTGGGGGGTGGAGAGAAGAGGCCACACCAGCCATAATCCTCCCCTTCGTTCAACTCCTCAAGACCCTTCTGTGATTTTTCTTCAAGCCTCTAAGTTCAAGCTGGAGAATCTGGAACTATATGTTGGAGATCTGTGAGGTATGGCATCTAGATTTACTTTAAAATCTCAAACTACTATCCCATGTCATCCGACCTGTTATGCTTTGGTCTTCTTAGTGCACAATTAGGAAGCTGAAACTCACAGAGCGGTGATCAAAGATACTCAAAGTGACCTGACTAAGTAGTAGCACAGCGAGGGCCGGGTCTCCAATCACCTGCCTATCTGGTCCCTGGAGCCCTCCCCACCTCATTGGTTCTGCCCCAGATCTTCCTTTTGCCAATTTTGCTCCTCACAACCAAGCAAACCCTGACATCCTAGCTTCTGGCTCCAATTTCTTACCCGGTAAGGGTCAAATATCTGTGAAAATCATTCTGAGAAATGTGCCATCATTCTCAGATGGCAGCCTTGACATGTCAGGACAGCCTGGATCCAGGCGAGGATCACCCCAGATGGAAATGATAAACTTGGGGGCACATCCAGGCGGGCCCAAAAGTGGAGCAGGAGCAGGGATGCTGGCCTCTGTGTTTCAGTTCATCAGGCTGAAGGGGCAGCAGGGCTTTGGCAGGTTGAATGGCACGAGCTCTAGAAACAGGACAGTGCCAATACTTTTCTAGGACTGCATCGGATAAACTGGGACATCTGCAATATTTCCTAAGCAAACTAGGTTACCCTCCCCACTGCTGCGGCTACCCGAGGGCATTGGGCAGCTGGGTGACCCAGAAATGGCCATCTCCTTGTCCAGCTCCATCTGGAATTCCAGCCCCTAATTCCGGGGCACTGACAACCTTTAGGTGAAAGCGAGCTTTACAACACCAAATGGAATCAAGCCCATTTTTGGTGTAGGATGCCTATTCCAAAACAATAGGGGGAAAGAAACATTTCTCATTTAAAAAAAAGACAGCATCAGGAAGTGAAATGGCAAGAAATCTTCCCCATGTACTTTCACGTTTTATAGTCTAGAGAAGCAAAATAATTGCAGGAAAGTGTGCCATGTTTAAAAAAAAAAAAAAAGACTTGATGTCAAGAGACATTGATTTGGGTAGCTAAACTGGGAAAAATTACTTCCTCCCTGGGCTTAACTTTCTCAGTGGTACAATGAAGAGGTTGGCTTAGTTGATCTCTCAGTCTTTCCTGCTTTGAAAGCCTATGATTATATGCAATCTCTAGTTAACAATGCCAAAAAACAATAATGGGGACAGCCGATGTCTAATATGCTCCTCCTTGACCCCAAAAGACTTGTTGATTCAGTGACTGGGTGACTCTGCAATGCAGTACTAAAGGCCCTAAAGGCCGGGCACAGTGGCTCACGCCTGTAATCCCAGCAGTTTGGGAGGCCAAGGCCGGCGGATCACGAGGTCAGGAGATCGTTAGCCATCCTGGCTAACATGGTGAAACCCTGTCTCTACTAAAAATACAAAAAATTAGCCAGGCGTGGTGGCATGCACCTGTAGTCCCAGCTACTCGAGAGGCTGAGGCAGGAGAATCACTTGAACCCAGGAGGTGGAGCTTGCAGTGAGCCGAGATCGTACCACTGCACTCCAGCCTGGGCGACAGAGTGAGACTCCATCAAAAAAAAAAAAAAAGCCCTAAATAGGGGGATGTAGGGCAAGGACAAGGAAGGTAGTGGAGGTCAGCTGCTTTCTCTACTCCCCTCTAAAGACATGCACTCTTTGTTCACTCCTTCTTCCAGGGCACTCAGAACCCTGTGTGCATTCATTTGTGTGTGTTGTAGTATTGCAGGTTCTAAACTCTCAATGATGTAAATGAGAAGAGGGAACCAATAGGCAGTGAATTCTATGGTCTATCAGAAACAGAGCAGTCTTGGGGTTGGGGCCAAGCTCATTTACTCAACCATTCATAATGACATGGCACCATATTTGGCCAGCGCCTCAACCTTCCGAATCCTAGACCATCTGTCTAACACCGTTAATTGGCTCCAGAGGGAGATGTGCTCAGAGGACATTTCAGCACATGCACATTGAGGATGATGCAAAGTTTTTGTATCCAGACCTCTGTGTGAAATCCTCTGTCCTTGGAGGCATAGATTGAACCACGAGTCAGTCCACTGATCCACTTAGGCTGAGGATATAGGCAGGCCTCTTAACCTGGGTCACACTTTCCTTTCCCAGTGTCCCAGAGTAGGGAGTCCCCTCTCAAGGAGAAATCAGCCTGCATTATCTTACCACATCCGCAGCAACGTAGGACTTCAGGGAAACTTCTAAGACAATGCGATTCTGAAATAGCAAATGAGGTAGTACAAAGGACATCTTTAATGTCCATTACGACCTTGCTCTTGAACTCTGTGGACATGTTAACCCTCTGGGTGGAGTGGGAGGAGCCGTAGGGTTGGAATACTCCTATAAAGTTTAAGGGAACCATCCGATAGAGACTGATGTCCAAATAAATGCTGTTGAGGATAGATGAGTCTAAAAACCTGGTGTTTGACATTTATGGTGCAGAGTCAGAGACCACAGTAACTATTTCCTCATTTCCAAATTCATCCAGGATAAAAGGATTCTTCCTAGGTCGCATACCATGAATACACATTAATCTGGAAAAACCTGACTTCTGAGTTGGTGTGATTTCAAAAGATCACCATGATGGGGTTTCTACTGCTCACTAACCAAATGACCTTGGGCAAGTCATTTCCCTTCCGCAAGGATTAGTTTTATCATCAGAGAGATGAGAGGGTGGAACCAAAATATTCTCTTGTGGTTAGCTTAGAGACGCCTTAGGACCCTTCTAAGAAAAGGAAAGAAAAGCATCTCTATCTACTTTATTGGTAAAATCTTTTCTAGTAGTGGCAGTGATAAATCCAATATAAATCCAGTAATACTGAAGGACCCAGCACTTTGGGAGGCCAAGGCGGGTGGATCACTTGAGGCCAGGAGTTCTATTCCAGACTGGCCAACAGGGCAAAACCCCGTCTCCACTAAAAATAAAAAAATTAGCCGGGTGTGGTGGTGGGTGCCTGTAATCCCAGCTACTTGGGAGGCTGAGGCAGGAGAATCGCTTGAACCTGGGAGGCAGAGGTTGCGGTGAGCCAAGACCGTGCCGCTGCACTCCAGCCTGGGCAGCAGAGTGAGGCTCCATCTCAAAACAAAACAAAACAGAACAAAACAAAAACACAAAACACTGAAGGAAAGAGGTTTAAACTGCTGACAAAAGGCAATTTAAGTTAAAGTTTCCCCATTCAGAAGCATTTTCTCTCTCTCTCTCTGTCTCTCTCTCTCTCTCTGTCTCTCTGTCTCTCTCTCTCTCATAGATACACACACACAGTTTTGTTAAATTAAAAAATGTATATATTTTTAATAAATACAAATTCATTCACTTTTTTGTGACATTTACAGTTTATTTCTTCGGCAATTACTAGTTGTGGAACCCAGCATGATCTTTTAACCCTCAATTTCTTCATCTATCAAATGGAGATACAAAAACTATGTCAAGGCAACAAATGAACTAGAAATGAGTACAGCATATTGGGTAGGAAATTGGGTCCTGGACTCGGGCCACACACATGACTGCAGGTTCTCAGCTCTGTGACCTTAGTGCAATTCCCTCCCACCTCTGTGGGCTTTGATCCCACCACCAGTAAACAGGGGCAATAAGAGAACTTTTCCCTAATGGTTGCTTTGTTTGTGGTGGGGTGATTCGGAGCCACAGCTCTGGGGCTAGCCTTGGAAGCATTCCAAGCCTCATTCTGACATTTACTGGTTGCAGAACCACAGGCAGCTTAATTAACCTTCTTGTGCCTTGGTTTCTCCATCCAAAAATGGGAATGGGAATGGTGCTTATCTTCCAGGGCTTTCTTGAGAATTAACTGAGTTAATACATCTAAAGTACTTGGAACAGTGCCTGGTATGTAGGAAACACTCAATAAATAAATTGCGTGTGTGTGTTGTTAAGTCTAATACAGTCACCAAGAGTCTTTTAACAAATATCCCAACAAAAACTACAAGTAACAAAACAGTGTTTCTCTTGTGGATCTTACATTCTGAGGAGAATGACAGACAACACACAAATGAAAAAAATAAGTATGAAGTAGGTCAGGCAGAGGAAAGTATGATGGAGAAGAAACAAAGAAAACCAGGGAAGGGGCAAATGGAGAGGGAGGAAAGGGTGCCCCTTAGATGGAGTCATCTCTAAGGAGGTGAGGTTTTCAATAAGGAGCTGAATGAAGGGAGGGAGTGTGCTGTGGGCGCATCTGCTGTGAGGCAGAGGGTGCATTGATGTAAAGGCTGCATGCTTGAATGTGCTTCTGCTGCTAATAACGATGGTGATGATGATAACAATAAATCAAAACAATGCTTTAATAAATAGTACTCAGTGGATGTTCAGGACATCCATGCAGGCACATTGACTCATCTTAGCCTGTAAGTTATTACAGTCAGCAGGTGTTAAGATTGCAATTGCCTGTATTCAAAGAGGGAATAAAGAAAAGGTGGCAGGGCTTCCTGCTTTAAATGCTGTCTGCCTAGCTAGTAGCCCTGGTGTAGCCTCTTCCAGTTTCCCATCAAGTGACCTATGAAGACAGAAAGAAGAACAGCTGCTCATGGACTGCTGAACATGGACACCGTGAGTTAAGCTGCTATCAGGATCTTGGAGAAATTTTTACTAATTCCAACGTCGTTACATCTCTATCTTAAAAATGTAAATCGACACCAAATTTGTGGAAATAATGTGCATGGGGGTAGGGTTACCATTTACTGTTATCTCGGAGACTGTCCGTGGATAAGCATAGTTTCCAGATAACTGGGCATTCATCTTCTCTCCAATTAATACATTTTTGGCCCTGCCCTTCCCAACTCTTCCCTGCAAACTCCAGAAAATAAGAAGGGGATGGGGTGAAGAGATGGGTGGCGGCACAATGCATCTTGGTGGGCAGAGTCTCCACGCGAGTAAAACATTTTAGGTAAGGGTAGAGTTTGGAAGAGCCTTGGGAACAAATATACTGGGCATTACAGCTTTCCTTATGTGGTTTTTTTAAAGAAGATCTGCAAGAACCAGTTGGAGGGGACAGGAGAAGATCCCAGCAAGGTCCAGCAGAACCAGTTGTCCTGGTCTGAATTTTTAGCCATTGTAGGGTAAAGAAAATCGACTTAATATAGGTTATGTGAAAGAGGGAAGCATTGACTCATTGTGTGTAATGTGTTCAAGCGCACCTGGATCAAGGTGCTCCAGTGATGCTTTTCTCTCTTTCTCTCTCCCTCCCTCCCTCCCTCTCCCTCCTGTCTCTCTATTTGCCTTAATTTCATTCTTGGGAAGGCTTTTCATATGAGTAGAATACGGCCATATGAACAGAATATGGCTTTCCATGTGAGTAGAATAAGGCTTTCCATATGAGTAGAATATGGCCGCCAGCAAGTCCCAACTTGCATCATCCTTACAGCTTAGTATCCCAGAGGGAAGCAAAGCCTTTCCTTATATTTCTAGCAAATGTTCCTGGGTTCTGGTTGACCTGTCTTGGATTGGCTCGTATCTGAACCGGTTTCAGTGGGATGGAGTACTCTGATTAACCAGACCATGGTCACGTGGTTGCCACCAGGGACCTGGAGGAGGGGGAGACAATCCATCTGAACCACCTGGACTGAACAGCATTCTTGTGGAAAGAGGCTGATGTGATTTACCAATGTTAGGGCTTCCAGGTAGATGAAAAGCTCACATCTGTTCCATCTGTGCTAGGTGATAGCAGGCCAAGGAAAGGGTAGAACTGACATCAAGCAAAGGCTAGTCAGCAATAAGGTTGGCAAATTGAGACTATTTTCTAAAATTCTGAGAGTAATGCTAGGGAGAGAGAGAGAGAGAGAGAGAGAGAAGATTATAGATAGGAAAGACAGGGAAAAGACTAAAATTAAACCTGTTTCTAAAGAAAATCTACAATTTTTGAGGTGTCCTAATCAAAGATGCAGACAAATCACCTTCCCTGAGCTTCCCTGGGGTCCAAGTTAAAAGGGTGCTATTCATTACAGAAAAAACGTAAGTAAAAAGATCCATGCGTGAAGCACCTTGCCAAATGAACAGCATACACGAGCAAAGAAAAAAATGTAAGTATCTAGATGTTTAAGGTAATTTAAAAATTATTGTATAGTCAGATGAATAAAATTAGGTTGGCCTTCGTCTTTGGTCTGGTATCAAGGACCAGAGACAGTGGGGAAGCGCCTGACTTTTCTGAGTGCTCGTGAGCCAGGAACCTCTTGCCAAGACAAAGTATCTCACGTATAGTGACAACATGAAGTCATTCTTGGATATATACAGTCTTGGAAACTAGCAGATTTGAAGTTCTAGCCAGCCAAAGATAACTGAAGTTAGAAATGCGAGTGGATGTTTTGCTTATAAGAACTGGCTGCATTCCTTGAGGTGAGAGTCAGATTCCCCCATCTGGGAGCCTGCAGGAGAAACATCTGCGCAGTAACTCTCCCAGGGTGATCGGCCTCTCCACGGGATGTGGAGGCGTGGCTTTCCTGTCCCAGTGGCATCCAGAAGAAGCTTAAAAGGGAGGGATTTCAAAATGCATTACCCTTCTTTATTGGCTTGACTCTGTAACTGAACATAAGACATTCCTTTGGAAAAGCTTCTTCTTCAGAGAAGTACAGGCCAAAAGAGACAACAAACAGCATTTCTCACCTGCTTCCTCTCAGTGGGAACGTTTGCTAAATGCTTAATGTAAGTTCTCACAGGTAAATTTCACCACTGAATTCTGAAGTCCAATTAAATAGGATTTACAGCTATGTCTAGAGAAAAAAATGCAAAGCCTGCTTTGTTTTTGAGAGGTATGTCTGTGGGTGATTTCTCCCTCCCTTCAGTTTTCTATTCTTATTTTTAATGACTTTTTGAATGAAAAAAATAAAAACAATGCACAGCTAAAATAGACGAGATGGCATGCATTAAACCAAATGCATGGTTTGGAGCACCCCATGCATGCACTCACAATGAAACTCCACACTCCCTTTGCTCTCTCTCTCACATACGAGCTTTCCCTATTTCTTCTCTTCTTGTCTATCTTTTTCTCTGATCCACAGCTCACATGGACAGGGCTCTCTCAAACACACACACACACACACAGCCCCCTTGGTCACTTCCTCCTTTGCATCTCCCTCTCTTTCCAGCTGCTTCTTTCATACACAAACCTCTAGTCTTGCTGTCACCTCTGGGTCTCCTCCCTCTGACCCTCCCAGCTCTGCACACAAACAGGAGCCTTCAGTGGCTGCTCTCCTCACTCTGTGGCTCTGTGTACCTTCCATTCACAGATGCTCACACTGCCGGTGGAGCGGAATCACTTCCTCTCTTCTCTGTATCCTTCAGTTCTCATCCATCTTACTCTGTCTCCCTCCCTCCCTCCCCCTCGGACTCCCCCTCTCTCTCTAAAGCACACACACTCTCCTTGATTAGTTGTGCACACTTATAACCACAGGAGTTATGGATTCAATTATCCAAGCACCACCATCCTCCCCCACCTCTCTTGAAAAGTGAAGACAAGTGAGCGTCCTAATTAAAATGTTACCCGTCTCATTGGCGCAAAGAGACAGAAGCGCCAGCGTTGGGGAAAAAAAAAAAATGGAAAGACAATAATGTGTTTACCTTCCTCAGCTGGGTGAGTCATCCGTGGGCTTTTTCTGGTTTTATAGCAGCTCTCTGCTACCCTGCGTACCATAGACTGGGGACAACTTGCTTTCTGTCCGTCCTTATGGGTAAAATTATGAATTCTTCATCTGGACACTTAAGAATAAACATGCACTGTAATCAGAGTTGGCCTGAATCCATGGGCTCCCAAAACTTTTGAAAACGCTCCTTTGTTCTTTGTCAGTCGTAAAATAAACACACCGCTGATGTGTCCCACATCCCATGATACGGGAAGGACGTGGGCCATATTTGATGAAAGGGAGAGAACCGTGAGCCTGTCTCCCTTTCGCAGGCTCAGGTTTGCTTTCTGTCTCCTTTTGTGCAGACTAGGCTCCATGGAAATTCAGCTGGGAGCCACCTCCTGCAGGTTTCCAGGCCTTTAAATTCAAGTGGATAGATTATGCCCATGCCGGGGTTGGGGAGCATCTAGATGATCAGATCTGTTGTGAACCCACTCTCATTGCTTTAGGAAACAATTCCAATAAATTAGTGGGGGGTTTTGACAGAGCAACCCGTCATGTGATATTCCACTGGAAGCCTGCCGAACCCCTGGCTCCAAAGCTTGCAGGGATGTTTGGTGTCATTGTCTCTCGGGTGGTGGTAGAAGTCAAACTGCCAGTGCGGCATCTAGAGAAGTCTGTGTCCAGATGAGATGGTGATCCAGGAGCCTGCAGAGCAGCGGGGGCCTCCCTGTGCGGTGGCTGCCAGGGGGTGACCTGCCTTTTGGTGTGCATGCCACATCTTTATCACTGTGACAAGAACACAGCAGCAATGACTTCCTCATGGTGTGGCTTGAGGAGCTGGGACTGATCGTGCATTATAAGGAATATTTAGGCCCCACTCTGTAATGTTCAGAGTGGCACAGAGGTGGGTTTCTCTGGTCCATGTGGAGAGGGAACCTGCCAGAGCCAGCGGGTTGAGAGTGTGGAACTATAAGAAATAGACTTTTGGTCTTTGTCCCTGGTTCCTGACACGGAACTCCTAAATCCTTGGAATTTTCTGAGTGATAGGAGCCCTTAGATAGCTCCAGCGTGGGGCAGTTGCCAGAAAGGCAAAGTCTTGATTACAGGCCTGGAACTTTTACCACCCCCTGCAGCCTCCAGGGACAGGACAGGAGCTGGAGCTTGAGTTAATAATCCATCAGGCTAATCTGTTGAAAACTCTATGTTCTTCTTCTTCTTCTTCTTTTTTATTTATTTTTATTTTTATTTTGAGATGGAGTCTCACTCTGTCGCCCAGGCTGGAGTGCAGTGGTGTGATTTTGGCTCACTGCAATCTCCGCCTCCCGAGGTCAAGTGATTCTCATGCCTCAGCCTCCCAAGTAGCTGGGATTACAGATGCATGCCACCATTCCCGGCTAATTTTTGTATTTTTAGTAGAGATGGGGTTTCACCATGTTGGCCAGGCTGGTCTCAAACTCCTGACCTCAGGTGGCTGGGCATGGTGGCTCATGCCTGTAGTCCCAGCACTTTAGGAGGCCAAGGAGGGTGGATCACCTGAGGTCATGAAAACTCTACAAAAACCCCTAAACAATGGAGGGTGGTATTCAGAGAGCTTCTGGTCTGGAGAGCATGTGGAGGCGCTGTGAGGATGGTACATTGGCAATTAAGTTTCTACCACCATCCAGAGAGGGCACAGAAGCTCCGTGCTCCCCACTCTCCATACATTGCCCTGTGCATCTATTCCATCTGGCTGTTCCTGGGTTTTCTCCTTTATGATAAACTGGCAACAGTCAGTAAAGTGTGTTCCTGAGTTCTGTGAGCCATTCCAGAAATTACTGAGCATGAAGATGGGGGTCATGGAAATCCCCTGTTTATAGCCAGTTCGTTCAAAGTGCAGGAGGCCTGACAACTGCAACCAGAGTCCCAAGAAGGGAGCAGTCTCTTGGGACTGAGCCTGTAAGTGCTGAGGTTTGCCCTAACTCTAGGTAGTAAATATCAGAATTGAATTGAATTCTTGAACACCCAGCTGGTGTTTGAAAGGTTGGAGAACTGGTTGATGTAAGGAAAAAAAAAATTCACCCAGTTGGTGTCAGAAGCGTTGTGAGTAAAAACAGCTTTTTGAGAGTGCTTGAGAAACAAGCCCCTGGACCTGAAAATCACTGTCTGCATTCGACTCACAGGTGGCCATCTCTCATGAACTTGGGCATGCAGGGAGCAGGGCCCCTAACAGGATACTGGTGGCTGCAACACAACTTATCTAGCTCTGCCCTCCAGGAGAGCGCTAGACATGCATGTCCAGGTTTTAGGTTTGATGCCAAAGCCAGGCTGGAGTCCTGGCCACAATGGCCTCTCCCTGAAGATGTGGGATGCCTATCGGGGGGAGGGAGACTGCCACATGATGCCAACATCACCTGTGACAAGACACTAGCATGCTCCCCTGGAAGCCCTGCCTTCGGATCAGAAAGCATCATTTCAGCCCCTGGTGCTCTGAGAAGGTGTGGATGGAATACTGGCCTTGGCACAGCTGCCTGTAGGATCTTTAAACTGTGGACACCTGGAATTCAGCCCCACGGAAGACCCTCTGCAGTATCATGTAGCTTGTCCCACTGGAGGGTGTGTTATAGGGCCACCCATTCCCATCCCCGTGGTGCATGATTTGCCAGGCACTTCTGGCTTGCACCTGCACGAGGCTGGGCAAAACCCAGAGACACTGAGGCAGAGATACCTGAGACACTTGATGTGGGAGGCTGGCAACTTATTCAGTGGCTATTGACAGGTGGCACTTCAACATCTTTTCGTAGGACACGTGGAAGAATGTGCCCTTTGCTTCTTAGAAACAATGACAGTTTTATAACTCAGGGATACAGAGGTGAATACAGAGCTTTCTCCTGTCACAAAGATACTCGCAACCCATAGCCTTGGCGGTTGCACAGATCTGCCCAGCTCTCTGCTGGAAGACTTATCCCATATCGCAGGCCTCTATTTAGATGCTCGCTGCTTCCTTTGGGTTCTATTCCAGAGCCTTGCAAGTGCCAGCCATATTGGGTCACTGACAAATGAATATGGGTGAATGAGCAGAGGAGCTTGAGTCAATGCGTGAACATGCTCCTTCTCCAGGCTTACACGTGAGGACATGACCCTGAGCAGGGAAGCCGTGCTGCTATAGGTGATCTCAAGGCCCAAGGCCTCCAAAGGCAGGAAGAGAGGAATGAATTTCTGATTGGACAGAAACTGAGGCACCAGCACAGCCTTTCCCTGGCCACCCCTGAGAATCATTGTTCAATTAAAGTTCCTCTTGAGTAGTGCAGAATCCATGGATCTCTTTTTCCTTGGCTCCTCAAGCCCCATGAAAAGGGCTCTTGTGGCAAAAACCTAGTGTTTGAATGAACTTCCCTCCCAAGGAAACTGGAATATTTTCCCACGAATTATCAGGAGCCCGAGGTTCCAGCGAACATGGAGGAAAGAAAGGCAGACTTGAGTTCCTTCTCTGGTGCCACTACTCATTGGCCGGGTGACCTTGGGCATACCATGGAACCTGTCTGAGCCTCATTTTCCTCATTTGTAGAATGGTGGTTGCAATAAAGTTTATTTCATAACACGCTTAGTGGTTCAAATGACATATGCGAGTTATGCCTTACAAAACCACAAAGTGGGCCAGGCGTGGTGGCTCACACCTGTAGTCCCAGCACTTTGGGAGGCCAAGGCAGGTGGATTGTTTGAGGTCAGGAGTTTGAGATCAGCCTGGCTAAAACATGGTGAAACCCCGTCTCTACTTAAAAAAAAAAAAAATCCAAAAACTAGCTGGGCATGGTGGTGCATGCCTGTAGTCCCAGCTATTCGGGAGGCTGAGGCAGGAGAATTGCTTCAACCTGGGAGGTGGAGGTTGCAGTGAGCTGAGATCGTGCCACTGCCTGTGTGACAGAGCAAGACTCACTCTCTCAAAAAAGAAATAATAGTAATAATAATAATAATCTCAAAGTGCTATGAAATGTTAGCTAAGTCCATAAGTTTGTTTATTTTATGGCTCTGATCTTTATAGACACTTTTGTCAGAATAGTCTTAATGTGGGTATGGGGTAAAGGAGGGGTGCTGGGAGCTTAAAGGGGAACGTGGTAAGCTATTATGGGGGCAGAGAGAGAAGAGAGGGTGGGCATGCAGAGGTTTAGATGCTTATGGAATCAACATGGCCCATGATGGACCCTTCCCCAGAGACCCCAATATTGGGCTCATGGGGCACCTCCTGCTGCAGCTCCTCACCTGCCGCCCCTGGCTGTCCACACTCACTCTGACCCTGTGACAAAGCTTCTCAACGTCACACGCCTGGGGCTTGCGAAGGCAGATGAGGAGGGGGCAGGGAAGAAGTCATAGTGCTCCCTTCTCTCCTCCCCTCTAACAGTGATTGGACAGAAACTGAGCCACCAGCAAAGCCTTTCCCTGGCCACCTCTGAGAAACATCGTGCAATTAAAGGCCTGACAGTTGCCATCTGTCCTGTCCTTCTCCAGTCGCCCAGGGCGCAGGGATTTGGAGCCGGCACATTGTGATACTCTACAGTGCTCTGTCACCTCTGATTTCTTCCAGAAAGTCATTAAGCAGACCTGTGTGGGAGCTGCCCCAGCGTCCGAAAACTCCCTCCAGGGCAGGCAGCACAGAGGTGGTGAGAACACACTAGGATTCCTCAAGTTCAAGGAAGTTGGCATCTGTGTGAGATGAGATGAGGAGAGTGCAAAGTCAGACAAGGAGGAGTGGGATGTAGACCCAAATGGACTCATTTCCTCTTTCTTCTTTGGCCCCTTTGATCTAAGATGGAGCCCTACATCTTCCTTAGGACCCCAGAACCACAGGCAGTGTAGAATGTGCCTTATTTTAGGTTTTCCCAACAGCAGAGTCTGAGACAAGAATTTGGCTGCAGGTAGTTTATATGGGAGAGGATCCAGGGGGCAGAAGTGAGAGAGTGGGCAAAACGCAAATGGTTGGGAGGAAAAGCCAGTCGTGCGATACATGAATGAGCTGATTATCGCTGTGGGCATCTGGAATTCAGCCCCACAGAAGACCCTCTGCAGTACCATGTAGCATGTCCCACTGGAGGGTGTGTTATAGGGCCACCCATTCCCATCCCCCTGGTGCATGATTTGCCATGCACTTCGGGCTTGCACCTGCACGAGGCTGGGCAAAACTCAGAGACACTGAGGCAGAGATACCTGAGACACTTGATGTGGGAGGCTGGCAACTTACACAGATAGCGGTGCAGGGGATGTGACGTGGATGATTTGGATTAGCTACAAAGAGGCAGAGTTCTTGGAAAGTGGGGCTTCTTCATGTAAGCACAAAAAGGCAGGGACTCCTTTTTCCTGTCTGACAGACTTGTCTTTTTCTTTGAGAATCAGCTTATAGGTTACCTGCTCCAAGATGGCTTTGCTTGGCCAGGTGCACTAAGATCCTTCTCATGACCTGGCTCTAGGAGAGTCCATGTCACAGTCCCCTCTCACTGTTTGCCTGTCTTCACCATCAGACCTGAGTCTCTAGAGGACAAGGAGACATAGCTGCTTCCTTTTTGTTTCCTGAGCACCTAGAAAACCACCCGATGTGTAATAATTATTAGTCAAATGATTATTTTTTCATTCCTGCATTTGGCAACGCTACTACAGAAGATGTGTTACTTGTTACCACTGTGGCTGATTGAGCAGGGGCTAGCAAACTCTGACCTTTAGGAAGTCTTGGAAGAAGAGTGGTAGAGGGCATGTGTATCAATCAGGGGCCATTGCAATAGCCCAAGAAGTGATTGAGGCCTGGAACCAGGGTGTAGGAGGAACAATGTAGAAAAACACATTGTCAGGGGAGAATCAGCTGGACTCAGCATCTGATTTGGATGAGGTCTTTAGCAGTGGGTAAAGCACACAGCAACCTCATGTTCAGCAGCTGCACACAGACTAGATAGGAGTTTGGCATGCATCTGCTTTGAAGATGTTGGGAGCACTCTCCTCTCTCCCCTCTACCCACTTACATAACAATTTGAGCTTCTAGCCCCAAAGTGATAGTCCAAGGAGCGACTACTAGTGAAAGCCACCTAGAATTTGTATCCTAGAGCCACATCCTGCTAAGCAAGTCCTCTTCATACCAGAAGCCTTTTTTGTTTATTTTTTTGTTTGTTTGTTTTTTGAGATGGAGTCTCGCTCTGTCACCCAGGCTGGAGTGCAGTGGCATGATCTCGGCTCACTGCAACCTCTGCCTCCAGGGTTCAAGCAGTTCTCCTGCCTCAGCCTCCTGAGTAGCTGGGACTACAGGCATGCGCCACCACACCCAGCTAATTTTTGTATTTTTTTTTTTTTTAGTAGAGATGGGGTTTCACCGTGTTGGCCAGGATGGTCTCAATCTCTTGACCTCATGATCTGCCCGCCTTGGTCCTCAGCCTCCCAAAGTGCTGGCATTACAGGCGTGAGCCACTACACCCGGCCACCAGAAGACTTTTAACAAAAGATTTATCTGTCTTTTCATTGGCCATCCTGTGATTCACAGCTCAAGGTGACTTTGAATTTTGCTGTTAATCTTGCTTCCTCACAGATTACTACTGAAACTGCAAAGATACATGAAAAAGATGTTGCACTGCTTAAATTGTTGAAAAGCTGGGAAAAACCTAAATGTACAACAGTGGGGGATTACTGAACTAATTAAATTATGTGCATAAAATTGCAAACATTCTTATATATTTACTGTATACATAATGTTTAAAATATGGAAAAACAAGGAGTGTTCTATGTGCCCAGCAACAGAGAGTTCATTGAAAAAAAAAAATCCAAAATGTGTGTAGTACATTCATATAATGCAGCATACCAGCATGGCACATGTATACATATGTAACAAACCTGCACATTGTGCACATGTACCCTAGAACTTAAAGTATGATTAAAAAAAAAAAAAAAGAAAACCACGAGGCCACTAAATTGCCCCTGGCCTGTTATATGTGATGTTGTCAACTTGTCTTTGTTGATATGAAGCTCTGTTCATAATATACTAAATGAAATTAACAAATTAAAAATTAGTATACACACCCTGGTCAAATTGTTTTCATTATAATTATTTAAACATGAGCGAAAGATCTGAAATAGTAATCTCCAGGCTTTACTGTGGTTATTTCAAAGTGGTAGAATTATGAGGGATTCACTACACCCCCCCTCCTTTTTGGTCTGTTATTTTTAAATTTTTCTACAAGAAACGTGTTTCATTTGCATATAGAATAACAAGAAATCGTTTTTTGAGGGATAACTGTGGAAATTAGCAGGACTCTAGATGTTTAAACAGTATGATTTAGGAATATTCTGCTCACCTGAAGTAAGACATAAAAGCATAAAAGCTGCCTCGACATGCCACATTTAGAAAGACTGGCAGCAACAGCTCTATTGCTTCCTTCTTCTATCTTGCAGCAGAAGTGTGACTACAGGAATTAAGGGTTCATGTGTAAATGAGGTGAAGCCAGAAAATTTCAGCCTGTGGGAGCCCAGGGGAGGATTCCCTTTTGATATTTGGTAGCCGTGAAGAAAGAGCAGCTCTGATCTGGTAGTGTGGACCTGCGACCCAGACTCCAAGGCTTCTGAGGGTGAAGGAAGTAGAGAAAGACTCTCGAATAGAAGCTCAGCTAGAAGGAAGACCAAGACTTGCTAGAAAAGAACCAGGTATTCAAGAATTGGTACTAAAGGAGGACCCTAGATGACCCAGCAGAGAAAGAAAGGAACCACTTGTTAAAAGCTAATTACCATTGTGATTTTGCCAAGCTGCTTAAGCAATGAAACTGGCTACCTGTTTTTTGCCTTCCTGTATGTTATTCCCCCTACCATTTCAAAAGTTGAGAGCACATGAATTCTCAGTGATCCTATAAATATAACCATGTAAGCTTGAGCACCAATGAACTGAATATGGGTGCTCTGGGGAATTTGAGAAATGTATTAGTTATCTGTCACTATGTAACAGACTATCCCCCAAATTAATGAATTAAGACAACCACACTTTATTATTTCTTGCAATTCTGAGGGTGGCCTAGATGATTCTTCTGCAGGTCTTGCCTGAGCTCATGCCTGTGGTTGCATTTAGCTGTGGGGACAGCTGGGGCTGGGCTCATCTGGACCCTGGAAGGCAGGGCTTCTCTCCCATGGTCCTCATCATGCAGCAGGCTAGGCTAAGCTTCCTAAGTGTTCCAAGAGGTTTAAAGCAGAAGCTTCCAGGCCCAGGAATGCCTGGTCCCAGACT
Organism: Homo sapiens; assembly: GCF_000001405.40. NCBI lineage: Eukaryota > Metazoa > Chordata > Mammalia > Primates > Hominidae > Homo > Homo sapiens. Next base: position 11,340,502 of record NC_000017.11, read on the forward strand.
TGCTACAGCATTGCTTCTGCTCCATTCTGTTGGCCCAAGCAAGTCACAAGACTACCCTGAATTTAATGGGAGAGAAACCAGACTTCACCTCTTGATGGAGTGGCCATGTGCTTGTACAGAGGGATGGGAGGGATTACTGGCAATCATCTTTGCAGACAGTCTGGCCCAGGAAGGATCCAGCTATATTCACAGCTCAGAGTCTGCTGCATCACCTCCACTCCAAAGAGATGACTCCCCAATTACAGGAAGGCTACCTAACAAGGCTGGGATCACAGACAGTTTCTTGAAGCACTGAACTAGAATAGTGGACACTGCAGTGACACATGGAAGGAGAAACCTAGTGACCGTATGTTCCAAGCAGTTCCCAGAGGTACAAGAAAGGAAGACAAGAAAGGATACAGATTGGATCTGGGAGGGAGAAAGCTACAAAGGCTGGGGCCTGTGGAGCCCTGCTGGTTAGCTGCAGGTCTGGAGGTGACCCTCAGCCAAGCAGGAAGCAGCCCCAAGACTCCTTTCCTGTTTCTCATGTGGATAATAATTGACGAATGTTGGCACCAATCCTGCCCCACCTTCTGAAGAAAAGTTCTGTTGGTCAATCTCTGGCTGAGATGCACCCACTCTCATATTGGTTACAGGGATGGGAGCATCTTCTGGGGGACCCAGGATTGAGTTTGTCTCACGACTCACAGTTCCACCATTCTACAGTGTTAATGCAACAGCAACAATAAAAATGACAAGGATCATGGCAGCAGTTACGGGCCTTGTACTCACTGATTATCCTCTAAACAACCCTGTAAAATAGGAATCCCATTCTTTCTCTCTCTCTCTTTTTTTTTTTTTTTTTTTTTTTTGAGACAGAATCCTGCTCTGTTGTCCAGGATGGAGTGCAGTGGCATGATACTGGCTCACTGCAACCTCTGCCTCCCAGATTCAAGTGATTCTCTTGCCTCAGCCTCCTGAGTTGGTGGGATTACTGGTGTGCACTACCATGCCTGGCTAATTTTTGTATTTTTATTAGACACGGGGTTTCGCCATGTTGGCCAGGCTGGTCTTGAACTCCTGGCCTCAAGTGATCTCCCGCCTCAGCCTCCCAAAGTGCCGGGATTACAGGTGTGAGCCACCGCGCCTGCCCAGGAATCCCATTCTCTAAGTGAGAGAAGAGAGGCTCAGAGGAGCTCATTGATCTGCCCAAGGTGGAGCTGGAGCTGCAATTTTAATGCCAACAGCCTGGCTGCAGGGTGCTCTTGCCCACCACCCTGCCAACACCAAGCTCATTTTTCTCCTTGATGTTATGATATCAGTGCTGTTGCCCATAGACTGCACTTTGATGTCATTTATAACAGATTATCAGGAGGAAGACTGTATATTTAGCTACTGATTAATTTTACACAGTTTCCTTCCAACATGGAGTTTTCCTCTGAACAGTGGGAGAAGAGGTGTCTGGGGCCAGCCCAGAGATGACAGCCCTCTGCAGCCCACCCTCTCTGCACCTCCCCATCCTCCCAGAGGCCAATGTGCATGGCCAGTCTATCTTGTCTCTCTGGCAAACTTTCCTCTGGCCTCTTGAATGACTTCTCTGCCAGTATCTCTGCTGAAATGGAGCGGGGTGATGGGGGAGAAGCCTCCGCCCACTTTGCTCTTTCCTTGCAGATCCCAGATCCCCCAGAGGACCCAGAGAGGTGAAGGTGTCTAACATAAAAGTGAGATCCATGGAGCTGCAGCCTAAAACCACATAAATATTAAATCACCCAAGAGCCAAAGCCCTCTGGGAGGGGCAGTCTGTGAGCAGGGAGAAGGAAGAAACATCCATTACCTAGCAGCAGACAACCTGAGGGGAGGTGGCAGGCAGAGGGAGGCAGGAGAGAGGGCGTGTTGGAGGCTGGGGCTGCAGCCAGACCAGGCCCAAGCTGGGACGGTGGAGATATGGAGAGAAGGCACAGGGACTCTTCCCATCAGTCTAGGGGAGCCAGACCCTGCAAAGGGTCTTCGTGAGCTCCCAAAGGGGTGAAAAAACACATCTTATGATAAAAGGATAGTAAGAGGATAAAGATGTTCCCAAATGCACTGATAAAGTTTTTAAACCTCATTTCCCATTAGCAGAGCAGTAACAACCTTCTAGCAGTGGGTACAGTTGTAGGATTGTCCCAAAATAAACAACCAACCCCTCCTTTTGCATAGCAAGAGATATATTCACTGCACAAATATTTCTAGAAGGGTGATTCTGTGCAGAAGTGGGCATTTCTGTCCATGAACACCACAGGCAAGGTCCTCATACTAAGAAGTTCAACTTGTCAGAAGTAGGGGCAGAGACAGTCCTGTTGTGATGTTGGTTCTGAGATATCCTTACCCACTTCCTGTGGATTTTTCAAGCTGTGTGAATTGCACATTTCTCCAGATACAGAATCAGGGACAGTTTGGACTGGGAGGGGACCTTGGGACTTCTTGTTCAAGCCTCTCATTTCACAGATGAGGAGGTTAACATACCCACACCCACCAGTGCATGCGGCAGAAAGTGGAAACACAGGGACTGACTTGGGGTGGTGGCTTGTGAAAGAGCCTGAAGATACACACAGCTGGAACTCCTAATTCTCATTCCAGTTCCTTCTTTCCCCCTATAAGTTATATGTGATTTTAGCTCTGAGACAAATTAATAATTTATTTAGGATAGTAACTGAAAATTGTGCATTATTTCAGTGTTAGCCTCTGGAGGAAGGAGAGAAGAGCTGCCAACTCAACCCAGGGTAAGCTTCTCAGTTAATTTCCCTGGTCCTCTTTTAGAGGAGAGAAACTGATGTCATCGGTTTAATTCCAGGGCACTTTATTAGCCCATGTTCACAAGGATCAGTGGCTTACCTTGAGTGCTTTCAGGAAGCAGAGCCTGAAACAAAGGCTTGTGTAGGGTAGTTTATTTGGGGGTGTGATACCAGTGAGTGGAGAACTGAGAAAGTGTACCAGGAAGGAGAGGAAGACAGTCCAAAGGCTATTGAGCTGGTTACAACCATGGAACACGGGATCTCAATCCTGCTGGGAACATGTGAAGGTACCCTGACGTTGTCTGCCTGGGATGCTGAACTGGGGGGCGTTGATCCCCTGAGTCCCCTACCCTTTGGATGGGAGGTGGTTAAATCCATCACTCCAGATTAGCCTATGTGATGGAATGGCGGAGCAGGCTCCACAGCAGAGCAAAAAGCTGCAGGGCAGAAAGCACCAGGTGCAGCTGAGAGGTGAGTTGCTCTCCAGATACACCTATATGGAGTCATCCAGCTGCTATAGTCATGTCCAAAGCAAAAATGAAGGACAAGAGGATGTGAGATGGAGCATAAAAAGTGATCAGTACACTCATGCATTAGAAGAGTATTGCTTCCATTTTGCAGACAGGGTTTCACCATGTTGGCCAGGCTCGCCTCGAACTCCTGACTTCAAGTGGTCCACCCATCTTGGCCTCTCAAAGTGCTGGGATTACAAGCATGAGCCACTGCACCTGGCCTATCATCTGTCTTTTTTTATTATAGTCATCCTAGTGGGCGTAAAGTGGTGTCTTATAGTGGTTTTGGTTTGCATTTTCCTGATGGCTAATGACATTAGGCATCTCTTCACATGCTTATTTGTCCATTTGTGTATCTTATTTGGAGAAACGTCTATTTAAATCTTTCATCTATTTTTTATTTGGGCTGTCATTTGATTTTTGAGTTGAAAGAGATTTTATGTAATCTGGATACAAGTCCTTTATCACATATAGAATTTGTAAATATTTTCCTTCGTTCTGTAAGTTGTCTTTTAACTTTTCTGATGGTGTCCTTTGAAACAAAAACGTTTAAAAATATGATGAAATACATTTTATGTATTTTTTCTTTTGTTACTTGTGCTTTTGGTGTTGTATCTAAGAAGTCTTTGCCTACTACTCCAAGCTCACTAAGATTTACTCCTATATCTTATTCAAAGAGTTTATATTTTTAGCTTTTATATTTTGATTTATGAGTCAGCTTCATTATTTTGCATGTGGATATCCAGTCATACCACCACCGTTTATGAAAAAGAGTGTTTTGTCTCTTATTGTCAGAAATCAATGGCCGTAAATGTAAGGGTTTATTTCTGGACTCTCTTGCCTATTTCATTAATCTATAGGTTTATCTTTTCAAAATGTTTTAATTAGCATGTAATAATTGTACATATTTGTGGGGTACAGAGTGATATTTCAATACCTGTATACGACGTGTCTAATGATCAAATCAGGGTAATTAGCATATCTGTCCACTCAAACATTTAATATTTATTTGCATTGGGAACCGTTAAAATCTCTTCTAGTCATTTGAAAATATATAATAAATTATTGTTAATTATATTCACCCTGTAGTTCTATAGAACGCTAGAAATTATTCCTCCTATCTAGCTGTAATTTCATATCCATTAACCAGCCTCTCCTTATTCCCCCTCTTTCCGACCTTTCCTACCATGTAATAACCACAGTTCTATTCTCTACTTCTATGAGCTCAACTATTTAGCTCCCACATATGAGTGAGAATATGCAGTATTTAGTTTTCTGACCTGCGTTATTTCACTTAACATAATATCCTCCATTCTTATCCATGTTGCCCTGAATAACAGGAATTCATTCTTTTTTTATGGCTAAATAGTATTTCATTTGAATGAATGAATGTTGTATATACCACATTTTATTTATCCATTCATCTGCTGATAGACATCTAGTTTGATTCTGTATCTTGGCTATTGTGAGTAGTGCTGCAATAAACATGAGGGTGTAGATATCTCCTCAACATAACAATTTCCTTTCCATTGGATAAATACCCAGTAGTGGGATTGCTGAGTCATACGATAATTCTACTTTTAGATCTGTCTTTGCTACACTATCTTATTTAATTTAGCTCATAATAACTTTTGAAATTGGAAAGTATTAGTCTTGTAACTTTATTCTTTTACTTGAAATTGTGTTGACTATTTTGTATTTTTTTGCCTTATCACATGCATTTCATATGCAATTTCTTAAGAAAAAACAACTGACATTTTGATAGGGATTGTGTAGTAGCTGTAAATCAATTTGGGGAATTTTGCTATCTTAACAATATTGTCTTCCAATCCATGAACGTGGGATGTCTTTCCATTTATTTAGATCTTCTTTAATTTCTTTCTGCAATGTTTATAGTTTTCAGGGTACAGATCTTACACCTCTTTAAATTTATTACTAGATATTTTATTTCTGATGCTATTATAGACTTGACTTATTAATTTCATTTTCAGTTTGTTGATTGCTATTAAATAGAAGTAGAACTGATTTTTGTGTCTTGATCTTGTATCCTGAAACTTGCTAAAATCATTTACTAGTTCTAGTAGGTTCTTTTAGTAGATTCCTTAGGATTTTCTATATAAAAGATTATGTCATCTGTGAATACAGATAGTTTCTCTCTTTCTTTCCAATTTGCTTATCTTTTACTTCTTTTACTTGTCTAAGTGTCACAGCTAGCACCTCCAGTACAATAAAAGTTGTGAGCGAACATAGTTGTCTTGTTTCTCATCCTGGGAGAAAGCATTCAGTTTTTTACCATTAAATAAATGTTAGCTATGGATTTTTCATAGATGCTCTTTGCAAGATGAGGATGTTCCCATCTGTCTCTAGTTTGTGGAGTGTTTTCATCATGAAAGGGTGTTGGATTTTGTCAGGTGCTTTTTCTGCATCTTTTGAGATAATCATATGGGTTTTTTGTTGTTCAAGAAAAGACAAAACTTAAAAAAGGAAAAATTTATTAATATGGTACATTACATTATTTTCAGATGTTAAACCAACCTTGAATTTTGGGGTAAATTCTACTTGGTTATGGTGTATATGTTACAGGATTTGGTTTTGCTAGTACTCTGCTAAGATTATCTGCATCTGTAGTTATAAGTGTCTAAGAACTTTTGCCTCTCTGAAATTGTTTCTAGATCTAAAGAACCATTTTAAGTGAACTCTCAGAGATTTCAGAGGTAGGTGATTGCCTGAAGAATAGTTTTACTTTGAAAATTTGAATCTGTTTGAGAAAATTATAAATTCTAAATAATAAAGCAAATCCATCAGTCTTTCCTGAGACAGAATCATCTGGGATCAATCAGTACATGAGTATTTCTGGAGATACTTAAAGGAAATTGAAAATAATTTATCCCAATAATATATCATTCTATGTTTATCTTTTGTTGTCTTGAATAATATTATTTTGTTATGTTGAAATAATTGTCACTCATGCTCACTTGAGTTGCATTTGATATCTTGAATAGAAATGTTTATCTGAGACTCAATGATATACTCAACAAACTGATGATGACATATTCATGAAATACCCACATGATATGTGTCCTATGATATTCAATAATATACTCATCATATAGTCAGTCTACTGATGATATTCTCCTGAATACTTACTTGATATGTATCATTTGATGTAATGAATTGTTCTTTGAAGGACAATGGCATCTTTCCATTGCATGACTTTTATAGGCACAGTATCATGTTTGCGGAGTTGAGTCTGTAGCTTAAGTCATGCTATGTAGCTGCAAAGTTCCTGTTGATGAACATACAGAGTTTGGATGGTGATGATTCATCTTCCATGCACAAATGTTCACAGGAAAGGTAGGAAGATGGAAACTTAACTGAAGGTAAGAGGTTGTGGTTGGAACTAGAGTTGGGCATCATTTTTTGAGGGAAAAAAAAAAAGGATATCCACAAAGAAGCCTGAGCCTAGAAGGATATCTACATTGACAAGAGGAAAAGAAACAACAACAACAGCAGCAGCACAAGTGATTAAACGGGAGCAGTCAGAAGTGGGAGAAGAACCAGGGGAGTAGAAAAGACCAGGGTGGTCAACAGAGAGAAACAATGGAAAAGGCTAAATATGTGAGAATCATTCTCTAGATTACAGGATAGTAAGTCACCTGGTAACTTTAGAGAGAACCTTTTCAATTATACCTTTGATAGAGAACTTAATATATATCAGAACCTATAATACATATTTCACATGTATTATCTTATTAATACTTAACATTATGAGCTAGATATTATTTGCATCTCACAGATGAGGAAACGGTGGCTTAGAAGTATTAAGCAACTTGCCTAAGGTCAAATAGAAAGTCAATTGCAAGCTGGATTTCAAATGCAACCTCACTATAAAGGAGAAAGGAGGAGAGAGCAGGTGACGAAGAAAACAAAAGCAGTGTGGGTAGGCACATGAGAGACCCAGAACCTACCTACGAACAAGGAAGTGTCAGAGAAGGAAGCTTGGAAGCTGTATCTAGGGGTGAGAGTGGTGCCCTTTTCTCTGGGAGCCCTGCTGAGGTGACAGCTGAGGTCACTCAGAGCTGCATCTGGCCTGGTGCTTATGGGTTGTCCCACGTAACCCACTCTGCTTCTCTTTCATGCGCTGACTTTCTGTACAAAGAAAGATCCTTGGGGATGTATGAAACTGAAACACAGAGTTATGTTCTGAGAGTGAACAGGATTGTTTTTGGACTGCCAGAGTTAATTGGTCATCCATAAGAAGATGCAAAATTCTATTTTGTTTACAGAATATAGTGGCTTGGCAAAGCATAATGGCATCAACAGAAATATGTCCTAGCTGAATCAACCAGCCTTGTGTCCTCCATATGTTGAGAGTACATATGGTGAAACTGCATTTAATTGGGCCCCATTGCTTTGAAATTTGTGAAGGTCTGGTCAGGAGCTCAGCTGAAGCTTAGCTTTGCTCTATTTATGGGACCAAAAAGAGTTGGTAAGTTATTTGTTTATGTAAACAGGGATCAGTGTGTTCTATCTTCTTAAGAACATACATGATTCTCAAAAACTGAACAATAGCCATGCACCTGCAGATCGTGAGTGATGTCAACTATAAATGATTTTTTGCCTCTTGTTAAAGCAGGCTTTAAAGACTTTCTTGGCAATTCTTGATGAGCTAACGGCACTTGTCACCCTCTATATTTAAAAGAATTAAATAATTATTTAATGCAATAATTTAGTAATTATTTGATAGTTATAAAATAATTTAATAATTATAGAACCATCTTTAAAAATATTCTATGATCCCAATAGGCCTCCTCAATCTTGGTCTGAGTTAGTGAGTGAAGTTTTATTCCTTTTATTCTATTGGTCCTCAGCAGTGTCTACCCTGAGTTTTTTCTTTCTTTCTTCTTCCCTTTTTTCCTCTTTCTTTTCCTTCATAAGAAACAAGTTCATTTGGGGCCTATATTTAACAGTCTACCCAATCTGTATATTTTAACACTCGAGATCCTAAGTAGTAAAATGGAATAATATTTCATGTTTGTATCAAGATTGCTCACTTTCAAACCACATAATTATCTTGTGAAGCATTTATATTCTTCCCACTGATAGGAAGAGTTGAGCAAACATAGAAACAAGTATCAGAACAGAAATCATGAAACTTGGCCATTCTTTTGCTTCTCCTACTCATCTGGCTGTGCTTTCACTAGTGGGGGAAACCATAGGCGTAGCTCCTACAGCTTTGGGGGATTCATAAAAAAGGAGCTCTGCACCAGGGTACAAAATAAGCTAAAGGTTGTGTTTGGTCTGGGATCCTTTGGTTTAATTTTATGCCACTGGATAAACATGTTAGTGAGATTCATTTATTTGTGCCTTGCAAAGAAGTATAAAATCTTGCCTGGCCATAAAAATTTGGCTGGAGTTCCCACCACATAAATTTACCATTCCATTTCGCCATTGTTTCTGCCCATCATGGATCCACAACAAAAGAGGGCCTGACCTCATCCCCCAAAGGTATTATTTTGTTCATAGTGCAGCTTTCACATTGGGCCAGAAAGAAACTATTTATCAGCTCGTGACTCAGACCTCTTAGGTTAACACCCCTCTCAGATTCTATGATTTCAGAGTTGGTTTGGGAGTAAATACATCAGCCTAGGATTATTTGACATCGTTTTCTGTGCTTGGTTAGCAGAAGTCCATTGAGTCAGGCTTTTGTCACCCACCTACATAGTAACAATGGAAGTTATTTATGGTATGGATTTTATGGGTCAACACTTTTGAAGATAACTGTAAATGCCAGGACTGTGCCTCCTTGGGCTGTGAGTTCTGTAGCTGAGCAGCCACAGTTGGGGATGGGGGACGCGTGAATGTGTAAGTCAGTGCTAAAGACAACCACTTTGTTTACAAAGCTCCAGCACTTTCCAAATGTCTGCAGTATTCTACCTGTCAGTCAGCTCCACTATCTGCTAAGTCAGATAACTGATGGGAAGGAAGGAATGAAATGAGGCCTCTTGAAAAAGAGAGATTATTCAGATTAAGAGTTTCAAAGCAATAGGTTGGAAACAGGCAAAAATGAATCACGTGGAGAGTCAAAATGAATAGAAGTGGAAGATTGTGGGCTCAGGGTTAAGCCCCTGCACTGGGCCTTCTGTTAATAAACGTTAAGGGGAAATGCAAGACCCAAGAGGGACAAAAGGAGAGTGCAGAAACATCCTCTGCTTATCTGGATAAATGGTTCCTTTCACATTTTCTTTGTGGGTGGCTTTCTGAAAGCCATAGAAAACCATGTTCTCCCCACCTTTTTTTTTGTTGAACCCGCCTCCCAGGTTCAAGTGATTCCCCTGCCTCAGCCTCCGAAGTAGCTGGGATTACAGGCAGGCACCGCCATGCCCGGCTAATTTATTTATTTATTTATTTATTTATTTTTTTTTTTTTTTGAGACGGAGTCTCGCTCTGTCGCCCAGGCTGGAGTGCAGTGGCGCGATCTCGGCTCACTGCAAGCTCCGCCTCCCGGGTTCACGCCATTCTCCTGCCTCAGCCTCCCGAGTAGCTGGGACTACAGGCGCCTGCCACCACGCCCGGCTAATTTTTTTGTCATTTTAGTAGAGACGGGGTTTCACCGTGTTGGCAAGGATGGTCTCGATCTCCTGACCTTGTGATCCACCCACCTCAGACTCCCAAAGTGCTGAGATTACAGGCATGGGCCACCGTGCCCAGCCGAGGACCCATTTAAGGGTCAGCTTATGAAGAAACCAAACCAAGAGCCTCATCAGATATCTAATCAAACATCATATCTAGTTGATTCCTTCTCTTTACATCTCAGTTCTATCCCCTCTTCCCTCAGTCCACTGTCAATCATCTCTCACTGGACCATTAACTATTCTGCTTACTATTTTTCTGCCTTTTATCTTACCTTTATCTTTATTTAATTATTGTAGAGTGATCAGAGCATTTTTTCTAGTATATAAATCTGGTCATGCCATTCCCTCACTCAAAATTCCTTACTAGTTTCATACTGGCCAAAAGATTAAAAACTCCATAGCATGGCATAAAATCATTCTACTATGAAGACACATGCACACATATGTTTATTGCAGCACTGTTTACAATAGCGAAGACTTGGAACCAACCCAAATGCCCATCAGTTATAGACTGGATAAAGAAAATGTGGCACATATACACCATGGAATACTATGCAGCCATAAAAAAGAATGAGTTCATGTCCTTGCAGAGACATGGATGAAGCTGGAAACCATCATTCTCAGCAAGCTAACACAGGAACAGAAAACCAAATGCCACATGTTCTCACTCATAAGTGGGAGTTGAACAATGAGAATGCATGGACACAGGGAGGGGAACATCACACACTGGGGCCTGTTGGGGGGTGGGGAACAAGGGGAAGGAGAGCATTAAGAGAAATGTGTAAGGCATGCGGGGCTTAATACCTAGATGATGGTTTCATAGGTGCAGCAAACCATCATGGCACATGTATACCTGTGTAACAAACCTGCACATTCTGCACATGTATCCCAGAACTTAAAGTAAAATAAATAAACAAAAAATACTATCCCGTCTTTATCTCCTGTCATGCCTACCTGAATATCCAATTACCTAGTCATGTATGGTTCTCTGAAAACAATTATCTACATATTGTTACATGCTTTTCCATTTTCCTTTAATATCCAGTCATCAAAGTACCTACCTAGTAAAAATTCTACTCATCTTTCAAGTTTCAACTCAAGCATTACCTCCTCTGTGTTGCCTACCCTGATCCTCCCAACAAATTCTATTTTGTTGCTTCTATTATTTCTTAATCATGTATTCATTACAGCAGTGATCACATTTCATTACAGTTGTTTTGTTTGCACATCTCTATTTGTATTAGTCTGTGAGATCCGTGAGAAAAGAAACTATGTTTACTCTTTTCTGCACCTTCATCCTCTGGCATAGGCCCTAAGCACATATTTGTAGCTCAAGGGATGCTTTTTGAATGAAGAAAGCATTTTAGGAAGTCAGGAATGGCACCGTCAAATGAAAGAGGGGGATGAAAGAGGTGTGTTCTGTGGTTACAGAACAAAGCCATACTGCAACAATATATACTATAAGGAACCAATGATGACCTATAGGTTTTTGAACATAGTATGGTGGTGCTATTGGGATGGGCAGTGGGGAGAAAGTAGGTAAGTATGGAAAAGACATAGGTTTTAGGAGAAGGATAACTTTAAATTTTTGGTGAGATATTGGTATGGAGATATGCCTCAAGATGTTGGACACGTAGGGACAGAACAAGTGCACAAAATCAGAGCTTGAGAAGTGGATTTGAAAAGGACCTACCTGGAGGTGAAGGTGGGACCCATGAGAACAGAGTACATTAATAAGGGAAGGAGGAGAGAGAGGGTAGGTAAACATTAAAGAAAAGAGCCTTTATGGAATATGTAATTTTACATGGTGGGAAAAAGCAAAGGAATCCCATGAAGGAGAGAGATCTTCTGGAAAGGCAAGCATAAAATGGAGATAGTGTTCATATTGAGAAATCAAAGGAGGAAAAAAAAAACCCTGAACAATATGAAGATGGTTAACAGCTGCAAATACAAGAGGACAAGTAGATTAAGGACCAAAGAAAAATTGTTGCGTTTGGTAATTAGGCAGTCACTAGTGCTTAAAAGCTGAATTATTGCAGAAGCAGAAATATTATTTATTAGTGACTTCAAGTGGACTGCAAGATGGGAAAAATAGGGGTGGTGAGCTACCATGTGCTTTTACAGTGTGAGCTTTCAGCAGTGGAGTAAGTCTTGCTGCTAATCATACCCACAGGGTAATGGTTGGGGGAGCAGCACTGAAGTTGAAGTTGGGGCGATTGGGGAACCAAGAGACCAGAGCACCAACGTTCCAGCGATGAAGGCAAAAGAAAAGCTGTCTCCCTGGGGCTGAGCATGATGGAGAGAGGGTTGGTGCGCCTTGTGCATGTAGGGTTGAAACAGTAGGGTGGGCTGATGTAGGTCAAACAGTGGTTCCTACAGCTACTTTCTCCGTTGCAAACAGAATGGCCCCCCTTTTATTGGAGTGGTCTTTCTAAAAAGCAGTTCTGACCATTTCCCAACCAATACTAACTATTTGGGGGAGAAACAAATTCCATATATTTGCATTCTTCTATAAACAGTGGACAGTTCTTAATCACTTGATCCGCACTGCTCATGATGTTCAAATTATGATTGCCTTCCACCCTAACCTTTATCTTTGCCAAACTGAAAGGCACTATCCTCATGTTTCCATTTCCATATGGCAGCCCCCAACCTCCATTTTACCACTTTTCATGTTTCTTTCAAGTTACATCTTCCTTCTTTATATGTGGTAGCCAGGGTCATGCAGAATGTTACAGCTGCCGGTGCATAATAGTCATAAAAAAGGAGAACACGGGCCGGGCACGGTGGCTTACACCTGTAATCCCAACACTTAGGGAGGCCGAGGCTGGCGGATCACGAGGTCAGGAGTTCGAGGCCAGCCTGGCCAAGATGGTGAAACCCCGTCTCTACTAAAAATTCAAAAATTAGCTGGGTGTGGTGGTGCGCACATGTAGTCCCAGCTACTCGGGAGGCTGAGGCAAAAGAATCGCGTGAACCCAGGAGGCAGAGGTTGCAGTGAGCCGAGATCACGCCACCGCACTCCAGCCTGGCAACAGAGCAAGACTCCGTCTAAAAAAAAAAAAAAAAGGGTGAGGCGGGGGGTCCTCAACCAGTGTAACAATAAACTAACTTCATAGCTTAAGCTACTGTTGGTCCCTTCAACCAACAGATAAGGCAAATGCTCTGATTGGAGGATGCATAAATTGAGCCCAGTGTGGCTCACCCCCAGCTCTAGAAAAACCCTGGGAACAGGTCTGCCCGTAGCCACAAGGACCCTCGCATCATCATGGATGTGTGTGCTCAGAGGACACTGTGATAAACAGGAAGAAAAGATGCTTTGAGGAAAGGGAAGGTTAATTTATCTGTTCATAATTTAGATTTTAATGTTGCTGTGAAATGGAAGACATCATTCCTGCCTCCTGGGACTAAATGCTGGAAGAAGACATCTGTTTACAGAATTGTCCTGGGCGTGCTGTATAAATTCATGTTTAAATAATAATTTCAGGCGAACTGTGAGGAAGACAGGGAAAAGGAACAGGCCCCAATATGTCTTTCTTTCCTAAGAGAACCCCCTACTCCAGGGGTTTCCCGACTTCAGCACTGTGGCATTTTAGGCTGGATAAATCTTTGGGGAAGGGGAGGCTGTTCTTGTGCATTTTCAGATGTTTATCAGTATCCCTGACCTCCACCCAGGGCATCATCCACCCTAGCCCCTAGTTGTGACAAATGAAAATGTCTCCGGACATTGAAAAATATCCTCTGTTGGGGCAAAATCACTCCCAGTATAGCACTGCTGCTCTGCACTAAAGTTTCTCAAATGTTGATGTGCACAGGAATCATCTGGGGACCTTGTTCAAATGCGAATTCGGATTCAGTAGGCCCAGGGTGGGGCCTGAGAGTTTGCCTTTCCAGAAAACTCTCTAGTTGTGCCCATTGCTGCTGCTCCAAGGAGCACATTCTGGGTAGCTGGGTTTTGACACTGCCTGCCTTTTCTCCCTTCTACACACTCTGCCACCACACAGGATGGAGGCCGGATGATGGCAGGGATGCTACCAGGGCCTCCCGTTGTATCAACATGGACATCCACCAAGCAGGGACCCTCCGACCTCATGTTCCATTCTCCACATTCTCAGTTGGAGGGGCATAGAGCAGTTGGGAGTAAATTAATGAGACGCATCTCAACCTCATTGTTAATGCCTCCAAGGTCACGAAGAAAGCCCTGGGCATCTAGAGATTGGAGAGGCTGGGAGGAGCTCACACATCAGCCAAGGCAGCTGTGACTCAGTCCACTGGGTGCAGTTCAGAGGGTACAGCAGCTAATGGGACCAGATGGTCTGTGCCTTGTTTGTGGGCACGTGCCTCCCCCACCCCCTATCCTCAGTCAGTGATTTCCTTATTTGTTCCTTCCCTCCAGAAACAGAATAGCCATTTTTAAATGAAATGTGACGGAAGGCTCTCTTTCTTCCCAGTCTGTGTTCCATTGAGCTTTAGATGTCCCTATGTGGAATCATGGAACTTTCTTTAAAGGTCCTAGCAGCCACCTGTATTTGGAAGCCAAGTAAGGTCGTGATTTGGAGCAAAATGAAAATATATGTACCTCTACTCCAACACCTTAAATTGGGATTCTTAGGCAGGGCATTATCTCCCAATAAATGCAGGTAATTACTGGAGGTGTCATGTATTAGCACTTTACTATTCACATGAGAGTGAAGCCCTTTATTAAAACCACCTCAGAGAGGCCAACTGAGAGCACTTTATTCCAGGCTTCTGCAACCTAAACTTGAGTGAGTGGACAGAGCCAATGGGCTATTTGCAGGTCCATCTATCCTCAGCCCCGAAGTAACTGAGCAGGGCTTAAGTTTGTTATCCTGAGAAGCTGTTCCATCAAACTGAAGTCGTATTCCGAAAACTGTCCCCTCGTGGTATCACATGCTACTTCCTTGAGAATCCTCCCTTTACCTTGTACATAGGTCTCCATTGTTTCCTCACTTGTACTTTTTTCTTTATCTAGCAGAACCATTTGACGATTGGGTCCTGATGGGAAAAAAATACAATTTACTTGGTTCAAGAGATTATGGGAATAAATGAAGGATGTGGTTTCTAGAAACCAGCCAGGTGGGAAGCCATTACCACCCCCAGGCCTGATGGAAGGACAAGGGGAGGTCATAGCATTTCCAGAGCTCAGTTAGAGCTCAAGCCATGGCAGAACAAAACAACTGCCAAAAATATATCAAATAAAGATAAAACACACTGATCTCTGCTTTTCTTCATTCTTCAGTTACCTACAGGTACCTTCTATTGGGAGAACTCAATTGAAAACTGGCTGGAAAGGGAACGGATGAGCTTGAATCCACATCGGCCAGCCTCTTGGGGTCCCCATCTGGGATAGAAAGGCAGATGGTGGGTCTGATGAGTTAGACAGAAGGGGGAATGCCGAGAATCATCAACAGATAATCCTTTTATTCCCATGATAATCTGCCTAATGATTAAGACACCCTGCCATTTGCACTTAATAGCAAAGAACATCTGAGATCAAAACACAGATATACAATAAACCATGTAGATCAAGGACCAACATGGCGGATGAGACCAAAATGGCTAATGCCATCTGTTGGTAGTAGGCAGAAAGAATGGTCCAAATCTGCCTTGTAATAAGATTCTTAGGTGATCTGTGTGTTTACCAAAGTGTGAGAGGCACTGGTGCAAAGTTAGTTGTATGTAGAGAAGTTTCTGTACAAAGATAAGACCAGCAAATGAGGCATGCATTGTAGAATTAGCTTAATGAGCAAACCATTGACAATTTCCCATCTTCCCTGTTGATGCAAACTCCACTGTCAGTGTGCTTAGAGAACCAAGCACCAGTCCAGGCAATCCACAAAGCATAAGTTAGAAGCAGCATGCAGGCTGCCCAAACCCTGGCTCCACTGGCCTATGTGAAGGCAGCTGCCTTCAGGTAGTCCCCTCCAGAGACTCTCCATTGGTCTCTCTCACTTGCATGAAACCAGGTCCCAGAGCTGCTGTTTAGCAGATGCAATTACTCTCTCCCCAGTCACAGCAAAATAGTTCCCTCTACGCACTTTGGCTGGAACATCTTATTTAAAGTTCACACCCAAGGAGATGAGGGTGTTAATGACTAATTTCCTCTAAATGAGCCCAAGAACTGGGAAGCCTCCTCCCTTGACTGACAGCTGTGGAGGAGTCACACTCCATCTGCTTGGCCTCTGCTGGCCCTAATGCTGTGTCTGGGTGGAGGACCACTGTGGGTGAGCCGCCAACAGGACAGCATCTCTCCTGTCATTCAGCTGTGTGGCACACCAGCCCTCCCCTCTATAACCAGGGGCCTGTGGTATCCCCTTAAGTTGCACAGCAAAGTCTCTGCTGGCTGAGTTGAGGTCTGATGTTAATATTTTTCCTTTCCTCTAAAGCCATGTGAGGATCTACCTGGTAGCCAAAGAAGGGCATTGGCGAGGTCAGGGGTGAACAACCCAGCACTCACTCCCATTTGCTGTTGCTCTGCTGTCCTATAAGAAACAAAGATGGCAAGATTGGAAGGCTGAGGCAGGCGGATCATGAGGTCAGGAGTTTGAGACCAGCCTGGCCAACATCGTGAAATCCTGTCTGTACTTAAAATACAACAACAACAACAACAAAAATAGCTGGGCGTGGTGGCAGGCACCACCTGTAATCCCAGCTACTAGGGAGGCTGAGGCAGGAGAATGGCGTGAACCCGGGAGGCGGAGCTTGCAGTGAGCCGAGATCCCGCCACTGCACTCCAGCCTGGGCGACAGAGCGAGACTCCGTCTCAAAAAAAAAAAAAAAAAAAAATGAAGAAGAAGAAGAAGAAGAAGCAGGGAGGTTGCAGGGATTCAGAGGCCTGTGGTGGTAAGAGGAGGCTGTGCCTTGTGTAACTTCTCATTTTCTGGAATTATGACTTTTTGTCATTTAATTTCTAAGTTACCCCTCCCATCAAAATGTACCCTATTTCTAAAATAGAATATTTCTAATTATGAAAAGAATACCTGCCCATTAAGGAAACTTTGGAAAACACAGAAGAGTATAAAATGACTCATATTACATCCCAAAAAATGCCTAGAGAGCAACCGATGTGTCTCCTCCTCCCCTTCCCCAGGTGTATCCCCTCCTTTATTCTACAAAGATGGAATCACATTATGGAGTAATTACAAACCTTTTGTTCACTTAACGTTATTTCATGAGAATTTCCCATGGCATTAAACTGTTCTTCAAAAGATAGCATCAAGTGACTGTGTGGCATCTACCCTTTGGATGTAACATAATTTATGCAGCCTTTCCTCTGTTGATCACATTTAGCTTGATTCTAGTTTTACACTATTATAATTAATACTGGATGATAATCGCTGCACATAAATCTACTCTGTCTGTAATTATTTCCCTTGGATAGATTGCTACAAGTCGAATTACTAAGCCAAAGGGTGTGCGTGTTTGAAGACTCTTAGTATATATCACTATATTGTCCTGAAAAGACACTGTCCCACTTTATGTCTTCTTTTCTGAATTGCCTGTTAATGTCCATGGCCTGGTTTGTCTTCCCCTAAGGAAGTTCATCTCTTCTTATTTGGAAGAGCTTTTTAAATATATGCTAAAAATATTAACTTTTAAATTTTTAATTACGGTAAAATATACATAACATAAAATTTACCATTTTATCCATTTTTAAGTATACAGTTTACTGATGTTAAGTATCTCCACACTGTTGTGCAAACAATCTCCAGAACTTATTTATCTTTTAAAACTAACGCTCTGTGCCCATTAGACAACAGCTCCCCATTCGCTTCTCCCCACAGCTCCTGGTAACCACTCTTCTGCTTTCTTTCTCTATGAACTCAGCTACTAGTCTAGGTACCTCATATAAATGGAGCCATACAGTATTTGTCTTTTTGTGGCTTCTCTCACTTAGAGTAATGCCATTAAGTTTCATCCATGTTGTAGTACTTGACAGGATTCTTTTTTTTTTGAGATGGAGTCGCTCTCCTGTCGCCCAGGCTGGAGTGCAGTGGTGCGATCGCCACTCACTGCAAGCTCCGCCTCTTGGGTTCACGCCATTCTCCTGCCTCAGCCTCCCGAGTAGCTGGGACTACAGGCGCCCGCCACTATGCCTGGTTAATTTTTTGTATTTTTAGTAGAGACAGGGTTTCACCATGTTAGCCAGGATGGTCTCGATCTCCTGACCTCATGATCCACCCACCTCGGCCTCCCAAAGTGCTGGGATTACAGACGTGAGCCACCGCACCTGGCCAGAATTTCCTTTTTTTTTTTTTAAAGAATACGTCTCACTCTGTTGTCCAGGCTGGAGTGCAGTGGCGGCGGGCATGATTTTGGCTCACTGCAACCTCTGCTTTCTCGGGCCCAGGTGATTCTCCAGCTTCAGCATCCCAAGTAGCTGGGACTACAGATGCCTGGCAAATTTTTGTATTTTTCTAGAGACAGGGTTTCACCATGTTGCCTAGGCTGGTCTCGAACTCCTGAGCTCAAAGCAATCTGCCCACCTTGGCCTCCCAAAGTGTTGGGATTACAGGGGTGAGCTACCACACCCAGCCCAGAGTTTTCTTTCTTTTTCAGGCAGAATATTATTCCATGTGATGTACATACCACATTTTATTTATCCATTCATTCATTGATGGACACTTGGCTTTCTTCTCCATTTTGGCTATTGAGAATAATGCTTCTGTGAACATGGGTGTACATTCATGGTGATTTTTGACATATAGGCTTCTAAAAATTTTTGTGAAATCTGACCTATGTGTCCTCTTTTTTGTTGCTTGCTTCCTTGCTGTCATGTTTAAGCATGTCTTGCTCACCCACAATTAGAAAAAGCACTTTTTAAAATTGTCTTCTATCATCTCATTTTTTCTTATTAAATTTAAGGCTATAACTAAACCATATTTTCTTAAATAGTGTGTGCTTTACTCAGAATATATTTGTTTGCAAGGAATGCAAACCCAGTCAAAATACTGCAGACAAAAGGAAGCTTCTTCAACAATACATCTCATGGCTGCAGAGTCAGCTGGGCCTTCCAGGAGCAAATATACCATTGGGCAAGCTATGTCCCTCTCTGGCCTCTCTCTCTGCATCAACTCTCTTCTCTCTGGACCAGGTTTTTTGGCTTGCACACAGTTTGGGAGTTCACAGAACTCTGGATTGCGTGTGACTTTGAAGTGTCTTGACAGGGACTCCAGCTCTAATTCTACATGATTTTAAATGGTGCAAATACTCTGACAAGAGTATTTCAAACTCTTAGTTTATAATCTGGAGAGGGAGAGAAAGAAAAAACAAACTGGTTCACCCTTGTCCACGGATTGGTTTTCTTTGTGTCTGCTGTTTGTTTTGGGCCCAAACAGTTCTCACCGGGAAGTGGGAGAGGGTCATGTGATACAAGCAACAGCAACAAAAAACAAACAAGAATCTCCAGGCCTACAGAAATAAGAACGCTTTTACACTGTTGGTGGGAGTGTAAATTAGTTCAACCATTGTGGAAGACAGTGTGATGATTCCTCAAGGATCTAGAACCAAAAATACCATTTGACCCAGCAATCCCATTACTGGGTATATACCCAAAGGATTATAAATCATTCTACTATAAAGACACATGCACATGTATGTTTATTGCAGCACAATTTACCATAGCAAAGACTTGGAACCAACCCAGATGCCCATCAGTGATAGACTGGATCAAGAAAATGTTAGCACATATACACCATGGAATACTATGCAGCCACAAAAAGGATGAGTTCATGTCCTTTGCAGGGACATGGATGAAGCTGGAAGCCATCATTCTCAGCAAACTAATACGGGAACAGAAAACCAAATGCCGCATGTTCTCACTCATAAGTGGGAGTTGAACAATGAGAACACATGGGCCGGGCATGGTGGCTCACGCCTGTAATCCCAGCACTTTGTGAGGCTGAGGCGGGTGGATCATGAGGTCAGGAGTTCAAGACCAGCCTGGCCAAGATGGTGAAACCCTGTCTCTACTACAAAAATACAAAAATTAGCTGGGCGTGGTGGCAGGCATCTGTAATCCCAGCTACTTGGTAGGCTGAGGCAGGAGAATTGCTTGAACCCGGGAAGTGGAGGTTGCAGTGAGCCGAGCCTGTGCCACTGCACTCCAGCCTGGGTGACAGAGCAAGACTCTGTCTCAAGAAGGAAAAAAAAAAAAAAGAGAACACATGGACACAGGGAGGGGAACATCACACACCGGGGCCTGTCCGGGGGTAGGGGGCAAGGGAAGGGAGAGCATTAGGACAAATACCTTATGTATGCGGGGCTTAAAACCTAGATGACAGGTTGATAGGTGCAGCAAATCACCATGGCACATGTATACCTGTGTAACAAATCTTCACTTTCTGCCCATGTATCCTAGAACTTAAAGTAAAATTAAAAAAAAAAAAAAAGAATCTCCAGGCCCACACCTTTCCCAGGAAATTAATGTGGAGCTTCCAAAAGGGTATATGGGGTGGCAGGCACCCTAACATGTCTGTAAAAGAAACTGTTGAGGTCACTCTTGTTTTTCTCAAACAGAACACCAGTACTCCTTTTTCTCTTTGTTTTCTTTTTCCCCCACTGATTTGAATGTCGTCTTTATCATATTCTCATTCCTTAAGTTTACTATGATCTTTTTTCCTGTTTTTTTTTTTGTGTGTGTGTTCCATTTATCTATTCTTATGTCAGTGCTATACTGGTTTAATTATCATAGCCTTACGTCATATCTAGTACAAGTTCTCCTTTATTAAATCTTTTTTCAAAATGTCTTGTCTCTTCCCTACGTTAGTTTTTTTTTCCAGATAGATTTTGGATTCAATTATTCTGCTTTTTAGTTCATATATACATTGTTTTCATTAGACTTGTTTTAGAACTGCTAGTAAATTAGTCTGAGGAGAATTTACACTTTCACAATATCTAATGTGTGTACTATTGCCATGCATTTTTAAATAAAAATAAATTGAATTACATTTAATAATTTAGAAAATTTTTAGGGCATCGTGGAACCTAGGAACTTGATCCACTTTGTCACCAATGGAAATATAAAGTTAATCTCACCCAGCTCCCTACTGAGTGAGTGAATATTGTCTCTCATGCATGTCCGTGGACTGTAACTCCAAGTGAGTGAAAAGCTGAGGTAATTAAGTGGGTAACTTAGGGGTAGGCATTGACTTGGAGGCAAAAGCAGTTTTAGATGTTTTGCTTACCCAGTTGATGGGGCCTTGTGGCTGGTTAACAACCATTCAGCACTTCCCTATGTGTGGATAAAACATGAACATTCCAGGGCTCAGAGCTTCAATTCATTAAAATGTGAATATGGGTATTTGTTAATTAATTCAATGAACAATTAATGAGCACACACCATGTGCCAGGCACTGTGCTCGCTGCAGGGTGGCAATAAAGGTGGGACTTGGTCCTTGCTGCACAGTAAGTAGTATTACATGTGCTCACCAATAATAACAACAGAGGCGGAATTCTATCGGTACCATAAAGCACTGTGCTGTGGAAACTCAGAGATGGGGTCAGCTCACAGCCATCCAGATTCAGGGGACCTTTTTCCTCTCTGTTTCATGGAGGGAACAGACTACAAGCCATAGCCATTTGATCAACCGAGGGGTTTTCCAGGCCCAGGATCAGGTGTTTTTTGACATATTATTCTTTTCATTTTCTCATCATTAAGCATGATGCACTTTCTCATCATTAAGATCTCCATTCCTGGGTTCATATTCCTGGGCCTAGTTTTTCTTTTAGAGACAGAATCTCAGTCTCACTCTGTCACCCAGGCTGGAGTACAGAGGCATGATCATAGCTTACTGCAGTCTCAAATTCCTGGGCTCAAGCAATCCTCCTGCCCAAGCCTCCTGAGTAGCTGGGACTACAGGCACGTATCACAACACTCAGCTAATTTCTTTAAGTTTTGTAGAGACAGGAGCTCACTATGTTGTCCAAGCAGGTCTCAAACTCCTGGCCTCAAGTGATCTACATGCCTCAGCCTCCCAAAGCATTGAGATTAACAGGCCTGAGTCACTGTGCCTGGCCAGGCCAGTTCTTTTGAACGTAATCTCTGTCGACCTGCTTTCTGATGCTTCTACCAATTTCACTTCCTTGAAATATAATACATCTTGATTTCTAATGGCAGCCCGATGCTCCCGAAAGACCACAGCCTTTGGAGTAAAACTAAGCTTTGCTGAAATCCTTGCTGCTTATATTACTGGCGGTGTGGTTTTGGACCAAATTTCTAAAACGAGGAAGATTTAATTTTCTCATGTGCCATATGAAGGTAATTAATACATCTTATGTAAGACTGTTTTAAGTGTTCAATTAAATGAGATTTTATATAAAGCTTGCAGTCTAGCGCCATATCCAAAGTGGTGACCATTTTATTAATATTTGCCCTCCCTTTGGATCAGAGGCCTCCTAAACCCAGAGATTTATCACACGTCTTCTGGTTTTAGCCTGACTTTCTTTACCTTTCCGTGAAACAAATTCTTTTTACTTAAATTGCTCTGTTAGAAGGAGTTCTGAACCTTAAACTCCTTGTCAACTGTTGCACTGAGTTTATTAGTGGAATAAATGTCTTCAGGCCCACTGCTGAAATGGATACCCTCTGCCTCCTAGCATGTCCAGTCCACTTTCTGGTGCAGTCTCTTTCCCTCATTCCTCATCCTTGTGAGCCAGCTCAGAAACTACAGCTTTATTAGAAGCAGAGCTAATGCCTCTGCTCTGAACTCTTTCCACTCAACATTCTTCACCAGGAATCCTTTCTCCATTCCTTCCTGGCCAGCTCCAGGGTACATTTCTTTTTTTTTTTTTTCCTAAGAAAACCTGCTGGCCTGTTTATTCTTATGGGGTCAACTCTCCTGGTGTCACATTCCCAATCTCTGGGAATAGTCTTGCTTGCAGAAGAGTGACAAAGACTATATTTTTGAGCAGTGTTGTGGAAAGGAAAGAACATTAACCAGACTTGGAGGTAGGAAATAGATGGGATTAGACTAGTCTTGCCCTTTATAAACACTGTCTGTTTTACAAGGCACTTTCTTTTTCCAGATTTGTTTTCTCAGTTTTCTACTGAAAGAGTAAATATTGGTGGTTTCTAATTTTCCTCTCAGTTCTGGCGGTCTCTGGATTATAAACCTAATTGAGTGCAAGCATTTAAAGAAATAAGAACAGTTGCCTTCCTCTTGTTGTTATAGTTGGGGTGCAAATAAAAGTTTAATGCAAGGATTTAAAGGATGGATTTTTAAGATTGAGGTATTGAGGTAGGAGGTGGGACTCGACTTCAGACCAGCTTGAAGACTGGCTGAAACAGGGAAGAGGCACTGAAAGCTCTTCTCCATAAGACACGCCCACCAGTGCCATGACAGTTTGCTATTGCCGTGACAACACCCGGAGGTTACTGCCCCTTTCCATGGCAATGACCTGGAAGTTACCTCCCCTTTTCTAGAAATTTCTGAGTAGCTTGCCCCTTAATTTGCATGTAATTAAAAGTGGATATAAATCTGACTGCAGAACTGCCCCTGAGGTGCTACTCTCAGTGCACTGCTTAAGGAGTATCCCTGCTCTGCAGGAGCAGTCACAGAGCTGGAGCACTGCCACCTCAATAAAGCTGTTTCCTTCTACCACCAGCTTGCTCTTGAATTCTTTCCTGAGCAACGCTAAGAATCTTCCCCAGCTAAACCCCAATTTGGTGACTTGCCTGCCCTGCAACAGGTAAACCTAAATACTAAAATACATAAAGTGTATTAATCTTGTGTATATAACTTAATGGATTTTTCCTATCTATTCAACTATCCATCTCCCCCTTATCCAGCACCTAGAAAAAAAATAAAGAACGTTTCCATCACCCCATAAGTTTCCTTCATGTTCCTCTCCAGTCTAAATTTAACCCCCAGAGGTAGCTACTATTCTGACTTCTGTCATTATCAAATAGCTTGGCCTAATTTTTGTTTGCTTGTTTTTTGAGCTTCTTTCAAAAGAACTTTGGTCTTGGTCTTCATACAAATGAAGCCATGTGACATGCATTTTTTTGTGTGTTTGGCTTTCACTTAACGTTATATTAGTGAGAGTTACCCATATTGTTACATCTGTCACCAGTTCACACTTTTTGAAGTATTTCACATAATTTTTCACATAAGTATTTCACATAAGTATTTATGTGGTATATTGTAAATATGCCACAGCCTATTTATTCAATCACCATTTGATGGACATTCTGGCTATTTTCAATTCTTTTACTATTTTAAATAAAGCTGCAATAAATATTCTTGCACATGTCAATTGACGGACATATATTCATTTCTCCTGGGTAAATTTTTAGATTTGGAATTGCTGGAATATAGAATGGAAATATTTTATCTTCAGAACAAACTACCAACAAGCTTTTCAAAGTGGTTTATCATTTTGCATTCCCACCAGCAGTGTATGAGAGTTCCAGTTGCTCCACATCCTCACCAACATTTGGTATTGCCAGTCTTTTTAATTTTAGCCATTCTGGTGAGTGTAAGGTGGTATTACATTACAGTTAAAAGTGTAGACTTTCTTGAAGCCATGAAAAATCTGTATTTGAGCCCTAGGTCTTCTATTCATGAGGTAAGTGAAGGGGAACAAGAAACCTAAACACTCTGAGACTCAAGTTTCCTCACCTATAATACAAAGGATATTCTTGACCACCTCAAGAAGTTTTCTGAAGATTAAATGAGGTAGTGATTACAAAGCAGAAGCTCTCGCTCATAAATACTTAGTATTAAATAATAACTATTATAGCTACTGTTATTATCATTATTATTATTACTACTGCAATTGATACTATTCAGGTAAAGAAATCCCTTATTCTATTAAGGTTGTCCTACATATAAGGATATTATTGGTTGAAATTATTATTATTATTATTATTTGAGTTGGAGTCTCACTCTGTTACCCAGGCTGGAGTGCAGTGGCACAATCTTGGCTCACTGCAACCTCTGCCTCCCAGATTCAAGCGATTCTCTTGCCTCAGCCTCCCAAGTAGCTGAGATCACAGGCACTCACCACCACATCCAGCTAATTTTTGTATTTTTAGTAGAGATGGGGTTTTACCATGTTGGCCAGGCTGGTCTCAAGCTCCTGACCTCAAGTGACCCACCTGCCTTGGCCTCCCAAAATGCTAGGATTACAGGCGTGAGCCACTGCACTCAGCCAAATTATTTTTAAAGTTATATTTTTATGTTATAAAGTTTTCTTAGACAGTTGACAGGAATTTAATAATATTGAGAGAAGTTCATTTAGTCCGTTAATCCATTGGCAACTATCAACAGATATATCCTATGTGCCCAGCACTGCTCTAGGTACAGGATATCCCTCTTGTGGAAGCTTTAAGAAGGGAGATGGACAATAAACAATAACCAAGTAGGTGAACAAGATAGTTTTATAGAATGATACATGCCCTTGATGAAAATACAGTAATGTGATAGAGAATGTTGGGGAGCCTACAATAGATTGGGTGATTAGAGAAAGTCTCTCTCAGGAGGCAAGCCTTACAATAAAAATCTAAATGATTAACAAGAATCTAGGTTTACAAACATCTGAGGACAGAGAGTTCCAGGAAGAGGGAACTGCAAGTGCAAAGGATGTAAGACAGGCATAAGCTGGGAATGCTAGAAAAACAGAAGGAATTTGCTATGGCTATAGGGAGCCAAGGGAAAAGTGGTGTGAGGGAGGGAAGCTGGCAGGGCCATGGTGTGTAATGTCCTGTAGATTATTTTACATTTGTATATATGTATATTTTTGAGACAAGATCTCATTCTGTTACCCAGGGTGGAGTGCAGTGACAGGATCTTGGCTCACTGCAACCTCCACCTCCCGGGCTCAGGTGATCCTCCCACCTAAGCCTCCTGAGTAGCTGGGACTACAGGCACATGCCACCATGCCCAGCTAATTTTTTGTAGAGGTGGGGTTTCGCCTTGTTGCCCAGGCAGGTCTCAAGTGCCTGAGCTCAAGTGATCTGCTTGCCTTGGCCTCAGAAAGTGCTGGGATTACAGGCATGAGCCACTGTGCCCAGCTACATTTGTATGTTAAGTGTAATATGACGCCTTGGAAGATTTTAAGGAGAGGCATAGAATGAGCAGATGTCTATTTTTAGGAGAAGACTTTTCTGTGTGTTATGCAGAGAATCTAGAGAGTCGATGGAAGTGGGTAAGGAGTGGAAGCAGGAAGCTCAGTCCTCCTGCTGTAGCAGGTCAGATGAGGGATGGTGGCAGCACTCCTGGGAGGTGGCAGGACAGATGGAGAAGAGTGGGTGGATGTGAAATGAAGCTTGCAAATCGTCCTGATGGGCCTTGCTGATGATAGGGAGGAGAAGATGAAGAGAGGAATAAAGGCTCTAGAACAGAGGAAGCAATGACAAGAAAGACTGGAGGAGAAATGGTGTATGTGGAGGGTTGCAGGAATAAAGTTTTCTTTTGGCCATTGTCATGGGTTAAATTTTGCCCCCATAAAAGATATGTTGAAGTCCGAATTGCTGAACCTTACTTGAGATCAGGATTTTGGCAGATATAATCAAATTAAGATGAGGTCATACTGAATTAGGTTGGACTTTAATCCATATGATAAGGATTTATGGTGATAAGAAGAACGGAAAGGAGAGATGGACAGACAGACCTACAGGATGGGCAAGAGGGAATTGAGGACAAACTGTGAGGCAAAGAAAGTTACTATCAGCAACTCTTTTGACATTTCATAGAGAAGGACAGTGGAGAAATGGGACGGTGACTTGGCTGGGGGAATGGGGTGAAGGGAGAATAGAACATGTAAAGTCATAAGAGTTGAGAAGTTTCAGTATGAATGAGCCCATTGAGGGAGAGAAATTGATGACTGAGGAGGAGAGGGAGAATTTCAGGAGCTAAGTCCTTGAGATGATGAAAAGGGATAGGCCATGCTTGGAACAAGGACATTGGACTCACTTTCATAGCAGGGAGGACAGAGAAAGGGGATGGCTGTAAATTCCCTGTGAACAACAGAGTTCCTTTCCGATGAGGCAAGGTCATGAGTTGAAGGGCACAGAGAACAGGGAACACTGGAGGTTTCAGGAACAGCAGAAACTATAAAAAACATTTGGGAATTGGAAGAACCAACATTCCAGGGAAGGAAAGCACAATTCCCAAGAGGTGAGGGGCCCTTTGAAACTTGTGGTTCTCAATTCTAAGAGACCCTGGGCAGTCACAGTGATATTGGTGAACACACCCCAGGTGCTGTTCTAAGCCCTTTACATCTAAAGTCCCACATCTACTAGATGTAGCTGGTGGGCTCTCACCACTGGCGGTTTTGCTGAGTGAATGCATGGAATGAGATGGAGGCTGAGGATGCTGAGGATGGACCATGCCAACACAACTGGATAAGGAGGCAAGGAAGGCTCAGGGTATAACAGTCTGCAAATGAAATCACCTTCCTACTGGGCATTACAGTCTGAAAAATAGTTTAGCCCCTCAAATTTTCTCCCTCTCCAATTGTTTATTTTGCTCTGGGTTGGAAAGTTCTCTCTTAGGTGCTTGGGAAGAGGTGTGGTCCCTTGAGCAGATGCTGGCCGGACAGCTCCCCCACCTAGAGTGCTTATAGTTCCATCATCTTCCCAAAGTTGAATTAATCTAACCCCAAGTCACTCACATGACCCACTTTTCCAAAGAATCAAGAGACAATAGATGACAAAATCCCACAAGACGCTCTATACACGTGACTACATTTGGACAATACAGTACAAGACTCGGTGTGTCCAAGCAAATTCTGTCTCAGAGCCAAGGACATGGTCCAACCCACACAAACATGAAATTTCCCAGCATGTCAGGAGCAAGACAGGGATCACAGAATCACAGAGGAACCAGTGCAGGCAGGTGTGAGATGGAGCGCTTCCTTTTGGAGGTGAGATGAGCTGACGTGTTTTCTCCTACTAATCTTAATTAGCGGGTCTGTTTTTTCCAAAGCACATTCAGGAGAATCGCAGTGAGTGCCCTAAACCATGACATTACCAGCATGAAAACTGATACTCTCCCAGAAGTATGGGGTAGAGAAGAGTCCTTCCTGGAGCTTTGAATAATTTTGGACTTAAGACTCTTCCTTGACTTTCTCCCTGGAATATTTTGAAATATTCAGTATACTTGAGTTTTGCTCTTCTAGTAGTAATGGTAGTAGTACTAGTAATGATAGTAACTATTTATCAAATAACTGTAAGGGGCACTGTGCTTTATATGAATTGTTGGGGTTTTTTGTTTTTCGTTTGTTCGGTTATTTATTTATTTATTTTTTGAGACAGAGTCTTGCTCTGTCGCCCAGGCTGGAGTGCAGTGGCACAGTCTTGACTCACTGCAACCTCTGCCTCCCAGGTTCAAGTGATTCTCCTGCCTCAGCCTCCTGAGTAGCTGGGATTATAGGTGCGTGCCACCATGCCCAGCTAATTTTTGTATTTTTAGTAGAGACAGGGTTTCACTATGTTGGTCAGGCTGGTCTCGAACTCCTGACTTCGTGATCCGCCCACCTCAGCCTCCCAAAGTGCTGGGATTACAGGCATGGGCCACCGAACCCGGCCGAATTATTGTACTTAATTTAGTCTTCATCCCTTCCTCATGAGCGAGGCACCATTCCCATTTTACAGATGAAGATAATTTAGAAAGCATGAATGGTTCATCCAGAGCCACACAGCTAGTCCCAGAACCAGAAAGACTTATTGGAAGTCTATGCTTTTATCGCCTCTATGTTACTGAGATATGCCTAGGGCCATTTGGCACTTCAGGCTTAGCTTTTTTTGCAAGTATGGTGGAATGAAAGGAACTCCCAGCATAGAAAGACAGGGAATTTAGAGTCCATCCTAAATCACAGCTTAGTCACTTTGTGACTTTGTGTAATTATTTAACCTCTCTGAGACTTAACTCTTTTGGCAAATAGAGAATGTCAATATTTTCTTCACACATTTTCCTCTAGATGTTAAAAGGCATTCATCACCAATGTCTCAGTCCAAAGGCACATGATAAAATTATCTAAGACGGTGGCAGTTTCTCAGGATCATTTAGTTAAAACTCATTCATTTGGATTCACTCATAGGACGCTCAGTGTTTTTGCAGAATGTGAGAAGAAGTCAAGAAACAGAGAGGAAAGCAGGTCTCAGTTGCCCCATGGGCTAACACACCATGCATCTGCAGGGTGACAAGAGGAAACTGACAATTCCTTCATTTCTTAATAGAGCCATGAGGTCTAACCTGTATTCTCATAAGACGCTGGGTGCAAAGAAAGAGTTGTTCCTCCCTGCAGAGCACCACATCGTTTGCCTCTTCTGCCCGGCTCTTTTCAGGGTTTGTCTTGGCCAGGGTCCTGCTTATGACAATGCAACAGCTCTGGGATGCTGACCAGTCAGAGACAAGAATTTGGTTAAGCTCTGGGCATCTTTCCAAGGGGATTACAGCCAGCATATCTGAGGAGAAAATAAATGGCGCGCTGGGGTCCCCTGAAATAGAACTCAGCCTTTTGCGTTGTTTTCTCAGACTGTGGGCTGCTAGGCACATTGAATGTGCCCAGGGCTGGGAAATCAAAGACACTGACTTTAGTCCCCACTTAACAGTCAACACCTCCATGACCTTGCACTGTTTACTATCCTTCCCTAGCTCCAGTTTCCTCATTAGCAAATAGAGGGGCGAGAAAAGGTGACCTTGAAGACTCTTTCTGTTGCAACATTCTCTGACTTTATCTTGATGGCAGGGAGTAAGCAGAGGGTTTAGCCCCTCTAAAACCTCTTAAGATCACCACCATCAAGCACTCCTCTCCCTCATCCCTGTGGCAAATAGTTAGGATACATGAGAGGTATGGTTTTCAAACACTGTATTTTTAGCCATGTAACTTTCTTAAGATAATATCTTACCTGAAAGCCTATATAATATACAGGAGACCCCATAGTGGAGCTCCTCAATTACAACGGGTGAGTTGACCTACAGTTTGCCCTTGACCCTCCCCTTCTTTGCTCTTGGTCTCAGCTGGAGACGTCCATGGATCCCATATTTACGTTTTTGTTTGTTTCTTTGTTTTTGGTTTCAAACACAAAGCACCAGTTTAAAAACAAAATCCAAACCAACAAAATGATGATTTGGGGGACATTTAGTTGAATCGAAAGAGGTTCGCTTACGAACTGCTTTCGGGAGGATCCACCCACTCTTTGGATGGCTATCAAGCTGCATTCTAGGTTCTTAGTCCCCACCCCATCTTGCCTGTGCTCCTCAAGCTTCCGTATCTGATGAGATCTTCTGCTTTCTCTTAGGGCAGATGACAGGATGAAAGCACCATCTTGGAAGTCAAGAGTATGCGTTTCTGTTTCCAAGACTATCTGCCTTTGTGACCTTGAGAATGCCACTACTCACCCTCTTTGGGTTTATACTTCTTTAGTCCAGTGAGAGTGTCGGGTAAGGTGGTCCCTGAATGGTTCTGACAAGCTGGGATGGTTTATCCTGAGCCTTCCCATCTGTGGACACCTTGCATTCACCTGATGGGCTAGGCACTTAGCAATGGTCCCCTTTGTTTCCGCCAGCAGCAGTGTAGGCAGAGGGAAGACAACCAGAGAGGAGATCTTTGGGGTGCCCAGAGTATTTGCCAACAGCTCTTCTAACTCTGCACAGACTCTGGAGGACACAGTCTTCATGGGCTTATGTGAGCAAGCACTAGAATTGTCACATGAAATAACACATCCCCAGTTGCTGCTCTCTGGAGATTTTTGCACTAGCTAGTGTCAGTGCAATCTCCAGTTAGACCTGGCCTGCCCCAGTTTACCTCGGTAAGAGCAAGCTCAGAAGCTGCCTTGTTAGTTCAGCAAAAAGTTAATGCAGAGAGGAGCACAGGTCTCCTGGCTCCCAGCCCCCTTCTCATTGTATAGTCAGGGTTGTGTATTCTTGGGAACTGGAAGGAGCCCTGGGGCTTCCTCAGGGAAGGAGCCCTCAGGCCAGAGAGCAAACCCCGGGCTCTCTCCAGCTCCCTTTTCCCTTGACTCTTTATGGCCTGAGGTCAGCTTGAGGCACATGCAAGGTAAGAGGACCCCAGGGAGGTACATGGGAAAGAGGAAAACTGTGGTCTTAATGCAAAGAGCAACTCCCATTTATTGAGGGCTTATTTGTGCAGAGTATTAGACGAAGCACTTTATACACAGAATCTCATTTAATCCTCACTGCCCTCCTGTGAGGTTAGGTATTAGTATCTGTGTTTGATAAATGCCTTGTCATTTACACATGGAAAAGTGGCCCCTCTCGTTTCCTGGCCCTTGTACTTCTTTTTATAAAATAACGTTATTAGGTTTTTGTTGTTGTTGTTTTCAAATTAAAAAGTACAGAGAAAAACAACAAAAAAAAATGGCCCATGAGCCCACTTTATAATCCCAGATAAACTCTAAATATTACAAAAATTAAAATAACACGTTTAGAATATTCAAAAATTAAAGAAAATAATAAAAATCAAAGGCAAATGCCTCCCTCCCATCAGCCCCACCCCTCTCCTCAAAGGAAAGAAAGTTTTAATAGATTGTGTTCATGATTATTTCCAGAAAAAAATTATTGTTGGTATAAATCATCATACCTGGAATGGACCTATAGATATTTCCTTTGTATGTTTTCTTTTTATTGTTATTTATATAAAAGAAGTCATACATAAGCATTGCTCTGGGTCTTGCTTTTTTGTTGTTGTTTTTTCAACTTTCTGTATCTTGGAAACCTTCCTACCAGCACATACAGCTCTGCCTCCTTCTTTTTAACAGCTGCATAGTATTCCATCATGGATGTTGGATTCCAGTTTATTAAGTTCCTCACTGGCAGAAACTATTTGCAATGAATCCTGCACTGTCTAGCCTGGTTGAGATATTATGGAAAATTTTGAGGGCATGTATGTAAGGTAAATTTCTAGCAGCAGGAAAATAGGTCAAAGGCATGCCCTTCAAATTGGCACTACTGATTTTCACTCCCACCAGTGGGAATGAGGTGCCCATTCTCCTGGCACTGGGTATCATCAGATTCTTCAGTTTTGCCAAACTGATTGGTTTTCTAAAAAGGTATCTTATATTTTGCTTTGTGTTTTCTTAATTGGGAGTTAAGGTTAATCATATTTTTAAATATCCATTAGCCTTTTAAAACATTTTCTTTCCGTGTGTAGTGGGGTACTACCTATTGCTTTTCTTTTTTTTTCAGTTTTTGTATATTTTTAATGTGTTTTTTCTAGTTATTATTTGTTCGTTTGTTTGTACCTGTGTGCCTTTTCATTATTGACATGCTGGAGTTTTTTGTAAACAAAGGGAAAAGGCCTTTATCTCATGTATTGAAAGTGTGTCACTGGGGTATAATATGTGTTTTATCTTTTGTCTGTGGTATATTTTTCCATAGAGAGTTTCAGCCGTGCATGGTTGTACAGAAGGGCCTAAGCACCATTCAAGCTCCCTCTCAGCTTGTCAGAGGCCAGCTCTGTGCCTGTTCTGAGGGCACATAATGCATTTCAAGCAGGCTCTAAAGATGGAGAATTGCTCCCCCACCCCTCAAGCTACTTTCGGTTTTATTTCATGACCACAGTGTACTTTTATTACCCTGTTTTTACACCAGATTTTCTGGGGCAACTCCAGTATCATTTAACTTTATTTCTGTCAATAAAGATAACTCGTTAAATGCTTAAAAATGTGTAATCTAGTTTGCCAATCTTTTCTTAATGAATTTGGGATTTGTGTACTGCTTGAAGATTACAGATAAATACATTCATGTTTTTAGAAATTCTAGAGTTTTTTTTTCTTTCTTGGTGGATTTTTTCATCAGGTCTATTTTAATTCTCCCATCTATGGTGACTCGTGGGTATTTTAGTCCCTGAGTTCTTAAAACTGGACACTCTTTGTGGCCTTTATTCTTAAAGGATAATTTGGCAATGAATAAAACCCTCAGGTAACAGCCACTTAACCAAAAGCCGCCAATCAGTCTATCCATCTGTCTATCCATCTATCCATCCATCATTTATCTAGATTATAAACAAATAAAACAAAAAATTGTTTAATTGTCAAGCAAGTCTCCAGCTACCCAGCATAGGAAATGAAACAGAGAAGTACCTTTTATACTTTTTCTCAATTACATTTTTCTTCTTACCTACAGAATTATCTGTTATATTAAAATCTCTATCATTTCAATGAATTTCTTTGTATCTGTATAATACTACATATGCACGCATCCTCAAACAACATAATGTGTTATGTTGCATATTTTAAAACTCTCTCTGTGTCATGTCATCCTGCTTTTCTTGTTTGCTTTGTGCATTCATCATTATGACTGAGAACCATCCATGCTGATATTTAGAGCTCTGGTTCATTTAATTTCATTACATTTCATTTGTACTGTATAAGAATACATTGTGTGAGTACACCACTATTTATGACTTTTCTCTGGCTGGGAAGATAGATTCTTTTCCCTAATTGTCGGTATTACAAACAATATTGCAGTGAACATGCTGGTGCCTATCTCCTTATGCACGTGTGAGGATTTATCTAGGTTATATACCTAGAAGTAGAGTGGCCAGTTTCCTGCTATATCCACATTCAACTTTATTAGCCATTGCCAAAGTTCTTTTCAAAGGAGTTGAACCGATTTACACTCCCAGAAAGGTACATGAGTTCTTGTTTCTGCTTATTCATGTCAGTAGGCTCAGGCATTTTAATTTTTGCTAGTCTATTGAGTGTGAAGTGATACCTCATTATGGTTTTAATTTGAATTTCCCTATTACTTGTGAGATTGAACACTACTTTATGTGTATTTGCCCTTTGGGTTTTCTCTCCTTTGAGTCGCCTATGCATTTCTTTTCCCTATTTTTTTAATTGGGTTGTTTACTTTCTTATTAATGTGAAGTTATTTACGTGCTCTAGAAAGTAATGTAAATATACATTTTTAGTCTTTGACTTGTAGTTTCATGACTGCTTTTGATGTACCACAGTTTAAAATTTTTTTTTGTTTTCTCTCTAGTTTTTGACTTGAGTCTTGTTTAAAAATTCTTACTCTGAGATCATTAACATATTCTCTCTGATTCTTATGTGACAGTTTTTAGTGTGTGATTTTTTTTTGTATTTAGCTTCTTAGTCCTTGACTTGATTTCTGTGTATGTGTTTTTGTGTATATTTGCATGTATGTTTATGTTTGTATATTTTTCCCCTATTTAGTGAAAAGTCTGGACTTTTTTGTGAAGAAAGCTTTTCTATTCTCCTTTCTTTTCATTATTTTCAGTGAATTTTTAGGTAGAGGAATGGAATCAAAACATCTTCATTCAAAAATAATAGCAAGCTCTTATCCTAAATAATACTAGTAGCCCTTAAATAGTAATAGTACTAGCACTTAATACTAGTACTTAAATAGTAGTAATAGTAGTACTTAAGTAATACTAGTACTACTGTTCTAAATGCTTTGTGTATTCATATTATATATAACACATATATAATTCATATTATATGTAACATATATAATATGAAATGGGCGTCATCATTGTTTTCATTTCGCATTTGAGGACACAGACACACAGAGGTTTGAATCTTGTCAGTCATTTCCAGATAAGAGTGTCCCTCCACCAGTATACTGTCCCACCTCTACAAAAATGAAGGGGTCAAAATTCTTAAAAACGTTGCTGCACTTTCTGTAGGTTTTGTGTTTTATGATGTTGGCTTGAGTGTTCTCCTTTATTTTTTAAAATGGCATTTCACCAGGGTATATCTAGATATCGGTCCCTTTTAATGCATAATCTGGTACTTGATTATTTCTTTTGATCGAAAGACTAAAGTCTTCCAATCTGTTCAGAAAAAAAGAAAAACTATTAACTTGTAATTATTGCTTCTGAACTCTCCCTTTTGTCTCTCCTCTGGGAGTCTTATTTTAAATAGATATGACTCCTGAAGTTGTCCTCTGTGCCCTGTCTTTTCTCCCACAGTTTTTATCTCTTTGTCCTTCCCCTCTGAGTACCCAGTGCCTTTCTCTCATTGGACTCTCCTTTATCAGCTTCCTTGTGTATCCGTTCTCTAGTCCAGATCTGCAACCCGAGGCAAACTGTCCTGATCAGTTTGTTTCCCCCTTATGGCTGTTGGTCTAATCTCACAGATGCAAAATTCTGTTAAGTCTTTACAGAGATCACCATTTGGATATTATCTCATTTTTTTCCCTCCTTTCCTTACAGCAAATCTGTTTCACAGAGAAACTTTCCCTCCACTTGCTTTCTTATCAGAGTCAGCCGTATCACACACTCCAGGAGCCCAGCCATGGTCCTCTCTTTAGCTTGAATCTGCCTCCTGCCTGGGGACAGTTGTCCGTTGGTGCTGTCTCTAGGACTTCTGAATTGTGCTGAGATTTGGGAAAGGCATGGAGTTCTGACGGGAGGTCGAGGCAGCCTGAGCAGCGACTGAGCTAAAATAAAATCTTTGTTGCTTTAGGGAGGGTTGTCAGTGGTGAAGGTGAGGGGGCAGTGGCAGAACTGGAGGTATAGACATCACCAGGATGCTGATTTGCACCATTCAGTTCAGCAGGTGGTGGAAGGCATGCTCTGAAACCTGAAACCATCCTGGTCCCTGGCTGTGGACTGTGTGTCTGTCCGTCCTGTGACATGGAAGTGCTTATGCTTCACGGAACTTTGGCTTAACTTCTGTTCAGAGCTCTGCTGGATATACATGGTTGTTTCTCTTGAACTGCAATTTGGTCAAAGTTTGCCCTCTTTTGTCCTCTTACCCTGATAAGTGGCAGATGGGCAGAGACTGCAGGACAAGGAAGGGGGTGGTTCTTTGTGTTACAGCTAACAAATCCTATGATACCCACTCATATAATCATGAGTTCATATCATCAACCCATTAACTCTATGCATCACCAAGGAAAAGAAGAGGCACTGACTCCCCTCTCTTCTGTCTGCCTGCATGGGGCTTCATGTTTTTTTTTGTTTGTTTTTTTTTTTTTGAGACGTCTCGCTCTGTTGCCCGGCCTGGAGTACAGTGGCGCGATCTGAGCTCACTGCAACCTCCACCTCCCAGGTTCAAGCAGTTCTCCTGCCTCAGGCCTCAGCTTCCCGAGTAGCTGGGACTACAGGCCTGTGCCACCACACTTGGCTCATTTTTTGTATTTTTAGTAAAGACGGGGTTTTGCCATGTTAGCCAGGATGGTCTCGATCTCCTGACCTCATGATCCACCCACCTCGGCCTTCCAAAGTGCTGGGATTACAGACGTGAGCCACTGCGCCCGGCCTGGGGCTTCCCTTTTAACCAGCCCTTCTTCTCTTCATGCCTCCCTGGTTCATATTAAACTTTGGAGGCTACAGAGAATGCAGATCATTCTAGACCTTGACCCTGGGTCCAGCAGAAGACTGACCTATCACTGGTCCAAACATAGTGGTTCATGAAGAGTTGTCCTTGGACCTAAGAGCATTATTAGCATCATCTGGGAACTTGTTAGGAATGGAAATTGTCAGGCCTCTCCTCTGACCTACTAAATCCGGGATTCTGGAGCCGGGACCCTGCGATCTGTGCCATCCAAGAGAGTGTGGTGCACGCTCAACTTTGAGAACCACAGTTCAAATGAAAGCTGAAACTGTCATTGTGCTTTTTCCACCTCAGTCTCATGAGCAGCTTTACCAAAAAGTGTCCCAATGGATGGCTTTGAAAAACATAAAAGCTTCATAGACAGTTCAGTGATCACTGCCTTGTGAGAAGTCCCTAGACTTGGTTTTTATGTAGCTTTTCATTTCATTGAACTCAACATTTTCCAAACTGATTTGACTAAAGAATTCTTTACTCCTTTCAAATGCTCTTGGTGCTGCCTCATTATGCCCCAGCATTTTTTCTTTTTTCCCAAAGTGCTGGGGTTACAGGCATGAACCACCACCCCCAGCCTAATAATTCTGTTCTATAAAAGTGAGGGTTGTGGCCACAGTATTTTACAGCAAGAATGCTCCTCCTGGAAAGCTGTGTGCCCTAAGGAAGGAGGTAACTTATTCCAGAAGGGAGGGTGTGAGGGAAACAGTGGCAAGATTCTCCTGTTCCTGATGCACGAAGGCATTACTTCTCAGAGTGTGGTCCCCAAAACAGCGGCATCCGCATCACCAGGAGACTTGATAGAAGTGCAGACTCTTGAGCCCTGTCCTGGATCTTCTGAATCAGAAACTCTGGGAGTGGGGCCCAGCACCTGTTTTAAGCTCTCCTGGCTATGCTGAGGCACTCTCAGGTTTGAGATCTGGGGTAAGAGGGAGGGAATGGAGCTAGACTCCACTCTTCGGAGGAAGAATGCTGAAGCCCTGAACATAAATTGTGGGTAGAGCTGGGCGCCTAAGAGGTTTTCATTGAAGTCACCTGAATAAACTGAGCTTAGTTGTTCCTCCATTTACACTAAGGCAGTGGTTCTCATTTCCGGTGGCACATTAGAATCACTAGAGAGTGCTTTAAAAATATACCTGCCTAAGCCCGGACCCCACTCAATTGAATCAGAATCTCTGGAGTTGAGTCTGAGGGTCTGCATTTTTAAAAACAAATTTTACTTTAAGTTTCAGCATACATGTGCAGAACGTGCAGGTTTGTTACATAGGTAAACATGTGCTAAGGTGGTTTGCTGTACCGGTCAACCCGTCGTCTAGGTTTTAAGCCCCACATGCATTAGCTGTCTGTTCTAATGCTCTCCTCCTCGTCCCCCAACTCTGATTCCAGCACGCACCCAGGGTTGCAATCTACTGATCCAGAAAGTGGCATTACAAAAAATCACGCTTTGTGTTGTCTTTGTATTTTCATAAATTTTTCCATTAGGCATTTATTTTACCTATTTATATGAGACAAATTACATATTCATACGGAAAAAACACTTGGAAAATATAGAAAAGCTGAAAAGACAGAAGAAATAGCACTCGTGTTCCTACTATCCAAAGACATTTGTCTTTGATATGTTTGTGTGCTTTTTTTCTATCTTGTGTGTGTGTGTGTGTGCGCGCACATGCACGCACTGGTTTGAATTTTTACAGCACTGTGATTCTGTTTAATGAACCGTTTCTGTCCATTTTTAAACTTAACATTATATCTGAAGTAGGCCTGTGCATTGTTATAGTTATACATACGATTTTTAATACACTCTTTTGGTAACATGAAAGAAATGGTTTTTTCACATGTACATACTTTAGGAGGGCATTTAGGGAGGCCTTTCTTTTTTTACAATGCCTGTATTTCAAGCGTACTGCAAAATCCTATTTTGAATGTCAGAAGTAGAACATTAACTCGGTTCTCTTTGAATTTCTATCCACAATCCTAACCTGCCCTCTGTCTTTTCCTCCCCACAAAACCACAGGTAGATCTCTGCATTAAGCAGGCAGGGGATAGTGTCTGCTGCATAAAGTTAAAGAAGCGAAGCACGTATATATTTTCTCAGTATTTTGTAACCACCATTCTATTTGTCAGCCTCAGCTGCTGTCGGATTTCTCTGAAGTCACGAGCTGTAGTCCCACAGGTTGTGGTATGATTCATAAACATTAGAAAGAAAAAACAAATGAATAATGGATGAAAGAGACAGAGGGAAGGTGAGATAAAGGAAAGAGTGGTGGGACAAATAGACTAAGGTTCTGGTGTACCTTGCGCTCAGCCAGAAATGCCAAAATCAAGCCGTGTATCTCGTTTGTTCTCCTATACTTTCAATGTAATGTAATGTTCCCAGGACTTTGTTCTTTGTTGCACAGTTTTATATACATATATGTGTGTATATATACTAATATACTAGATATATATATAAGTATATATACTAATATATACACACATATATGTATAATATGTATATATAATTATATATGTGTATATGTATATATATTCAGTAATATATATATTTTTCATATATAATATATATTTTATATGTATGTGTATATATATTCTTGGCTGCCTCCACCTTCTGACTTAGCTGCTGGTTTGAAAACATGCACGCCATCACTGTTGGGTGAGATGCAGCTGCGCTTGTCTTCCATGTTGGTGTCGTGGATGCGCCAGGTAATTCTGCCCCATCTTCTTGCAGGGCATTATGGGAAGGATGCTTACCGAAGTGGAGGACCTGATCTCCATAACTTCATCTCATCTGGATTTGTCACATTAGGAAGAGGACACACCAAGGGTACAGTGGAAACCATTTTTTACTAAAATACAGAGGTTGCCTAGGGAACGCCATCTGAAATGAGAAGATGGTGTGGAGGCCAGAGGCTTGTCTGGGACAGGAATAAGTGGGGTGGTTCCATGGCAGCTTGTCCTGGTGACATGCGTGGCTTCTGACAGGAGTTACTGGAGGTCACAGGTGTGACTTTAGAGGGCGATAGACTTCCAAGAGACACCCATCCCACTCCACCCATGGCGGGGACACAGATGCCGGCGGCTCCTTGTGGGAAGGGACCACAGGGAGTGTGGTGGAAAACTGCCGGTGGATGTAGCAGCATTTGCAATGTGTGTGTTCGCCTCTTGGCTATTATTCCTTTTCCTTTTGAAAGCTACATTTTATAAACCAATGTCAATGTTCTGTACTGTGGTATCTAAGCCGGTGTGCATGTGGAGAGTTTCAGCATCCTAAGTGTGTCTCCATAAACACTCTATGATGTGGACACAAAGGTAGAAGGTTATGCAGACCTTCAAGCCTCAAGATGAAAGCTAACCTAGAGTTTCTGCTGAGCTGCTTTACAACCTAGCTGACAGCTTGCAGAGCATCTGTGCAGGGGGCATGGACTCCTCCTCAATTCTGTCTTTTGTTTAAACAAGGTCCTACGAGTGTTGTGAGCATTCTGTCACATCAAGAGTCACTGGATCCCTAACTCCTTTAATTACCGTCCCAACACCTGTGTGCTGTTATAGATCAAATGTGAATTCTGTTGTAGGGGTAGTGTATCCCTGTCTTCCCCTGAGATACGTGTCTTGTGTGAGTAAACAAGGAACTGTGCAATATTTTCTTACATTCCATGCACCTACTTTTTAAATTCCTTATGTGATGTTTGTTCATCCTATAGAGAAAAAAAAATCTGTATCTGTGTATGTATTTTCTGTTGTGTCTATTTGTGTCTAAATAAAGTTTATCGAGGATACAGGTGGCATTTGTGGCTACTAAGAGTTGCAGAATCAAACTGAGACCAGCTATCTCCAGAATGGGAAATGGACTTCACATTTACTCACTAAAAGATACATTCTGGGCCATAGTCTATTAACTCAAACCTGGGATTGCTGGTCCCCACATCATCCACTTTGTGATTATTACCTAGCACTGTGAGACAATTTACTCTCAAACTTAGCGTTTTAAAACAGTAATAAACATCCGTTATCTCACATAGTTCCTGTGGGTTGGGAACCTGAGTGCTTTGGGCTTGGAGTCTCATGAGGTTGCCATCACCACGTCAGGCAGGGCTGCCTCCTCTGAAGGCTTGACTAGGGCTGGAGGATCTGCCTCCAAGACGCTTCACTCACATGGTGCTGGATGTTGGCAAGAAGCTTCAGTTCCTCCCCGTGACATTCTCTCCCTGGGTAGCTGAGTGTCTTCACTGCATGGTGCCTGGATTTCCTCAGGGTGGGTAATCAGAGAAGGAGAAAGACAGAAGACACAGCGTCTTTGATGACCAATCCTATCAGTTGCACGCCATTACTTTTGCAATATCTTATTCTGAGTGGGTGGGAACTACACTGAGTTATGAATATCAGGAGCCGAGGATTGTTGGGGGCCAATTCGGAGGCCAGCTACCACAAGCCTACAAACCTTGGAGCAGAGGTGGAAATATGGATTTCCAAACAGAACACGGCAACTGTTAGGGAGGTTTCTCCACTGCAGTGGTTCCCCACCCTTTCCCCTACCCCTTACTCTTATAGGTGGTCCAACCCAAAACACCCAACACTTCAACCAACAGAACTCTTTATACATATAATAAATATGATGGCTTTGGGTTCATGCTTTCTTTCAACAAATATTTAATGAGGCCTGCTATGTGCTAAGCAATATTTAGAAGTTATGGAGTTTATGGAGTTCCTTACAGAACTCACATTCCACTGGGAGAAACAGACAAAATAAATTATTGACAATAAGTGCAAGGAGAAAAATTAAAGCAGGCAGCAGGGAGTGCAGTGGCAGGAAGCTGGTCTTCCCAGGGAAGGCCTCTCCAATAAGGTGGGAATTGGGGAAGTAGAAAGGAGGCCAGTCTGAGTACAGCAGGATAAAAGAGGACCAGAGTGGAAAGAGAGAGGATCCAAGCCATAGGTGAGCCAGATCATGCATTTATCCAATAGTGGACGTTAAACTGCTTCCAAATGAACTGGACTCCATCAGAGCCACATGAAGGTGATTCCCAATCCCTGTCTGTTCTTTCAGTCACTGCTGCTGGGGGCATCCAGGAGACCCTCCCCTGCCCATGCCTGTGGGGCTGTGCTGTGTCTGATGCTCCTTATCTCCCATCTTAATTTGTTCTGTGGCACCACCTGCCCCTCCTGTGCGTGCATTGCTTGTTCTCCCCATTCACTATTTGTGCCATATTTTTCTCCCCGTTCCTTTCTCTACCAAGGCTTCTGACACCTTCTCTTTCCAGGAATGTACCTTGTGTGTATTTCCCTATTTAGAGAACAGCTAAAGTTTCAAGAACAAAGAATCTGGGTTTGAGGTTGGTGGTTGGGGGTAGTGGGTGCAGGCAGACTTCGGAAATGGAGATTCCGTTTTTTAGAGAGAGAGAGAGAGGGAGACAGGGTCTCACTCTGTTGCCCAGGCTGAAGTACAGTGGCACAATCATAGCTCACTATAACCTCGAACTCCTGGGCTCAAGTGATCCTTCCATTTCAGCCTCTTGAGTAGCTGGGACTACAGGCGCATGCTCCCATGCTCAGCTAATTTAATTTTTTTTTATTTTTGTAGAAACAGGGTCTCACTATGTTGCCCAGGCTGGTCTCAAACTCCTGGCCTCAAGTGATCCTTCCACCTTCCCCTCCCAAAGTGCTGAGTTTATGGGATTGAGTCACTACATCTGGCTTGAACTTCCCTTCTAATGTCAGGGACTCTTTAGTCCTCTGGACAGCTGGGATCTCTGGAAAAGGGCAAGGAACCATCCTCTCTTCCTTCAGAGCAAACTAAGTTCAACTCTAAGTGCTAGCTGTAAGCAACTGGCCCCATGTAAATATCCCATGGAAGGGAACAATTCAGAAACATCTAATGTGGGGTCACTTTCATTTGTATGTGTTTAATTCTCTTTGTTTTATTTCTCTATCCTTTGTTTCAACTTCAGTGACTCTCTTTCTGGATCCTCTTCCTTTATTCCTTTTTCCCTCTTCATCCAACATTTTCCTCCAGCCTCCTGGTGGCATCTAGCCATTGCGTTGCCCCATTTTGACTCTCAGGACTAAATGGGTAGCCAACACCTGCTTTGCAAGGTAATACCATTGCCCTACTAACCCAGATCACTTAATTTAATGTGTATTTCTAATCAGACTCTGATTGTCCAAGAGCCAAGAATGGATGGTCCTTGTTCTAAGTGAAGATGGGAGTCTTCATTGGAATCTTAGTCGACATCAGTCCTGTCAGCCTTTTTTTTTTTTTTTTTTTTTTTTTTGAGACGGAGTCTCACTCTGCCACCTAAGGCTGGAGTGCAGTGGCACGATTGTGGCTCACTGCAACCTCTGTCTCCCGGGTCCAAGCAATTCTTCTGCCTCAGCCTCCCAAGTAGCTGGGACTACAGGCATGCGCCACCTTGCCTGGTTAATTTTTGTATTTTTAGTAGAGACAGGGCTTCACCATGTTGGCCAGGCTGGTCTCAAACTCCTGACCTCAGGTGATCTGCCCATCTCAGCCTCTCAAAGTGCTAGGATTACAGGCATGAGCCACCATGCCCAGCCCTGTCAGCCCTTTTTTATAGGCTCTAGAGGCAGCTTGGAGACAGAAGCACCGTCTAGCATCAGCGGGGGCTCTTCCACTTCAAGGGCCTGGGGGTAAGAATGCATATGGATCTGTCTGCTTTGTAACAAGATCCATAGTTCATGGGTAATTAAATAGTCTCAAAGGAAGCCTGCAATAAACGCGTATTCTTTTGTTAGTGGGATTGAGAACGTGAGATCTTATAAAACATAGAATTCTGCCTGTGGGAGCTCCATATCCCTCAAAGGCCTCTACTGTCTCTCCCACCTGTTGGTAGAGCCTTCATTTTTGTCTAGAAGGTCCCACAGTGATTGGCCAACCCCCCAGGTTACATAGCACTACCTTAGGCTTCCCAGGCACTAGAATTAGTTCTGACACCCGTTTTCAGGACTTTCTAACTGAATGGCATACTCATTCTTTCTCTTATGATTCTTACTTTTCCTCTTACTATCTCCTTCTAAGTACCTGCTTCTGCATGTCTCCCTTTCTTGGTTCCTTTCTTTGACCTCCTGTTCATTCATCCCTCATGATAAATAGAATCTAGGTCTAAGATGCTGATCTGAATGACCATGAGTTTAGGCCAAGTTCCCCCTGAAATAT
This sequence comes from Homo sapiens, assembly GCF_000001405.40. NCBI lineage: Eukaryota > Metazoa > Chordata > Mammalia > Primates > Hominidae > Homo > Homo sapiens. Next base: position 11,383,857 of record NC_000017.11, read on the forward strand.
TTTCTTCGTTAATTAGACAAGATCACTCAGCCCCCAACACTGGAACCCAGAATGGTCTTTAGCAAGGCAAAGAGTCCTCCCAGGCTGCCACCATGAAAACTCAGTGATGAAGACTTCTATTTGCTGAGCATTTACTATGTACCAGGTCTTTACATACATACATACATACATAAATACATACATACTGTGTGCCAGTATCTTCCCCTTTACAACCACCCTGTGGGAGAGCTCGTTACCTTCATTTCATAGGCAAAAAGTGAAACTCAGAGCAGTTGAGCAACTTGCCTAAGTCAACATCAAGCAGTCAGTCTTGTTTTATTCCCAATCCAGGCCTGATTCTGAAGATCTGCTGCTGCTCACTGTGCTATCCTGCCTCTCCAAGCTGCGGAGCAGCTGAGGTGGTGGATGGGCTGTGCTTCCATGGGAACCACAAGTAGATGCTCAGTGGAAGATGACTCTTCTTATTAGAGGCACACATTTTGCAAGACAGGAAGTCATAAAAAAGATAAGCCAGGAGTTACAGCATGAACACTAGATTGGCAGGGACTGCCCTTCCTGGGAGAAAGCTCAGCCCCTTCAGATAGATTTTCAGAATCTGTCTAAATGAATACCCCTATGGAAACCCTATTCGACTTTGGCAATTTGGTTAAAAACTCAGTCCGGCTGGTTGATTTTTGAGCCTGGTTGAAAAAGCCAGAGAATTCTTTCCAGAACCCCCACATTTCAATATTGTCAATTCCAGTCGTTTCCACTGGGATATCCCTGGCCACACCAGGGTAAGTAAGGGGTCCTTACAGTGGTGGCAGCGGCAGTGGCAGATGTGCTCCCTGCAGCTGCAGAGTGAATGTGACATACAGGTCCCCATGGAGGTGATGATGCGAGTTACTGCCTGCCCTCCTCTGATATTTCTCACCACTCACCAGGTCCTTTCTGCCATGCTGGGAGCCAGATAGACGAGGGTGGGAGTTAGAGAGAGAGAGAGGAAGAAAGACCAAGGGAGAGAGAAAGAGAAATTTTTGAAGCCTTTGGTAAAAGAAAGGAGCTACAGTGATCGCTCTGTTGTAGGAGCGATTGCCCGTTTTTCCATTAATTCCTCCACTAAATCACATTTCCTGAGCACTGGCTGAATACCAGACACTGTTCTGGGCACTGAGGATACAGCAGACAAACTTACATGTCAGTCAGAGAAGACAGAAATAAATCAAGATGCAAGTAAATATATGAAGTAGGTCCAATGGAGTTAGGAGCTTTGGAGCAATTAAGGCAGGGAATGGAGTGGGGAGCTGCACTTTTTAAAAGAGAGTCCAGAAGGCCTTAGGAAAAATAAAAAAAGAAGTGACATTGAGCAAAGACTGACTGACGGATGTGAAGGATCAGGCCGTCTGGATTCCCGGGGAGAAGGGTCTTCCAGGTGAAGGAACAACTGTGCTTTGCCTACCTGGCTTGTGTGGGGCGCAGCAATGAGGCTGGAACAGAAGGAGCCAGAGTGTAGTGGTTGGAGGTGTGGTCAGAAAGGTGCAGGGAATTGACCCCACAGGGCCCTGTGGGGCATTTAAGAATCTGGCTTCCACTCTGGGGAAATGAGAAAAGACACGTTTTGGGGCTGAGGTATTGGCAAGGTGGAAGTCTGTGGAAGGACCAGATTTTAGGCAGAGATCAGGACGCATACGAATTCAGTGTGTCTTCATGTTAAGTTTCAGATGCTTGTTAACCATCCAGGTGAAAATGCTGAGTTCAAGGGAAAACTCTTGGTTGGGGATAGAAGGGTAGGAGTTTCCAGTAGGTGAGTGGCTTTTGAAGCTGGGAGGATATTAGCTAGGGAGTGAGTCGTGCTCTTCAGGTGATGAGGCCTGAGAATGGAGCCATAGGGCACCCCAACAGGGAGAGGCTGGGGGGATGAGGAGGGACCTACAGAAAAGACAACTCAAGAGTAGGTAGCCAGGCATCAGGAAACCAGGGTGGTGTGCTGTCTTGGAAATAGAGTGGAAAAAAATAAATGTTCCCAAGAAAGGGAGCAATCAGCTATTATAGACTGTAGAGAAATCCAGTGAGCTGAAGCGTGAGAAGTGACCACGAGACCGAGGCTCGTGGAGATCATTGATGAACTTGGCAAGAACAGTTTGGGGGTGGGAGGGGGGAACATCTACTCAGTGGATGCAAGAGAGAATGGATGACGTCTGGGATGTGCTCATTACCTGGACAAACCAAGTGATGGGAAGAGGAAGGTGCATTATTTCAGTAAATGTCAGAAATGTTTCCTAATAAAAAGTTACAAGTGGGAGGCCAAGGAGGGCAGATCACCTGAGGTCAAGAGTTCAAGACCAGTCTGACCAACATGGCGAAACCCCGTCTCTACTAAAAATACAAAATTAGCTGGGTGTGGTGGTGCACACCTGTAATTGCAGCTACTTGGGAGGCTGAGACAGGAGAATCACTTGAACTCGGGAGGTGGAAGTTGCAGTGAGCCGAGATCATGCCATTGCACTCCAGCCTGGGCAACAAGAGCGAAACTCCATCTCAAAAATTAAAAAGAAAAAGAAAAAGTAATAGAAGATTTTAAAATAAGAGAATGGGAGAAGACAAATGCAGACTACAGGTACTGACAACTCTTTAGAGTTTTAATGTTAAGGATTATAGAGAATGAGAGCAGTAGTCAGCCAGAAGGGAGGATGGTGAAAAGAGAGTTTTGTTTTGCTTTGTTTTGTTTTTTTAAGAGGAGAGAAATCACAGTCCATTTATCTGCAGATAGGAATGATCCAATAAAAAAGGGAAAAATTGATTATGCTGGGGGTGTATTTCAGAAGTAACATTCTTGGTAAGTGAAAGCAGATAGAATCTACAGCTCAGGCGGGGCGCTGGCCTTGGCAAGGAGCAAACCCCACCAGGCCACATATGACAGATAGGCCACACGGCCACAGGTGCAGGCAAGTGGGTGTATGTGATCTTTGCTCAGTGAAATGGAAAGCAAACCATCAGCTGTAAGTGAGGGGTTAGGGTGACCGACCATCCCGGGTTGCCCAGGACTGTCCAGTTTTAACACTGAAAGTCCTGTGTCCTAGGAAAACCCTCAGTTTCTGGCAAATGAGGACAGTTGGTCACCCTAATGGTGTGGGAGAAAGCTCTGCCAGTCTGGCTTCAAAGCATTTTTCACGATAACCTGCAGAACCCAGAGAAGTAGCATAAGGGTGCTTCTGCCCAGAGCTCGAACCGGCACAGCTCCAAGGCCCTAGGAAATATTGGGACTGCTCTGAGGTCACCTGGGAGATGGAGACAAGGCCAGAATGCAAGAAGCTGTTGGCCTGCGAGCACCTTTCCAGACCCCACAGAACAACCCTGAACAGATCTCGTCATCCCATCCAAATAATGCTGTTGGGGACTGGTTTGGGTATGGCCATCCTGCTGCCCAGACAGGCACTCCATGGGGTCTAAGGCAGAAAGTTCAGGGGCTAAATGCTAAAAAAGGGGTGAGTGCATTGGAGCAGGTGATGAGTTCAAGGCTGGAAAAGTGACCATCCTGAGGCCAATTTAGGGGTCTCACTAACAAGGGAATCACAGAGGTGCCCCCTTGACTGTGCAAACCCACCGATCTGAGGAGGAGGAGCTGTGGGGCTGGAGGGATTCTAGACGCTAGGCTGATGGCACCTGCTATATCTGACTCTGAGAAGGGCATGAAGCCAGGCCTGGCTTATAAAATTCAGAAAACGCAGAGATGTTAGTCAGTGATGATGGGGGTAAATAGTCTAACCAGCATAAGAGAGCAGGACAAGGGGAAGCAAGGATAAGAGCCTTAGTCCCTGGAATTGGTGGGGGATGTGAGAGTAGAAGATTTTTGAGGAGTGTGACTTTGGGAAATAACAATGGCCAGGGACTAACCATTAACGTGGGAGGCTGAACAAAGCAGAGAAGTTAATCAAAGCTGAGGTCAGGGACCTCCTCCAGCTGAGTCAGGTTTTATGTGGACTGTGGACATCCTACCCAGCACTGCCTTCTGGTGCTGAGCTTGCTTTATCTCCTCAGCCCTTTCTGCAGCCCCACAGCTGATCTGATCCAGGGGCCGTGCTCACCACTCCCACCAGCCCATTTGTCTGGGTGCTGCTCATGGCCTCATGTGATACAAGATTTGAAATTAGGCCTTTTCTCCTAGGAAGAAAGTATGGATGTGTATGTGTGGGCCTCTGTAAAGTCACAGGCTGCCACCCCCACACCAGGATTTGGGCAAGAACCCCAGACCAACAGTGGATTGTGGCAAGGAGATGTCTGAGGCATTTGACTAATAGAACCCTGCCTAGATATTTTCACAGTCCGGAGAGCCAGGGGAGTGAGTGGGTTTGAGTATACCAAGGTGTTTGAATGCTGGACTCTAGATAAAGCGCAGCACTCAGAAGGCGTCGAGTCTCCATGGCAACAGTGAGCTTTTTCAACCCTGAGAGGGAAGCACAGGCTTATCTGGGAATGGACTCTGTGAAGCCAGTACCACCTGGGAGCCGTCTTTCTTGTGTGGCTCTATAGGTGAAGGGAGGATGGGTAGGAGTGGGAGCAGAGCAGAGAGGAACTCTCGGGTTCTGGGCTGAGGGCACCAAAGATCTCAGCTGACTATTGGTCATTCGGATCTGCATATGTGGGACGGCACCCCTGTTTACTTCATGTCTGCTCACTCCTGATTAATGTCTGGATACGGAGAACCTGTCATTGCCTTGGTGTGCTCAGCTTTATTCAGTAGTGTTTCCCATGACCCTGGTTAGCACACACAGGCTCTCCCTAAGTCTTACCCTTAGGAAAATCTGCGGCATCGGTGTGATTCCATATGTTGTTAGAATCCAGTCAACCTCACACCATAGCTACTTGGTAAAAAAAATGATTGCATCAGAAGTAAAGATGGGCCTGTAGGAATGGTAAGTTTTATCTTCAACAGAACTACTGTTCAAACAAAAGTTTATATATATATATATATATATATATATATATATATATATATATATATATATTTTAAAAAAGGTAAAAAAAAAAAACCTTTGAGAGTTTCTCAGTCGGGTAGTTCTGTTTGCAAGTTCAGCCATTTTGCCTAAGGGCAATGATTCTGCAAAACTCCCTTTCCCATATGGGTTCTGTTGACAAGGATACCCACCACCCTCCAGAAAGCAGAAAGGATGCTGTGACTCCTCAGTATGGCCCAGGACTCTGTCTCCAGCTGGATTCACAGCAATTAAGCCAGTCAGGTTGATATGAGGAGCAGGAGAGCACTAAGCACTCAAGCATGGGACAAGTTCCTGAGCCACCCACGGAGTCCACCTCTAAGGTAGCACCACCACATTTGCCCTCAGGAGACTCACTCATATCCCTGTTTAATGCTTGTTTGTGGGCCTGCTACCATTGGCCCATGTAGGTGGCAGGCGAAGCCACTGGGACAATCTTCTGGACTGGTGTAAGGAGAGGAGAGATAGTACCCGGCAAAGGAGGAGTGCCAGATAAACTGCAAGGCTGCTTGCTTGCGGAAGTTTCAGCTCTTACCTGTAGGGTACATGTATGCTTTCTTCAAAAGGGGAATAACTCAGGCATAGCTGGATCTCCCATGGCCCCCGGTAGGGAGCAAGAGAGACTTTAGGACACTGAGGGTCATGAATGTGTCCCATATTCCTCAGCATTCACCAGCTTGTCTTCTTTCTATTAGGCAGAAGGGGAGGCTCACGGGAAGTCTGTTATAACCCTAATCTTGGTGCTTTCTTTACCATCTCTTTGGGAGAGGAGAGAGGGCGGAGTTCTGTTTTGCCAGAGGCTGGCTTGCTCAGCCAGAGGTCTAGCAGCTCTGGGCTGTTGCTCTTCTTGTTTTCCAGTCCCTCGCTGGTGCCAAATCTGAGCTTTCTCTTGCCATGACCCTTGGGCTAGTACAATCTCTCCTCCTGGCACTGGTCTTGGCACTGAGTGGTCATCTAAGTTGGGAATCTCCCCTTCTTATGTGCCAGCCCTTGGCATTTGCTTCCCTCATTCTCTACTGCTCACTGCCAAGAGTCTTACAGACCCTGAAAGCTAAGCTATGGGGCTAAGTCAAACCCCAGGAAGGTGGTAGGAATGGCTTCTCTATGCCAGCTTGGGTTTGTGGCCAGGAGAAAACAGCCTCTCAATCAACAGTGGCCAGGATTCCATGGTGGCCTAGAAGTGGGGCAGAAGACTGGTGTTCTCAGGGCATCACTGTTTGAAACATAACTATATTCTGTGCAGATTATAAACATGGCAGAGTAAAGACATTTCAGCCTCTCTTGCCTAGAATCATGGCCTCAGCCTCAGTCTTACTCCACTCCAAATAGTAACGTAAATTTTCTTCATTCAGTGGTTGTTGGAAGAAGAAAACTGGTGAAGAGAGTCATGGAGTCAGACATGCTGGACTTCTGGCTCTAACCTTGCTAGCTGTGTGACTTTGACCTCTTTGACATTCATCTATATAATAGGGTAACAGTACTACCTACTTATCAGGGCTGTTGTGGAGACTGTAGGAGAAACACCTGCACCAGAGCTCTGAGCACTCAAGCAATGGTAGCCCTTCATGTTGTTGGAGTTTAAGAGCGCTGTAGAATCTTACCCCTCAAAGGATGATGCACAGACCAGCCATTGGGCTTCACTTGGGAGCCAGTGAGAAATGCAGACTCCCAGGCCCCACCCCAAACCTACTAAATCAGAATCACCATTTTATTATAACGAAAACTCCAGGTAATTCATACATGCATTAAAATTTGAGAAGCACTGATAAAAAATATTTTTTTTTAATTTCAGTGAAGTCCCCTCAATGGCCTTTAAGATCACTTCTAAGATTCATATGCCACACAGTCTCATTCTATATCCTGCATGTTGGAAGCCAGGTTGTCCCATAGCTGAGGAAGAAAATAATTTGAAGAGCTCTGAGGGAGGATGCAGAGACCTCTTAAGATTCCAGTGACCTGTTCTAGATAGGGAACCAAAACCAGCAACAGAGACATGTTACATTTGCCCATTCCAGTGAAACTCAGGTATCAGTTGAGCAAAGATGAGTAAGACAGATTCTGCCTGTGAGAAGCCAGGCAGTAAAACTCCTGCCGAGTAAATGGGAAGTGCCATGAAGTAGATACCATGAACAGTGGAGGATATTATAAGAGAAAAATGTTGCCTCTGAATGGACGGGTCCTAAATGGCCTCCTATGGGAGACGGGGTTGAGAGAATTACCTTGCAGGAAAAGAAGAAAGTGACGGGCTGAGAATAGGGCAGGGCAGGTATTTCAGGTGGGGGAGCCTCCTAAACAAAGACATGATCATGGAAATGCAGATGTGTGGGGCCATAAGTCACCTGTAGAGGGTAGAGCAGAAAAGTCATGGGACCATAAGCCAACTGTAGAGGGTGGGCAGGAAGGTGATGGGGCCATAAGTCACCTGTAGAAGGTAATGAGAAAGCGATGGGGCTATAGGACACCTGTAGGGAGGTAGTGGAAAAGTGAAGGCACCGTAGGACACCTGTAGGGGGCAGTAGGAAACAGAGCTAGAAAGGCGGGTTGGAGGCACAAAAATGTGAGCTGAGTTAAACATTACAATTAATGACCACTGCCCATGCCCTCTTCCTCCTTGTTACACTTCTGCCTTTAAGAACAGAACTAAGGAGCAAAGCAGCACGCAAAAAGCAGACCTCTGTGTGTGGCTGACTCCATGGACAGAGATGGACTACAAACTGATGTTCAACTCCCCTCACCTCTACTCTTCTCAGCACGACTGTCCCCGTTTGTGTGAATTGTGGTGCAGCTCAGACTGCAGAGCTGAAGGGAGTTGAGTGGGTTTATGGATTTCGTGCTCCCCAGAGACTCAACCATGGCCCCAATCATGGATAGTTTCACTGTTGCAGGCCTCAGTTTCCTCATGTAAATCAGAGCATTGAAGATTGATAAGACCCTTTATTGTCCGACATTCTGGGATAGTTTCAAGGTAAGACACTTCCTAAATGTCGGCCTACTGCATCGAATAAGGTGGGGAGCTTTTCCCCCAGAGGATGTCTTTGAGTTTGAACACCCCATGTGTTCTCAGAGCAGTCTATTCTTCTGCCACTCTGAGTCTTGGACCATTCATATCCTTGTTTACCAGTAATAAGACCCTCCCAATATGAACATAGGACTGAAAAGAAGTGGCTTTTTTCTAAGGTTAATAGCAGATTGTTCGTAGTTCATACCTGAAGGCCCTTCCACAAGGAATTCAAAAATGTGCAGTTTGGGTTCAGAGGGGCCAGAGCTCATAAAGTATTCATTCCTTGAATAGGATTGATGTCAGACTCTTGTTCTCTTCATCTGCTTCCCAGTGAATCTTTTTTTTTTCTTCTGTCCTGGGGGAGTAATTCTGGGGAAATGTAATGGTTTTCTGGTTTTTCACTAAGAGCAGTTGAACGCCTGAGCCCTGAATCCATTTAACCAAAATAGATAGGGCCATGGCATAGTCATTAGCTGCTGTGCCAAAACTCATGTTGAAATTTGACTCTCAGTGCGGCAGTGTTAGGAGGTGGAGCCTAGTAGAGGGGTGTTGGCTCTTGGGGGAGGATTCCTCAGGAATAGATTATTGTTGTCCCATCGGGGTGAGTTCTTTCTCTCACAGAACTGGATTAATTTCCTGAGAATGGGTTATTATAAAAGTGAGTTTGCTTCCTAGATGCTCTCTTGCTTCCTCTGTTGCCATGTGATCTCCATACACACCTAGACCCCGCTTTGCTTTGTCATGAATGGAAGCATCATGAGCCCCTCAGCAGATATAGCTGCCCAGTCCTGGACTTTGCAGCCACCAGAATCGTGAGCGAAATAAACCTCATTTCTTTATAAATTACCCAGCCTCAGGTATTCTGATACAGCAACACAAAATGGACTAAGACATGAGCTATGCCCAGATTGGGGTGTAGCAGATTAGAGAGAAGCTTACGCTTATGCAATGAAGACATTGTTCCCACAGTGAAAAACCAAGGAGAGAGCCACAAATGTAGACAAGTGGGCAGTGAGGGAATGGAGCCCCAAGCCAGGATCCACAAAGAAGGCCCTACATGGCTGGGGCTGAATAAGGCAGGTTCTTTGGCAGCATCAGGTGGGAGGTGGGGTACCAGTGGACCAAATGAGTAGAATCAGTAACCCCCTTTTTGTGCGAATTGAGAGGTTCTGGGGAAGCCTCGCTCTTGAGCATTTGCCCCTAAGCCTATTGTTCTACACAAATTCTGTCATCTTAGCCTTTTCTTTAGATATGAGACATTCCTAGTCTTCAGGAGATCCCCTTTAAGAAGATATCTGGGCATTTATTGAGGTATTGGGCCTTGGTCCTTTTCCTCCAAATTCCTCTTCCCCTAGTGTTCCCCACCTTGGTAAATGGCTCCACTAGCTATACAGTTGCTCAAGCAGCACTCTACACACTGCACACTATCCTTGACATCTTTCTCTCTCTCACTGCCTGCATCCAAGTCCGTTACCATTCTATTTCATTCTCTTGAACTTACACACCATTTGCCCCCTTCTTAGCCAGGATCCTAGTCTGTACCTCCTCTGCTTCCCATCCAGATGAGTTGCAAAGGTCTCCTCCATGCAGTTCCATTTCCACTGCCCACCCTTCACCCACATCCTGTCCTCTACTGAGCAGCCAGACTGATCTAACTCATTCTACCTCATTTAACCAAATTTGCTCCAATGTACCTTCCTAACCTAATGTATTCCAGTGTAATCTTTCTAAAGCTCAGCTCTATTGTTATTACTTAGGTTATTTATTTGAGCCAGAATCTTATATATATATATTAACCCTAACTCTTTGGAACAGTGCTTGCCCATCATAAAAATGCTGAGCTCAAAACTCTGAAATGGCAAGATGCACCTACTCTTCTTTCATTCCTCTATTCTGTGGTAAAAAACATGACTCAGAATCAAAGCAAACAAGGCTCTACATCATCTAGCCCTTGCTTAACACCCAGGCATCTTGCTCTGCTGCTGTCCTTCTTGCTCACTGCACTCTAGCCAAAATTGGTTTCTTTTCTGCTCTTCCCTTTTTAGGGCCTTTGCACAGGCTGTTCTTCTGTCTGGAATGTTCTTCCACTTTGGTACTTATTGAACCAATATACTCATCGTCCAGGTCTCTGCCTAAATTTTCCTTTCTCTAGTAAGTCTTCCTTGGCCCTTAAGTGAAAATTATATCTTTCATAATATTTTCTTTATCATACTCTTCAAAAAATTATTTTTAACTTGTATGCTGTCTTGCCTAATGCCTGTCTTTGCCCCTGTGTGAGCAAGGACCATATCTGGAGTGTTGACCACTGTGTTCCCTATGGCTAGCACAGTGCCTGGCACATATTTGATGCCCAGTGGATATTCACTACAGAATGAGTGGATGGATGGATGGATAAATTGAAACAACTCCAACCTGGGAGTCAAGAGACCTGAGAACTTCCAGGTAAATGTAGTATTAGAAAATTGCTTCATCTTTCTGAGTCTGCACCTCCGTACCTGTAAATTTTTGAGAAGATATTTTTCATTTCTAATATTCCAGGACTCCTGCATATGTGCTGAGACACAATGCATCTGTGCTAAGACAGTCCCTTCCACCTCTGTCAAAGTTGGTGCCCCTTTAATTGAGTCATCTCTGTACCTTTTATGAACCTATTACCACTCAATCATATACATTTTTGAACACAAAAGTCTGCATATTGCCTTTTTCAGCTTAATATTCCTTGTAGATCATTTGATATCTACACCTACAGCTTTAGCTCAATTCTGCACCTCCCCCATGACTGCTTAATCGTATATGCTATTATACCATCATTTATATAGCCAGTTTTAGGCCCACAACTTTATTTTTATTGATTTTTTAATGTTTTTATTTAGAAACAATTTCAGACATATATAAAAGAATAACGGTGCAGATAATTCCTGTATACCCTTCGAATTTTCCAAATTTTAACATTTTAACACATTTGGTTTATCATTTTCTATCTTTTTGCTTCTTTTAGTCTCTGTCTCTCTTTTTCATTACGTATAATATATACACAAATATACACATACATACATTATAAACATGTACAGTTTTGCAACTATATGTATATATTGTTTTATAATTGTTTTTCTGAAATATTTGAGAGTAAATTTCAGATATGGTGGCCCTTTATTTTTTTTTCTTTTCTTTTTTTTTTTTTTTTTTTTTGAGACAGAGTCTCGCTCTGTTGCCCAGGCTGGAGTGCAGTGGCGCGATCTCGGCTCACTGCAAGCTCTGCCTCCTGGATTCACACGATGGCCCTTTATTTCTAAGTACATATGTATTTTTTTAAACTCAAGGACATTCTTTTACACAGCCACAGTATGCTTATCAAAATCAGAAAAATTATCATTGATACAATACCAGTACATAATCTAAAGTGTTTATTCAAACGTACCACTAGTGTAAAAAGAAAAATGTTTTTCCTGGTCTGGGATCACATGTTTAGGTTTATTTCTAAGTAGCTGATCATCATTGCTGTCTGTAAATGAGGTTTCTCTGCCACAGGCCCTCTAACTGTTTATGCTTGAATATATGAAGGCTATCGATTTCCTTGTGTTAATTTTATATTCTGCTACCTTACTGATTTCTTTTATTGCTTATTTTTATTATTGGCATCCTAGGTATGCTATCATATTATATGCAAATACAGGCAGTTTTACTTTTTTTTTTTTTTTTTTTTTGAGACGGAGTTTTGCTCTTGTTGCCCAGGCTGGAGTGCAGTGGCATGATCTCAGCTCACTGCAAGCTCCGCCTCCCGGGTTCAAGCGATTCTCCTGCCTCAGCTTCCCAAGTAGCTGGGATTACAGGCGCCCACCACCACGCCCAGCTAATTTTTGTATTTATAGTAGAGACAGGGTTTCACCATGTTGGCCACGCTGGTCTCGAACTCCTGATCTCAAGTGATCTACCAGCCTCGGCCTCCCAAAGTGCTGGGATTACAGGCCTGAACCACCGTGCCCGGCCAGTTTTACTTCTTTACAGTTATGCTTCTCTATTGTCTGATTGCATTGGATTAATGCCACTAGTAAAATGTTGAATAGTAGAGAAGATAAAGGGCATCTTTGCTTTGTTTCTGATGTTAGTGGAAATCCCTCCAGAGCGTTTCCATTAAGATCCTGTCTTTATGACTAAGGTAGATAGACAGAGATGCTAGATAGATAGATACAGATTGATTCACAAGAATTCATGTTGAGAAATTATCCTTCAGTTCCTATTGTCTTGAGTTTTTTTATTAATCAAGAATGGATACTGAATTTTGTCAAAAGCTTTTTCAGCATCTGTAGAGATCATCATAGACTTTCCCCTTAGATCTGTTTTTTTGTTTTATAATTTAAATGGATTTCCTAATATTGACCTAATCTTGCAGTCTTGGAATAAATCCCATGTTGTTTTATTTTCTTAATATAGTATTGGATACTGTTTGCTAATATTTCATTTAGCATTTTTGTGTCAATATTCATGAATGATACTGGTTGATAGTTTTCTTTCTCATACTGTCTTTATCCTGTTTAGTATCAATGTTATACTTGCTTTATTAAAAGAATTAGGGTTGGTTCCAAGTCTTTGCTACTGTGAACAGTGCTGCAATAAACGTACGTGTGCATGTGTCTTTATAGTAGAATGATTTATAATCCTTTGAGTGTATACCCAGTAATGGGATTGCTGGGTCAAATGGAATTTCTGGTTCTAGATCCTTGAGGAATCGCCACACTGTCTTCCACGACGGTTGAACTAATTTATTCTCCCACCAACAGTGTAAAAGCGTTCCTCAACAAACTAACACAGGAACAGAAAGCCAAACACCACATATTCTCACTCATAAGTGGGAGCTGAACAATGAGAACACATGGACACAGGGAAGGGAACATCACACACCAGGGCCTGTTGGGGGTTGGGGGGCAAGGGAAGGGAGAGCATTAGGACAAATACCTAATGCATGCGGGGCTTAAAACCTAGATGATGGTTGACAGGTGCGGCAAACCAACCTGGCACGTGGATACCTATGTAACAAACCTGCACGTTCTGCACATGTATCTCAGAACTTAAAGTAAAATTTTAAAAAAAGAATTAGAAATTCCCCTCCATTTTCAATGCTCTGGAACCCATATGTACAACATAGTGGCTCTCTGGTTTTTGTAGGCTGGAAACGGTTCTCCTATGAAACCATCGGGGCCTAGAACTTTTAGGTAGGGTAGTTTATTAACTTAAATTTTTTTACAAGCTGTACATTTTTAGCTGTTTCATTTATATTTTAAAATGTTGACTTTTAGGTAGATTTTCATATGTTTTTTTCCTAGTAGTTACCTTTGTACTTACTTCTTAAATACTACTTAGTTCCAAGTGCTTGTATTTAACTTTGTAAAACTAGTTTATCAATTTTATTGGTATTTCTTAACTTACACTTCCTGCCTATACAACAATCAATGTGATTATTCTACTTTTTTTTCCTGCCTCCTTTCTCTTTCCAGTTTTTAGTTGCATTATTTCTACTTTGTCACATACAGCATCTGGGTGCTAAATGTCTACTCTCTTACCTGCCTCTGTGTGTGTGTGTGTGTGTGTGTGTGTGTGTGTGTTCACTACCTTTTAATTTTGTTTTTTCTCTGAAGTTTGCCCAGTCCTCTCTTGGCTGGAGTTTATCTTCCAACAGATTGCTCAAGTAGGGCTTGTGGATGCATAATTCCCTGAGTTCTTGTGTGTTGAAACTGTTGTTTTACGTACTTGACACCTGAAGGCAATCTGCCTGGTTTTGAAATTCTAGGTTCACACCTTCTTTTCCTGGAAAATGCTGTCCCATTGTTGCCTTGCTTTCTATGTTACTTTTTTTTTTTTTGAGACGTCTGATGACAGTTAAATTCTTCTCATCTTATAAGTTATTTGATCTTTTTGTTTAAAAGGCTTGAGAATTTTTTTCTTTCTCTTTGAAGTCTTGGTTTTGCTAGGACATCAGAGTTGATGATTCCGAGTACATTTTCCAGGTACCTGGTGGGCTTTTTTCATACGTACCTTAGTGTCATATCCAAGGGAGATTAGAGCCCCCCCTTAGGCATCTTGTACATTAGTCCTCATTTTGTCTTTTTCTTTCATTTCTTTCTCAAGTTCAATTAATTCTTTTTAAATTTTTCCTTTCTGCTGGTTGTTTTTAATTTTTGAATTTCTGTTTTAAAACTTTTTTTTCTTAATAACTACAAATGTGTCCTTAAGGCTGTTTAATTCATTTCCAAGTATTGTGTTAGATTTTCTCCTGCTTCATGGTTAGTTTTGCGTAATTTTGGGAGAAAATTGTTGTCAGTATAGGAGTTTGGATTTGGAGTCTCATTTTACATTTTTAACAATAGATTAGTATATGTTTATTCATATTTTTATCCCTTTAAAAATTTATAGCTGTATATACTATTCGTATTTTAAAAAGGCATCCTCTTCTATTAGTACAAAAAATACAATTTTATTAATGGATATGATGGTGATGATGATGATGAGGAAGTAGTTATGTGTCCTCTGATTTTTTTGGTCCTCTTTCGTCTTACAGGATGCCACTACTCCCCACTTCTATGCCTCCTTTTCTTTAATGAACAATCTCCAGAGTGCTTCTTTCCCTATTTTACTTTCTTCTCATTCAGAAGACTGTTACTTTGAGTTGCATGTAATCAATACTCTGACCTACCAGGACACTTTTCCAGTATTTTCATACTTAGGATGAACTTCCGCATTCCGACAGTAGGTTTTTTTGTTTGCTTGTTTTTTTGTTGTTTTTTTTTTGACAGACTCTCGCTCTGTTGCCAGGCTGGAGTACAGTAGCGCGATCTCAGCTCACTGCAACCTCCGTCTCCCGGGTTCAAGCAAATCTCCTGCCTCAGCCTCCCAAGTAGCTGGGACTACAGGTGTGTGCCACCACGCCCAGCTAATTTTTGTATTTTTAGTAGATATGGGGTTTCACCATGTTGGCCAGGATGGTCTCGATCTCTTGACCTTGTGGTCTACCTGCTTTGGCCTCCCAAAGTCCTGGGATTACAGGCATGAGCCACCACACCGGGTCCCAATAGTACTTTTGATCATTCTTGGGCCTGCTGTTATTTCACCTCTTCTATCTTCTACCTAGGTTATTTTTTTTTTTTCCAGACTGTCTTGCTCACCACAAGGATTGTAGCAGGAGTGGAAAGATCACTTGCTGTATATTTTTTTCTTATTTTATTAAAAGTAATTTAAAATCTGGGAGTTTTCTGTTTTCCAGTTATGCTAAAGACACAGCTAGGAATAACAGTGGTAATTAAGGCTGGGGCTGTCTGATTATAATGTTTTGATTGTATTTTACAACAGAAAGATAGAGTAGGAGAAATGGAATGCAGCTCTGTTGAAGCTGCTCATATGAAATGAAATCTGCCTTGTCCGGCTACAGTGCCTGGTCTTATGTGTAGTGCTGTATTTACTCCCTGAATTGCCACCAAGTGTGAGAAACCCTAACCAGTAATTGACTGTACTAATCAATATTGAGTGTAGGACTCAATATTGTGTCACTGACAAGTATGGAATTATTTGACTATCCATTGTCCATTTTTTAAAATTTTTGTTTGTTTGTTTCTTTTTTGAGATGGAGTCTCACTCTGTCACCCAGGCTGGAGTGCAGTGGCACAATCTCAGCTCACTGCAACCTCCGCCTCCTGGGTTCAAACGATTCTCCTGCCTCGGCCTCCTGAGTAGCTGGGATTAGAGGTGCCTGCCACCACACCCAGCTAATTTTTGTATTTTTAGTAGAGACAGGGTTTCACTATGTTACCCATGCTGGTCTCGAGCTCCTCACCTCAGGTGATCTGCCTGTCTCGGCCTCCCAAACTGCTGGGATTACAGGCATGAGGCACTGCGCCCAGCCCATTCCCCATTTTTTTAGAGTAGCAGATGCAGGAGGACAGGAATCAGAAAAACGTTTATGGAAATGTTGAGCCATGCAGAAGGTAAGAGATTTTAGCAAATGATGATGTAACTCTCCAGGCAGAAAACTAGATAAATTAAACTCCACTGTCAAAGGTCCCTGAGAAAAATTAAATCTCCATAACTAAGGGTTTTATTTTAGTCTTCATTCTCCTTGCTATTTTTTCTTCAGAATGTGATACTATACACTTCCCACTCTTGCTTGAAAGTCATTTCTCATATTGCTAGATTACAGTTTCTTTTTTACTGTACCTTCTGTATCTTCTTTTCTACAGAGTTTCCTTCCATCACTCCACAAATATGCACATTTTCCAAGCTCTTGTTAAACCTCTACTATTCTCTTTCTTAACACTTTTCCTTAAAGAATGTACTTACTTGCATGACTCTTGGGCATCTCTCTCAGCCCTGACCTTTTTGCTGA